>NC_000007.14:87052233-87355263 GCF_000001405.40 Homo sapiens | reverse complement strand
GCCTGGTGTGGTGGTACATGTCTATAATCCCAGCTACTTGGGAGGCTGAGGTGGGAGGATCACTTGAGCCTGGGCTGTCAAGGCTGCAATGAGCCGTGAATTTGCCACTGCACTCTAGCCTGGGCAAGAGAGCGAGGCCCTATCTCAAAAAAAAAAAAAATACATATTTTTGGTAAGAAAGGTTATACAGAAGGGAATACTTTTGTATGAAAAAGTATCTTGTATGGTAAATTTTTGTCCTAAAGTAAAATGACTGATTATTTAGGAAAGAGAGAAGTTTAGAACAAGTCAGAAAGTCCAAGCATGTCATAGACGGTTTGTGTAAGTCATGATAAGATTTGTGAAGGGGAATTCATGAAAGGAATTTTGTATGTGATTAAATTGGTTACAGTGAAAAGAAAATCATTTATAAATAAGTCTTTCTAAATTTTGGTCCCCGATGTTAAAACAAGATTTTTTTATGGTATTAATCTGCTCTTAATAAAATTACAAGAAATTTTACTTTTACTTTTATAAACTGTTTCTTTTAAAAAGTCTCAGAATCATATCCCAGAAGTTCAGCTTTTACTGTGTCTCACTGCTTTTTGCTTTTTTGAGGTCTGAGATAATTCTTTCCTTCAGCTTTCTCATCAACTTTTTTTTTCTCCAGTTCTAATTTTACTGTTGTTATGAGCTAATGCTAAAATATTTTATCTTGAAGGTCTAGAAAAGCAATGTTTACCTCTAGTATAACTTGATTCTGTACTTTTGGCTTTTAAAATACATCTAAATTGTCAATGTAATCAAAAAACTAATGCTGTTCCTAAGAGTGAGGTAATCCTATGCTATAATCATAACCTTGAATATACTCTTCCTAGGTCCAGTTAAATCCAAGCACTTTTTTCATCAGGTTTGATGTCCAGGTTATCTAAATGGGCTTCCCATAAGCAGAAGTAGTCACACTGCAGAATTTTTCTTTGCCTTTTTGGTAACTGTCTTAAGAAACAAGATTGTATAATTCCTATGCTGTCTTTATTAGGTTTTTTTGGTTGCCAAAACTAAGATTTAAAAGGCTTAAGGTTTTTACATCATGTAACCTTCTGTATTGCTTCTAAAGCATTTTCATTATCACTTTGGCTAAATGAGTAACTATTATTTTACAATGACCTCTGCTTCTGTTTTGATCAAATGTTTTCAGCCTTTTAACATGTTTAATAAACAGCCTCAAAATCAAAATCCTAAATTAAGTCTCTGACTTAGTCTTATTGCTGGGATTTATTAAAGTTATAAAAATTAATCACTACAAGACTGTAGAATCTTTTTACAGCTTTTAGTCACACCATGAACTCCATTATCACCATAATATAGTTTGGATGTCCCCTCCAAATCTCATGTTGAAATGTAACGCCCAGTGTTGGAGGTGGGGCCTGGTGGGAGGTGGCTGGATCATGGGAGCAGAGCCCTCAAGAATGGCTTGGGCTGTCCCCTTGGTGACAAGTGAGCCCTCACTCTGATTCACACCAGATCTGGTTGTTTAAAAGTGTGTGGCACCTCTTCCTCACTGTCACTCTCTCTTTCTTGCTCTTGTTGTCACCATGTGAAGTGCCTGCTCCTGCTTCACCTTCTGCCATGATTGTAAGGTTCCTGAGGACTTTCCAGAAGCCGATACCAGCACTATGCTTCCTGTATAGCCTGCAGAACTGTGAGCCAATTAAACTTCTTTTTTGAAAATAAATTACCCAGCCTCAGGTATTTCTTTATATCAATGCAAAAATGGCCTAACACATACCACCTCCACCCTGATAATTATATATACTAGAAAAGAATCAGTTAAAGGGCCAGGCGTAGTGGCTCACACCTGTAATCCCAGCATGTTGGGAACTGGAGGCAGGCGGATCACTTGAGGTCAGGAGTTTGAGACTAGCCTGGCCAACTTGACAAAACCCCATCTCTACTAAAACTACAAAAAGTTAGCTGGGCATGGTGGTGCATGACTGTAATCCCAGCTACTCAGGATGCTAAGTTGGGAGAATTGCTTAAACCCAGGGAGCAGAGGTTGCAGTGAGCTGAGATTGCACCAATGCACTCCAGCCTGGGCAACGGAACGAGACCATGTTTCAAAAAAAAAAGAAAAATAAAAGAAAAAAAATCCGTTAAAGGACTCCCTCTAGTTCCTTAAAAGGGTCCTTATCAAGTGCTATTAACTAATCCTTGTGCCTTACAGTTACAGGGCTTTGACTCCTGAGTACATATAGCTCATCTAAAGAAGGCACTGACTCCTGCCAGTATCTGATAGCAAGCTGAAGCTAATCAAAGCCTTGTCTTTAGACCTGGACAATCAAAGTAAACTATTTTCATGAGACCTACAGACAGAGACATAGGGACAGGCCTGTATTCAAAACATTAAGATTCATTTAATAATTTTGCCTATATCTGAATATAATTTTCTATGCCTTGATATTAAATAATTTAAGTATTTGGCTACGTATGGGCTTCTTTTCATGTCATTCTCATAACTAGGTAGGGCTTATGACATTTTTGTTTAAAACATTAATTCCTTATGTTTTGTTTTCCTCTATAATTTGAAACTATTTAGTCCTTCCAGGCCCAGAGACTACCACATGAGATTGTAAGGGCTTGTTGTGGGGAATAAAATCAATTCAGACCCTCCAAATCAAGGTCAGGCAAACTGCCTCTATAGCTGAACAAAATGTTGTATTTTATATGGCTAATTGCTACAAGTCAAGATTAAAATAGCTTAATGTATAGAATTTATAAATAAGCAAATT
Organism: Homo sapiens; assembly: GCF_000001405.40. Classification (NCBI taxonomy): domain Eukaryota; kingdom Metazoa; phylum Chordata; class Mammalia; order Primates; family Hominidae; genus Homo; species Homo sapiens. The sequence continues at coordinate 87,352,495 of NC_000007.14, read as the reverse complement.
TTATAACCGTCCCATTTGGCTTTTGGCTCTTATGTTGCTTAAAAGGGGTTTTAAGGTTAAGGAGTGCCTGCCCACCTCCATTCCCATCTGGCCTAGAAAGTTTAATTGGCCATAAGTCTTTTGTTTAAGTCCCTTGGCCATAGTGGTCCCACCAAGGGACATGATGGATCCAGGGCAGGTAGCACACCACCCTGACATCAATACTGGACAAAATAAGAGCTTGGCCATTGATGGCATACCTTAACAAAAAAAAGGGGAACTATAAACTAAAATAAATAAGTTTTTAAAAGTTCTAAGCCCTTTCCCAACAAAATGGACCCTCTTCTTGGCCAAAGGGCATCCAAAACACCTGAAAACTAATTCAGGCCATGAGGGGAAGCAGGGAGATTGGACATGACTTGCCATATCTTTCCTCTTCTTGGAATTCAGTCACAACTGACTAGCTTAGCATTAAAATAGAAATCATAAGATTGACAAAACAGACTCTTTATGGCAATAAAATACCAAATTATAAATAGAATCTAAGATCACGTAAGGCAAGGGTTAAGTCTCTATTGCAGGGTAAACAGTCATATGTTACATGCACGTTTGTTCAATATTCATGTGTCAGAACCACCTCCATAAATATTCATAACTCTGCTGTTCAACCAGGTGACTTAGTCATATTAAAGACTTGGAAAGAAGGACCTCCTATAGACAACTTTCTCCAAAGTGGAGAGGACCCTATCAAGTGCTTCTAAGTACCTCTAGTGGAGTAAGGGAATACACACTTGGGTACATTCATCCAAAATTAAACCTGCCTCTCATAAAGTCCCACAGGCATTCAACGTGGTGACCACTGTTCCAGCACACTCTTGTGAGCCAATAAAGAATCCTGTGGCTTCTCTTCAAAAAAAGAATCCATCCAGTGGATAAGTACTACTCTCAAAATGAAATTACTAGTTTTAATATTAAACTTGATCTATTATAATATTAGAGCTAATTTGTTTACAGAATGGGCACAAACTACGGCCTCCCTTCTAAACCAGAAAAACTGTTGGGTACGCAGTGAATTACCTCTTTCATCAACCTCAGGCTTACCTTGGCATATCAAATAGGCTAATTTAAGCCATTCCAATTCCAATGAATGGTTTATAAGAGATAAATGCTTTCCTTTCCTTTTCTTTTTTTTTTTTTTTTTTTTTTTTGAGATGGAGTCTCGCTCTGTTGTCCAGGCTGGAATGCAATGGCACAATCGTGGCTCACTGCAAGCTCTGCCTCCCGGGTTCACGCCATTCTCCTGTCTCAGGCTCCTGAGTAGCTGGGACTACAAGGGCCCGCCACCACGCCTGGCTAATTTTTTTGCATTTTTAGTAGAGACGGGGTTTCACCGTGTTAGCCAGGATGGTCTCGATCTCCTGATCCCGTGATCAACCTGCCTCAGTCTCCCAAAGTGCTGGGATTACAGGTGTGAGCTACCACACCTAGCCAATATTTCCTTTTCTAATATATCAAAAAGACACCAGCCACTATCCTTCCCTTCCTCTACTGAAACAAACAAAAAAAACACCTTTTTCAATTATTCTGTAGATAACTAAATAACATCACCACTTTAGGCTATACCATTTTTGATGGGCTTAGTTGATTAATGGCTACCCAAATTCAGGTGACAGGTAAAGTACTCTTATGCCTTGAGAGACATGACACCAGCCACTTCCAGGCTGAAACCTACAACATGGGGTGGTTGCCACCCAACAATGCAATCAGACCCTGGTCTTAACTAATCAAAGTGGACAGAATGGCAAAATAAATCTCTAAGATTGCATGCTCATCCTTCTCCTTGGGGATGGTTATGGGCACATGGGTCTCACAATTGGCTATACCTACCTTACAACTGGACTGGACAATGTACTAGGGGTCAACATTACCTTCTACGACATATTGTTATACATCTAAATTCCTTCCTCACCAACTGAAAAATAGTCAAGGCCCACCATAGTTGATGACAAAACAGGCTTCTTGGTGGTTTTATCCTATGGCCATATTCTCTCTTCAAGCAGCAGCTATAGACATTGAATTACAAATAAAAGCTCTAGCAAAACATACTGGTGCGGCTTTCAATGACACTCATCAGGCTATCACACTTCTGACAGGAGAAACTTCCCAAATAAGACCAGTGGGCTTGCAAAACCATATGGCTTTATACATTCTTTAACTGCAGCCAAGGGAGGAACTTGTGTCTTGAACAAAACTGAATATTATGTTCCTGATTACTGCCATAATATATCCCAGGACATGAGTTCTCTAGAAACTTGTATTTTGGCTATGGATTCCCGGTCTTATGACCCCATAACAGCATAGTTTCATGAGCTTTCCAGCACTTGGAAAGCATTTCTTTTCAGTATGCTTGGTATTATAATATTCATTGTTATTAGTTATTGTGCTTTTATTTCTGTTGTGTTTATTGTATAGGGTTGCAAGATAAAATAGTTTAGCAGCTGTTTCACCTTTCTATTTACTAACCTAGTATATTAACTTTCTAGAAACAATTGGGATATCATGCAAGCAAGGAGCTCCCTTACTCCCTGAAGAGGCTCACTGCACACTATTATGAGAAGACCCTGTCCCAACCATCAACATCTACTGCCTCCAGGAAGGAGTTACAAAAGAACAACCTTCACCCTTTATCTCCCCTTAAGGTTAAGGGTTCTCTCATAAGTAGAGGGGGAAATGTTGGGGAAGCAGGAGCTCAGGAGAGCCAGAGTAACACCATTTTAAATTCAGCTCCATCTTGAGACTAGCAAGGCACGTTCCTTGCCAGTCATGACCCAGTCATAAGATATTTACAGTTGAGGAAACAACCTAAAGATACTTACAATGACACACTCCTACAACAGTAGAAAGTCCAGATGTCTCAATACCCATAACAATATATGTTTTTGAGATGATTAACATAATTCTTTGATGTATTCATGCACTAAAATGTCAAGGATTGTTTTCTTTAAATCAACAGAATAATAAATTTTGTCATGCTGTCTGCTCACCCTCACATAGGCACAGCTTAGTCTTTACATCGATAAGACCCCTATGTAAGAAAAACTTAAAGACAGTCTGCTTGCTTTCTGAGGATGTCCTACTCTATAATGGAGAAGCTTTCAATAAACTGTCTCTTCTCACTGCACTCTGCAACTCACCTTGAATTCCTTCCTGCAAGAGATCCAAGAACTCTAACTCTCTCTTAGAGTCTGGATCGAGACCCCTTCTCCAGCAACAGTATCACAGTTTTCTAAGTTACTAATAATATTAATATATACTAAAAGATTATTAACATACCTGATTCAAGGTATTTTTTTAATGATTCTTCAAGTGAAGGAACAGGCAGTGATGGAAGAGAATCCTGGTACTGAAATGTTCGTTCTTCAGTTGATTTAGCCAATTGATTTTCCATGATAAAATCACAATAGGAAACCTAAAGAAAAGAGAGAGAGCCCTCACAACTTCAATCTCATAGATAGTGTTACGTATCCTAGGTACAATTCACAATTCACTAAACCAGTATTTAGGGACCACAGCATATCTAGGACTTGGTACCAGCTTTTATGAAATTTATAAATCTGTCAGATAGAGAAAACCAACTTAAAAAGAATGTGTAGACACAAAGTGCTAGAAGTAAAGAGTGATCAGTGGGACTGGTATAATTAGTTACCATTTATTGAACACCTAGCATTTGCCAGGTACTCCAGTTTGCATTACAGAAAACATGTGTTAGCTCTCTAACTTTTATGTTATCTCTGAAAGGTGGCATTCTTTGCAATTTTACATATGAATATATCAAAACTCAGAAATTTAGTAACTTACCTAATGTCAAACACAGGACCCAAACCCAGATCTGTTAAGACTACAATCTTTCCCCTATACAAAACAACATGATAGAAGGTAAGGGAACCTGCAGTAAATCTTAGTGGGTAGATAGTATTTGATGTATAGAAAAGGATTATGTGTTGATATTGCATTGATATAGAAAACTTTGGAGCACAAAGTACAAAGAGGTGTGGAAGTGTCCAACTGTAGAATTAAAGATTATTATAGAATACATAAATCATATGACAAGCTGCTTTAATTGCACAGGTCGTATGAGGTCTACACAGAATGGTCTCAAGTGTTCCAAAGCAATCTTGAACATATTGACACGTGTATTAATTGCTATCAAAGAAATCTAACTCAAAATGTGAATAAGGTATACAAATGCTAAATAAAAAATGAGGTTTCTCAAAGCCTTTGTAAATTATCATATATTAATTATATTAAATAATGTAATATATTAAATGTAATTATATGTTAAAATAGCAACTGAGAAATCAAAGAACGTTAATATTGAATTTGAACTTCCTATTCTCTCAAAAACTATTTTTTAAAACTGATAGCAACGCTAAACAAAGTATTCCACTCATAGGTTACAGAATCGAACACTATCAAAAACATGGACACAGAAGAGACTATTTTCAGCTAATACCTGTTTTCCTCTGCTTTAACAGAATCCTGAGTTGTAGCTGTGCATACAGCCCCCAGTTTTATCTTTCCTACCCTCTCTTGGAGCTCAGTGTGGCTTTGTGATGACCTTGTGTGTGTCACTTCCAGGTCATGCTCCCAAAAAGGAATGCATGTGTTCTCCCTGCACTTTCCCTCCTTTTTACTACCTGCTAGGTAGTGACGAACTAAACAGCACCATGGCCTCATTTATGGAAGTCATATATGCAGGATTGCAGAATCTCCCTACTAGTCCTGGACTCCTACCTCTAGATGTATGGAAAAAAAAAAACTTCTATTTTATTCATACCATTGTATTTTGGGCTTTCTATTGTAGGGAGAAGAGCTTAGCCTGTACCACTAATATAAAGAGATAATTTGAAAATGAGAAATAATAATTAACTCAAAGTTCTTTAGCTTCTTTCTATCTATTGACTTTGGCTGCACACCATTTTGACCATCCATAAAAATGGGTTTGTACCTAATGGAAATGTAGATCTGGATCCAAGTACAGACTCTGCCACTTTCTAGCCATGTGCCCCTAGGGCAACCAACTTTAAGTGAATTTCCTTATCTTAGAGTGGTTAATCATACAATTCAATAAAGTCAGAATTTGTTTTCAATGCCTGTGAAAGCACATTATAAAAACAAAATAATCCTGCCTGAAACCACCATATTGTGGTAGGCACAATTACTATGAATGGCCCCCAAGATTCCACCCCTGCTAATCCCCAGAACCTGCGAATATGGTGAGATCATTACTCCTGTGATTGTGATATTCTCTACAGAACTGACCTTAAAATAGGGATATTATCGAATTGGAACTAATCTAATCACTTGAGTCCATAAGAGCAAAGAGCTTTCTCTGGCCAGTGGCAGACAAGTAAGACTGCTTTAATGCTTGAGAAGGATTTGTGGTGTCTTTGAAGATGCAGATGGCCTTAAAGAACTGAAAGAGGCTCAGGCTGACAAACAGTAAGGATATAGAAATGTCAGTGTGAATTCTACCAACAATCTGAAATAGCCTGGAGGTGGATTCTCCCCTAGAGCCTCCAGAAAAGAATCCAAATCTACAGAAACCTTGGTTTCGGTTTTGTGAAATTCTAAGCCAAGTACTCAGCTAAGCCCACCCAAACTTCACATTTACAGAAGCTATGAGATAATACATTTGTGTTGTTTTAATTGTTGCATTTGTGTAATTGGTTAAGGCAGCAATAGAAGACTAGTACACACATACAGAGAAGATAAGCTATTCTGTTTACCTCTGTGCCACTTAATAGACTCTAGAAAACTGGAAGCAAGAGTATTAGTTACATACCCACTATAGTGCTTAACCCACCAACCGGTACACATTAAAAATATAAATTATTGGATTCTTTCTTGAAGAGTTTTCTTGAATTCTCAACCACAAAGATTAAGTTAAATAAGATGGTTCCAATAGCACTAAGAAAATGATTATGCTAGATTTAATTAGAATTGACTTTCTGGGGGCAATTAGATATGAATTCACAGAAAGTGGAAAAGAACCACGAACAATACGTGAAGGAATTGTCACATACCAGTACACCAAGAAGATGAACTGCTTGAGACTGCCAGGAGCCTGCTGCAACAATTGTTTTGAGATCACAGGGAACTGGACTAAGTCGGTGACTGTGGGAAGAAAGAAACAAGCTTAACAAATATTTAAGAGGGAAAAAGAAATGAACAAGCTAGTGAAAGAAGGTGGAATGCAGACAAACTAGGAGTTGGGAGTTCCCAAGACAAACTTTTCGTGAATCACTGCAAACACACGCAAATAGTCCACCTGCTAGAGAGCAGGAGTAAATGATCATACAATTAAGTAGGTTTCAGACAAGTACACCTTCCATTAGACGGGTTCAAAGGGTAGAGGATACGTTTTCAGTGGCTGGGTAACAGGTTCGTCGCAGAGTGGCAAGGGGTAGAAGCAGGAGCAGAGGGCAATGAGAGCTCGGAGGCTCTTCCCACCAACCCAAGAGCAACTCTGCACTCAAGAGGCCATCAAGTGAGAGAAATCTAAGCACTACAACGGAGCAGCCCCGCGGCCCAACCTTGAGGGTACCCCTGAGACCCCAGCAGGCGAGATGCTTGATGACACTACTCCCCCACCAAATCCAGGCACCTTTGCGGTTCTGCACGACTTAACTTTCCCCCGCCCCCGAGTTGAAGGATTAGGGGAGGGAGGGAATGCTGCTTCAACGGACCTGTCCGTCCTCACCGCCCGCGCCTCGCCGCCTCTGCCGCAGCCTCAGCCTGCAGCAGCACCGGCTCGCTCCCCCTTGGGCCTCAAAGGTGCGGGAATTGGACTGAAGGCCGCTAGGGTCCCGCCCCGCATTCGCCGGGGAACAGGATTGGATAGAAAGCCGCGAGGGTCCCGCCCCTCACTTTCCGGGGAACGGGACTGGACGGACAGCTGCAAGGGTCCCGCCCCGTGCCTGACGTCGGGGGCGAGCCGGGCCTGCGCGGTAGTGGGACCCGACCCTGTCTCCAGTGGGCGTCTTGGGCCCCGGCTCTATTCTGGGCTGCGGGCCTGGGAAGGGCTCGCCGGGTGCCAAATGAGCTGTCCTAACTCTGCGGGGCTGCAGCTTCCTGCATGATGCTGGGGAGCTTGGCGCCTGACCCAGGATCTAGAAGGCACTCTGGGCAGGCCGCGCTCCGCCCACGAAGGTACCCAACCCTCTGGGATAGATGCAGGAAGCGATGGTTAAGACCCATTTTCACCCAACTTCTCGCCGCAGGTCTGGCTTACCACACGCTCCTCCCCATTCCCAGTGAGCCGCTTTTTGCAGCACCAGGCGAACACTTACACCAGTGCTTTGTAAAGGAATCTTATTGTCCACCCCGTGTCTTGGCAAAAGAACAGTGATCACACAGATTCCTACTTGGGCTCTTTCCTTTAATCTTCGGAGGCTGAGTTTGCCCAACTCAGGTATGCCGCAGCACACTACATCATCTCGGGTCTCCTTGCTCTTCTGCAGCTCTTCATTGCTACCCAAGTTATTTGAATACCCCAGGGATGCTTACCCCCGGGCCTATCTGATGTCTTTTACTGTTGTGCCAAGAAATGGAATCTTTAACCAGAGTGGAGCTACCCAAGTTCTAGAAGATCATAATGTGATTGACTTAGTTTCACAGATTAATTCATTTTGCTTTTACCTTCTGAAATAAAATATACTGTTTCATTTTTAATTTTAAATACACTGTTTCATTTTTTTGTGGAAGGAAAGACCAAATGTTTACACTGACTCTGAACTAGTTATCAAAGATAAAGATTTAGATTTCAAATTAACATGTCATGACAGGCCCCATTCCTTTGTCTGTCGTTTCTAACTCCTTTAGCAGTAAAGTTTGACCTGAAGGGAAGTGAGGCTATGTGTAACTGAATGTTCCCTTTGTGTAAATATTCATAAGTTTTCTACAGAAATATTGTGTTTGATTACAGTACAGCTTGCTGGAAGTGTTTCATAATATATGGCAGACGTACTATTCTAAGAAAAGTTCTGAATTTTGAAACATATCTAGCCAAAAAGATTTTAAATAAGGGATTAGGAATTTGTAGTTGTAATTTCTGAAGGTGTGATAAAGAACTTTTTCTTTCATATATAAGTGCGATGCTCTGGATGATGTTAAAGTTTGCTTACAAGATAAAGTTTTTAAATTGAGTAACTAAAAACTACTCAGAAACCTTCGTTGTATTTTTTTTCTCCTTTTTAGTGAGTCTTGGCATCTCTTTAAAAGTTTATGCATGTTTAATGCCTGTTGGTGCATAGAATTTAGAACCATTTCGCTTCACTCTTTTTCCTACTCTTGTTGTTTATTTCAATGGAAACAAGATGTTTCTGTAAAGATTCCTGAATTATCGGATAGACAAAAAGGTGTGGGAGTGAAAAAATGAATGGAACACAGATTTGAGTATGTAGAAAAAAATCTTTTAAAATATGTTATACTGATAAGCATATGTACCCCAAATCACCAAAAACAGGTATTTTAAAATATGTTTGGCTTCAAAATGTGTGATATATATTTTAATGAAAGATTCCAAATTATGTTGCATTCAGGTTAAACTTGAACGAGTTTGCATTTCTTAGAGTGGAGCGGGAGATATTGGCTGGTAAGGAAGATGTTTTAGGCACTTGAAGTATTTGTGATAGCAAGAAGTTGTTCCAAGATTAAAAATTGACTATGAGTCAAAGTAACTTTTTGGAGGAAAATTTGTAAGTAGTACAAGTGGTGATAATTTTTTAAGTTGCCATTAAAAAAATCTTTTATTTTTGTTCTTCTGTAGTTCTTACTCAGCATACCACAAATTGCAAAAGACTTTATAGATAAGTCTAGATAAATTTCACCATTAAAAAGTATTAAAATGCTAGACTAAGAAGTTCATGTTTCAATCTGCATAACTGGCTTCCTGCTAAGATTTGTGACTCTAATAAGTAAGGAGATATGGTAAATAGCCCTAATCTATGGGAGACCTGTAACCTCCTTTCATTCTGATGTATAAAATGAACATGTTGAAGAAATAATTTTGTGATGTTTCTTCTTTTTAATGGGGGGGCAGTAGAAATATGGTCATTTTGGGAAGCAGCCAACAGCAAATTAAAGTACACTGGACGCAAAGAGGGCAATGTAGCATTAAAAATGAACTCCACTGCCAACAGCAGATGAACAGTGTTTGATACAAAAGGTCTCTTTTTAGTACTAATCATTGATTTGGGGTTGCTTTTGATGATATTTACAGTACATGAAAAGTTGCCACCAAAATCTGAGGGGAAGAGTTAAGATAACTATGATGTTTTTGCATCTCAGAAAAAAATACCTTCTTACTAAACAAAATATAACATTTAAAAATTTTGTTAACATCTTTGTTGAAATATAATTTACATACCATAAAGTTCGGCCATTTAAAGTCCACAAATCAATGGTTTTACTATATTCACAGGGTTATGCAGTCACCATAAGCTAATTTTAGAACATTTGGTTCAAATATTTAAAAAGATTATTTTCTACATACTCAAATCTCTGTTCCACTCATTTTTTTCAGTCCCACAACTTTTTCTATATCCAAAAATCCAGGCATCTTTACAGGAACATTTTGTTTCCATTGAAATAAATAACAAGACTGGGAAAAGAGTGAAGCAAAGTGGCTCTAAATTCTGTGTTACCAACAGGCATTAAACATGATTCATCAACTGACTGATGAATGTATGAACCACTTTTTGTTTGTCCATTCATCAGTTCATGGACATTTGGGTTGTTTCTACCTTTTGTCTATTTAAATAATGGTACTATAAACATTTGTGTACAAGCTTTGTGTGAACAGGCTTTCAATTAGTATTTTAGGAGTGGAGTTGTGGGGTCGTATGTTAACTCTATGTTTAACATTTTCAAAAACCGTCAAACTGATTTCCAAAGGAACTGTACCGTTTTTACATATCTGCCAGCAATATGAGTTTCAATTTCTCTGTGCCTTTAGTTACAATAACAATATAACAGCCCTTGCTATTGTCTTTTAAAAAAAATACAGCCACTCTAATGAATGTGAAGTGGTGTCTTGTGGTTTTGATTTACATTTTTTTGTGAAGACTAAGAGTGTTGAGTATTTTTTCATGTGCTTATTGGCCATTTATATATCCTCTTTGGAGAAATGTTTATTAAGATCCTTTTCCCATTTTTTAATTAATGCACACATTTTAAAATTATATTAAAATTAGGCAATGGTCTGACCATAAAAAGGCTGCTTATGGAATACTGTTATGTTAAACTTCACTTACAGGATGCTAAATCCTTAGAACTGAGGTTTTCCCCAGAAAAAGATTAATGGAAACATCAGTTGCTTTTCAGACTTGATTCTGCTTCAAAAGATGATTTTACACAAATAATTTTAAAAAACTTTAGTACACAACGAATCACTTTTAGTTTGGTATGCATCCACATTTCAGCATTTAGTAGTGGTCCTGAACAGAAAGTGAAAAACACAGCAATTTTTCCAGGAGGTCAAGTCTGCCAATTTCAGGGATCTGCTGTGTACCCCAATTTCTTTCTTAATCCCTGCTGAGGATCTTGAGAAGCAGGAGCAGCACCAAAACCAAGGCATGCACTGGATCCAAGGTTCTTTTTGTTCCAGTTGTGAGATTCCAAACTAGACCCCAGTGGATTGCAAGGATGACCAAATGAGAGCCCTGCTTAAAACTTCTTCAATTTTTAAAAGCGAAAGCAATTACAAGAAAATGAAACAATGCAGAGGGATCATATGTGCTTTCAAGTGTCTTCATGTGCTCTTTCTCCAGGTTTAACCACCAAGGACTCTGAGAGCTGGCAGGTCTGAGTAACCCTGGTAACAATTCTCTTCACCTTATCAAAACCTGAGCTAAAACCAATGCATCAGCTGATGATGACAGCAGAGAGTGGCAGGGCTGAGGACCCAAAGTCATTTCCCAGGCTGGCGGAGAGTGAGTAAATGAGATTCTAAAACTAAACAAGGGAGGTCAGAGACTCTTTCCAACCTTACCTGATGGCTTCTGGCCAAAGCAAGGAAGTGTCTTGGAAGGTGTTGGTTGGTGATGGTGCGAAAAGACACTTGAGAAGGAGGGAAGAAAAAGCAGCGCCCCTTGATAAAGGTGGGGGAGAGAAGATATGGGGAAAGCCCTGAATTCCTCATCAAAGGCCAATCTCAGAGAGTAGCAGGGGGTTACAATCTATGCTTTGGCCAAGGGCGGGAGTGGAGGAGTGGGGGTTAGGATGATGGCTTGGAGCGGGCATCATTTAAGACTTAAAGAAACCATGGGTGCAGGCAAAGCACCCCACACACTAAGCAGTAGTCCCACAGGCTGCGACCTGAAACCTTCACATCTACTCTTAACAAGCCCCCATGGCTAGAGGGCTGTTGCAAGGGGAGAAGGCAGAGACCCCAGACCATGTAATCAACAGCAAGGTGATTGTGTGATGTGTCTTTTCCCATATTTAGGAGGGTGAGTTTTATGAATGACTTTAAATATTATGCACTTAATGGTTATGTTTATTACTTCGTACAAAATATTTCTGAGGCCAGGCACAGTGGCTTATGCCTGTAATCCCAGCACTTTGGGAGCCCAAGGTGGGTGGATCGCTTGAGCCCAGGAATTCGAGACCAGCCTGGGCAACATGGCAAAACCTTGTCTCTGCAAAAAATTTTTTAAAAATTAGCCTGGTATGGTGGTGCACACCAGTAGCCCAGCTATTTGGAAGGCTGATGTGGGAGGGTCACTTGAGCCTAGGAGGTCAAGGCTGCAGCAAGCCATGATCATGCCACTGCACTCCCACCTGGGTGACAGAGTGAAACTCAGTCTCAAAAATAATAGTAATGTTTGAGGAACCATTCAATTTAAGCAGGTACTAAAGAAGAAATTAAGGGCTCTTCCTTACTGAAAGTTTTTCCCTGAGAAATAGGAACTTGGCAACTTTATGCAAAACTTCAAATGACTTATTATTAGGTCAATAAAAATAAAATAATGTTGAAGCGCTAAGATTGTTAAAGAAGCTTAAAGATATTGTTATATTAGTGTTTACACAATAATGTGTCAACTTTTATTCAGCATTATCTCCTTGCTTTTTGAGGCAAATATATTTTGTATAAAGTTTTGAGAATGTCTGAGGTGTTTCCTGTACCTCTTCTGGGCTCTCAGTCTTATCTTGGTATATAAAACCATTCAGGCTTTAGGGGCATCGTTTTTTTCCAGATAGAATTTTCCAGATGAGCCTATAATATTCCGGAATAAATAACAAACCATTGTTTATAAAATTTAAAACAACCTTGATAAGCCTCAAGATTCCCTAGCAGGATCATTGCAATTCAGATAATTGGATGAGGCACGGTAACATACAGTGCTGAAGGGGAGGTCTAGAAACTTAATTCTGTTGCTAAAAGACATGTGGTCTTGGGCTAATCATTTAAACCCTACTAGTTAGACCTCAGCATTCTCTTGGAAATAAAATTATTGCTCTCTGTTCTCCAGAATCCCTACCTATTTTATAGCTCTCAGAAACTCCCAGTGAGCTTCACAAGGTATCTCCAAGCAGAGTTCAGTGTGGCATTGTCTCCTGCAGGGCAGAAATCCCATGAGAAAGTGGAGTAGTCATGACAAGTGTGTGATTTACAGTCCACCACAGGAAACTTGTAGGATTCCTTAGAAAACAAAGTGGGTTCCACCGTCTCTTGGGTCTGTTATTCCCTCTTAAGAAACCTTTCTTATTATTCTCCCTTTTTTCCTCTTCTTGGCCCTTCACTAGCAACCCAGGCCAACTACACAACCTGTTTCCTCAAAGATCGTTTCCACTGCCTGTCTTTTTCACAACCATTATGACCTCTTCACAGCTGCAGTTTCACCCTGAGGCCTTGTGCAACTGAAGTTGTCTAACCAGGACAGTTAACTGTGCCTGGGCAACTTGATACACTTAGCACAGGCTGCCTAATATTGTTTTCTTTTTAGCATTTTAACTACTTTGGACTCTGCTTTGGATTGCACAAGGTTCACTTCTTTTTCTTTTTGTTTAATAGAAGCTGTTGTGTGATTAGTTAAAGAGGTAAAAGGCTATACAAATAAGTATTTATTGAACACTGTTCCTTGCCCAGCATTATGTTAAATACAGATACAAATCAATAAGACAATTCTGAATTTTCCAGTTTTGTGTTTCCATGGATATTACAACTCATAGAAGGTTAGAGTCCTTAGGTATACTTCATTGTATTTTATGGTGAAGCAAGGATACTGTGAAAAATAATCATAAACTGTCCAAGTATGTAACTTCTATACACAGTGCATTTGACATTCTGCTTGTATAAATATAAGTACTGCACTTATGTATCTTTTCATTACTTACACTGTTCTCAATGCTATCCCTTGCATTAATATTTGCTTTTGAATAAAAATCCAACATATGGCACATATCATTTTATTAGACATACATTGTGTGTCTCTAAGACAATGCCAAGCCAAAATGGATGCAGCTTGAATTGTTATGTGTTAAAAAAGCACACTGGATAAGAGCTTTTACCTCTGAGTTATAAGAATATAGGATATTTTTATTTCTTTATACTCTCCTGCATTTTCCAATGGCCTAACATGAATAATAATAATTTTATATAAATATATATGTATCTATGTATACATATAATTGTATGTTTGTGAATATGTATATCCATATATCTAATGGACCTCAGGATATCATAAATTTCTGCATCCTGCCTTCAAAAGTGTTATGTGCCATTATCTCTATAAGAGGTCAATCATCAGAAGCCCAGTAATATTAAATGACTTATCAGGAATTATTTAAGCAGGAAGTGATGGAAGAGAGATCAGAACCAAGATTTATCTAACTACTAGTCTTGTACTTTTCCTGTTTAAATGCAAATGACAGGTGGAATTTGGGACTACCCTTTCCTCCAGCATTATAGATGTGTGCTGCTTACTTTAGGTTAAAACTAGCATTCCAGAACCTAAAGTGTGTAATCCAAGTTTGTGTGTTTGTGTGTCTACTGTCCTTAGTCAATTTAAACATTTTTATCTTTTTTTGTATACCGAAGAATGTCTTACAGAGTAAAATGCTTATATTAGACTCAGTAATAACACCTTAAAGAAAACTATAACAAAAAAACATTAGCAGTGGTTGCTTCTGGGTTATTGGGTAATATTTGTCTTCTCATTTACACTTTCGTATGTTTTTTCTTATTTTCTATAATGACTACTTCATAGTTTACCAAGTCATCAAAATTGATTTATTTATAAAAAGGATATTGATATTTCTGAGTTCATGCTTTTTTCTTTTCCTTTAAGTAAGGAAAAAGTTTTATTCAACAAAGCCAAATATATATATTTATGGTAAATATTTAACATTATATAGTGTTGCTTTTAAAAAAATTCTATCACAGACTCCTTTAATAATCTGTTGGAAGTTATGAAACCTTTCCTTAGAAAAATACAAATATATGTAAAGCCACAAAATGTTTTGAAGAATTTCTGGAGGTTCACAGACCCCTGAAGCTCATTCATTTAAACCTCCAGTATTGCTGAAAGGATGGGCTATGATTTTTATCAGAATACTTGGGATGTTTGTATTAAATGCAGATTTCCAGCATTGCCCCTGACTGCCTGAATTGGATGGGAGGAGTGGGGCCCAGGAATCTGCCCCCTTAATAAGATAGTCCTTCCCTACCCTCTAAGCAAATGGAATGCAAAGCAAGTGAGAAAATCTCAGGACCTACATGTCTAGAGAGCTCGTATTAAGAATCCTAAGTAAGAATAACACAAACTAAAATAATAGAGAATGTCCAGTGCCAGTCCTTGAAATTAGGATTCTGAGCAGGAGTTTGTTAGGTAGAGAATGGGAAAAGGGTGTGTCCAGCTGAGGAAAGGGCAGAGTTGAACAGGTGGAAGCATGGGCACAGTAGGAAGTATGGACTAATAACAAGTTGCCTGGGAACCAGAAATAATTAAATAAAGGCAGCTGGAAAGGTTCATGCTTAATCGCAGTCCTACAGGAATGGCATATAATAGTCATGAGGCCAAAAATAGTGATGCCAGACTCAGGTTTGTATTGTCTTGGGAAAATAATACTTAAAGCAGTCTCAGTAACATGTAGCTCTGTTAAGTTTCTCATTGTGAGAGTGGAATGGGATCCCATGGACAAGTATAGAAATAGTATTTACCTGGAGAAAAGATAGAGGCACTCATGAGAACTTTGGACTATTCCAGAATTATAAAATGTTAAAAATAGAAGAGACTTTATTTATTATCTCTTTCAACTTTCTCAATTAAAAAAGTAAAATTCTTTGGAGTTTATCAAATCTTGTTTATTACTATTTGAGTTGTTAATTCTGTAAAGTTGTTAATTCTGTAACAATACAGCCACCAAAAAGAACAAGATCATGTCCAAGATCATGTCCTTTGCAGGGACATGGATAGAGCTGGAGGCCATTATCCTTAGCAAACTAACACAGGAACAGAAAACCAAATACTGCATGTTCTCACTTATAAGTGGGAGCTAAATGATGAGAACATATGGACACATAGAGGGGAACAACACATACTGGGACCTTTTGGAGAATGGCGGGGGGTGGCAGGGGGAGGATCAGGAATAATAACTAATGATATTAGGCTTAATACCTGTGTGATGAAATAATCTCTACAACAAACCCACATGACACAAGTTTACCCATGTAACATACCTGAACATGTACCCCTGAACTTAAAATAAAAGCATAAAAAAGTTACTATAATGCATATTTCCTTATTTTATGGTTGAAATGGCAAATAATGATGTGATTTCCCTCCAGGTCACACACTGGCAGAGCTGAGTTTGGAAACAGTTTTATTACTTAATTGCTTCTTTTCAAAAACATTTTAGAGGCAGGGCCTTGCTCTGTCACCAGGCTAGAATGCAGTGGCACAAACATAGCTCACTGCAGCCTTGAACTTCTGGCTCAAGTGATCCTCTCACCTCAGCCTCTTGAGTAGCTAGGACTATAGGCATGTGCCACCATACCTAGTTAATTTAAAAAAAAATTGTAGAGACGTGGTCTACGTCATCCACACTGTTCTTGAATCCCTAGACTTAAGCAATCCTCCCACCTCAGCCTCCCAAGGAGCTGAGATTACTGGCATGAGCCACTATGTCTGGCTAGATTACTTCTTAAATTACACAATGCCCAACCCAGAACAGCAATAATTGTGTGTTTGTACATTGTACTATGTATCCATAAGCAATCTTTGTTCAGATGTATGACAGTGAGAATGAGCGTTGGGAAAGCTATAACAACAGGCGGAAGCCTAGTACCTGGCACCAGGAACCAGATAAACACCATGGTAGTGCTTTGGAACACCGAAATTTGGTAGCTCCTGAGGAAAAAAGGAGTAATAGTATACAGAACCATAAGTGTTTTCAGAAAATATGAAATCAATGAGTTGTATCATATTTGTGGTAAGTGAAACCTAGACTTTGGAAATGACATTCAGGCATTAGGAATATTAGTAGTTCTAGATAAATGTCACAAGCCCATAAGCAAGTGAAAGTTTTTGTCCTGGTTAAATACCCTAATATAGTACATTTTAATTTTCCTGTTTGTTCACCCATTCAACAATAATTACTGTTGCCATCATGGTACTAAGTGCAGGAAATAAATTAAGAGAATAAGACTGATATGCTTTCTAGTCTCATGGAACTCACAGGCTAGACAGGGAGATAGCCATTAAAAATTGAAATACACTAATTTAAAATCAAAATGTTTAACATGCTCTTCCATCTATTTCAAGGACACTTCCCACCATCTCCACCTGGCAACACTTATTTATCCTTCAGATCTCAGCTTATATATTATCTCTTTAGTCTTCCTTTACCACCAAATATAAATTAATATTTTATTTCACCTAACAAACATTTTTAAATGACTTTTACCCAAAAGAAAGGCAATAACCAATGCTGGCAAGGATGTGGAGAAAATGGAACTCTTGTACCTTGTTTGTGGGAATGTCAATTAGTACAGCCACAATGGAGAATAGTATGGAGGTTCCTCAAATTAAAAACAGAAATACCATATGATCCAGCAATCTCACTGCTAGGTATATACTCAAAAGAAAGGAAATCAGTATATCAAAGAGATGTCTGCATCCAATGTTTATTGCAGCACTATTCACAATAGCTAAGATTTGGAAGCAACTTAAATTGCTTCCTAAGTGCCCATCAACAGATGAATGGATTGAAAAATGTGGTACACAATGAAGTACTATTTAGCCATAAAAAAGAATAGGATCCCATCATCTGCAACAACACGGATGGAATTGGAATTGGAGGTCATTATGTTAAGGGAAATAAGCCTGGCACAGAAAGACAAACTTCCCATATTTTCACTTATTCATGGGAGCTGAAAATTATAACAGTTGAACTTATGGAGATAGAAAGTAGAAGGATGGTTATCAGAGGCAGGTAAGGGTAGTAGGGGTGAGGGAGTAGTGGGGATGGTTAATGGGTACAAACACAGATAGGATGAATAATATCTAGTATTTGATAACACAACAAGGTTACTACAGTCAACAAATAATATATCGTACATTAAAAAATAAGAGTATAATTGGAATGTTTGTAACACAAAAAAATGATAAATGCTTGAGGTGATGGATACCCCAGTTACCCCGATGTAATTTTTAGGCGTTGAATGCCTGTATCAAAATTTCTCATGTATGCTATAAATTATATGCACCTACCCACAAAAATTAAAAATAAAAAAATACGTACACAGTGGGAAAATATATATTTTCTAATGATATATAAAATAAGACAGGGGTCTCCAACCCCAAAGCCATGGACCAGTATCTGTCCATGGCCCATTAGGACCTTGGCCACACTGCAGGAGGTAAGCAGTGGAGCAAGTATTACTGCCTGAGCTCTGCCTCGTGGCAGAACAGTGGTTGTTTTAGATTCTTACAGGAGTGCAAACCCTATTGTGAACTGTGCATGCAAGGGGTCTAGGTTGTGCACTCCTTATGAGAGAGAATCTAATGCCTGATGATCTGAGGTGGAGCAGTTTCATCCTGAAACCATCCTCCCCAGCCCCGACCCATGGAAAAATTGTCTTCCACGAAACCAGTTCTTGGTTCCCACAAGGTTGAGGACCACTGAAATAAGGCTCTAATATCTAGAATATATGAAAAGAAACTCTTACAAATCAACAGCAAAAATACAAATAACCTGATTATAAAAATTGGCAAAGGACTTGAAAAGACATTTCTCTAAAGAAGATAGACAAATGTCCAACAAGCAGATGACAGATGAGCAATGTCATTTGTCACTAAGGGACTGCAAATCCAAACCACAATGAGATACTGCTTCATACCTAGGATGGGTATTAGAAAAAGTAAAGTAAGTGTTAGAGAGGATGGTCTAGTTATAGATGTGAAGAAATTGGAATCCTTATATATTGCTGGTGGGAAGTAAAATGGTGCAGCTTCTATGGAAAAAATGGGCAATTCCTCAAAATGTTAATGTAGAATGTATGGCCCAGCAATTCCACTCCTAGGTCTGTACACTCAAGGAATTCAACAGGCACTCATACAAATACTTGTACAGAAATATCCACTGCAGTACTAGTCACAATAGGCAACAGGTAGAAACAACCCAAATGACCATAAACAGATAGATAAACAAATTTTGGTATATCCATACAATGGAACATTATTGAGTCACAAAAGGGAGCAAAGTATTGATACATGCTACAACACGCATTTACCTTGTAAATAATACAATAAGTAAAAGAAGCCAAACTCAAAAAGTCACATTGTAAGATTCCATTTCTATGAAACATCTAAAGTAAGTAAATCCATAGGAACAGAAAACTGAGAGGAGGGTGGAATGGTGAGTGACTGCTAATGAGTATGCCGTTTCTTTCTGGATTAATTAAAATATTCCAGAATTAGATATTAGTGACTATTGGCCAAATTTGTGAATATATTTTTAAAACTACTGAATGTATAACCAAGAGGGTAAATGCTATGATGTGTAAATTATATCTTAATTTCATAATGAAAAAATATTAAATATAGGCATCTGCAAAATTTTTGTTTCTGTTTCTCACAACATTCTTATTTTTTAGTTTTAAAAATACAAGATAAAATAATTTCAAATTTAAACGGGCTAATTTCCAAACCCATATTTATAAACAATCTGAATTTATAGAAGGATGCAATTTCAACAGTAAATTTAATTTTATGGAAAAGAGAAAACTTTTAGGAGAATAAAAGGATGTTCAAAAAATAGAAAAAAAGCAGCCTACATATCTTAAAGAAAAAAGATAAGCCACATTTTACAGATTTTGAATCTGTAAAATACAGGTTTTGAATATTCTTGATTCGAGAGTTAACTAATTAATAAAAATTTTTTTGTTAATTTTTTTTGAGACAGTCTTGTTCTATTGCCCAGGCTCAAGTGCAGTGGCACCACATACCTCACTGTAGCCTCAAACTCCGTGGCCCCACCTGGGACCATACATATGCAAAACCACACACAGCTAATTTTATAAATTCATTTTTTTTTAAACTTGCTTGCAGGACAAAATAAAAATTTTAAAAATATATTTTTTGTAGAAACCAGGTTTCCCTATGTTGCCCAGGCTTGTCTCAAACTCCTGGGCCCAAGTGATCCTCCTGCCTCAGCTTCCCAGTGCTGGGATTACAGGTGTGAGCCACAGTGCCTGGCCTTAACAGAAATTTCTAAAACATCAAAAGATGCTTCTAAAACCAGTCATTCATGAGCAGTTTTGCTGAACCTTTAGAATCCATGTTGGAACAAATTTTCATTTCAAAAGGAAGTTTAAATATAGAAGCAGCCAAGTCATTTTACCAAATATTCGTCTGAAAGAGTATAGAAATCCTATTTCTAGGGAAGCAGAATACTGAACTTAAATAAACATTTGTGTTCCAAAGGGCAGTCATAACTTAATGATTCTCCTTAAATGATTAACAAGAACATTTAATTTAAAGTCAACCTGTTTACAACAGAGCCTTGAAATACATGGTTTTTTTTAACAGAACAGGGAAAAAATGTTCACATAAATACTAACCTGAGCTGCTATTACTGTCTGGCGATAGAACAGAATTCAAATGAGTTACCATTGGTAGCCTAGTGAATTATGTGAGAGAAAAAGTCCTCCCACATCTCCTGAAGAAGGGGAGCTTCAACAAACTTCACTAATTTGAATGAGAAAGACTAGAGAGATTTGTATCATTTATCTCCGTATATAACATTAATAGAAAAACACTAGCAACATATAGTCAGTTACTTGAAATAGCCTATTTCTGTAACCATCCAACAGGTTCTTTCTGCCCACCGCACAAACAAAATCAACTCACAGAGACCATGGCATTACAGTAAAGAAGGACTTTGATGCTGGCGATGCCACGTCAGAGACAGAGTTATTACTCAAATCAATCTCATTCAAGGCTTTTAGGTGAGGGCTTTTCAAAGGTAGTTTGGTGAGCAGGGGGCTAGGGTATAGGGAGTGCTGATTAGTTGGGTTGGAGATGAAATCATAGGGAGCAGAAGCTGTCCTTTTGCTCTGTGTCCCTTCTGAGTGGGGCCACAGGAGTAGTTGGCTGATCCAGGTGGAGCCACTTGTCGATAGACTTGCCAAAAATCCTGGAAAAAAAATCTCAAAAGGCCAAACTTAGGTTCTACAATAGTGATGTTCTCTGCAGGAATAATTGGGGAAGTTGCATATTTTGTGACCTCCAGAATAATGGCTGGTTTATGTCTACACCTTAGCAGAATTCAGGCACCTCTGTCCTCCTAGTCTGGTGTTCTCTCATTAGCTTTAAGGCAGTTGCATTTTGGAGAAGGGCTATTATCATTTAAACTATAAACTGAATGTCTCTCAAAGTTATCTTGACCTAAGCCCAGTAATAATTAAGGGCAGCTAAAAGTAAGTTGGGGGTTGGTTAAATCAGATCTCTTTCACTGCCATAATTTTCTCACTGCTATAATTTTTGCAAAAGTGGTTCATTTTGACTTTCATCTAATTATTGAGCCTTATATCATAAATATATTAAACATTAGTGATTTCTGACAGCATGATGATCATCAACATCTTGGTCCTCAAATATCAGTGAGACTAAATAATGCTTCAATCCTGTTGGTGTCACTGAGATTGAAGAAAGGAAGAAACCAGTCAGACAGGCAGTTAGGGGGGGTCCTTGGTTGAATTCTTTCACACAAAAGAACAGCCTGCAGGCTCAGATAAGGGAACTTACACAGGGGGGGCTTGCCTAAGACGTGCCCACAGCTGCACAGATAAGAAAGGCTAAACAGGTGACTTGCCCAGACAAGCCCACAATGGAAAATTCCATCCCCTAACACAGGCACAGTAAGGGGAACAAAGCAATATGGAGTAACTCAAGCTAAGGGCCCGCATGTGCACTAGGAGGACAGGGTGGAGCTACCAGAAATTCATGCCTTATGCAGATGAGATGTCCAGCTATCATCAGTTTCTTATAAAAGCCTTTGCATTCAACTGTAAAAACAGCAACCCTCTTCCAGGCCCCCTCTTGGTGGTGGAGAGCTTTCTTCTTTTGCTTATTAAACTTTTGCTCCAACCTCACCCTTTGTGTCCATGCTCGTTAATTCTCTTGATCCTGAGACAAAGAGTTCTGGGTGATACCTCACAGTGAGAGACTTCTACATTGTGGTGCATTGGCAAGACTAACATTTTGGTGCATTGGCTGGGAAAGGAAAGATCAGAAGAATGAGTAGGAGTGGACCTCCAACTCTACTTTCATTTCTGAGGCTTTTCACCCCATTTTAAAAAGTTAAACAAAACACTGGGCCCCTGTCAGCCAGTTAAAAGCTTTTAGAGTGGCTGCCAGCCTTACAAGACTCAGGGGACAGGCTTGCTTTAGAGGACTTTGTCAATCCCCGATTGCCCTCATGTGGTGGGAATGTTGGCTCTGTTCCAATCCAGTTTCCTTTCACAGAGGACCTAGCCATCTATGGGACTGGAAGTGAGAGACAGGACTAGCTGGATTTCCTAGGCCGACTAAGAATTCCTAAGTGTAGCTGGGGAAGGTGACCACACCCACCTTTAAACGTGGGTCTTGTAACTCAGCTCACACCCAACCAATCAGGTAGTAAAGAGAGCTCACTAAAATACCAATTAGGCTAAAAGCAGGAGGTAAAGAAATAATCAAATCATCTACCACCTGAGAGCATAGGGGAAAGGACAATGATCAGGATATAAACCCAGACATTCAAGCTGGATTGGGCAACCCCCTTTACATCCCCTCCCGTTGTATCAGAGCTCTCTCTGTTTTCACTCTATTAAATCTTGCAACTGCACATTCTTCTCGTCCGTGTTTGTTCCAGCTCAAGCTAAGCTATTGCTCACCGTCACAGGCTAGCCGCTGACTTCCACCCCTCTGGATCCAGCAGGGTGTCTGCTGCACTTCTGATCCAGTGAGACGCCCATTGCCACTCCCAACTGGGCTAGAGGCTCGCCATTGTTCCTGCACGGCTAAGTGCCCAGGTTTGTCCTAACACTAGTCGCTGGGTTCCATAGTTCTCTTCCGTGATCCATGGCTTCTAATAGAGCTATAACACTCACCACATGGCCCAAGGTTCCATTCTTTGGAATCTATGAGGCCAAGAACCCCAGGACAGAGAACAAAAGGCTTGCCACCATCTTGGGAGTGCCCCCCTCCATCTTGGGAGCGCCCCCCTCCATCTTGGGAGCTGCCCACCACCATCTTGGGAGCTCTAAGAACAAAGACCCCCCAAGTAACAGAAGGAGACCCTGGGGCAACTGAAGACATCTGGTTGGGGCTACACCTCGGTGTTACCTGAAGACCCCTGGATTAACTCTGGCCCCCAACAGCCCATCAGGGTATCGGCATCAGGACTTCCAGACTTTTCTATCGCATTTCCTTCCTTTCTTTTCATGGCTATCATATCTGCTATCCCTTCTTCGCATGCTGTGTTAAGGGACTTTTTAAAGCCTGGGGAGATAATCTTGTTGGGTAAAGTTAGCAAGTGCCTTAGTAACCAGGAATGTAACTCAAAAAAATTGCTGCTTCTGTGATTTCCTTGAGATGGGGGAATTTCAATATTTCAGTCTAGACTTTCACCTATTAAAGGCTTTCTTTTCCCCTAATAATAAGCATTCATGGCACTGTGTGGGAGGATATTTTACCCTGAGTGAATACCCTCCTCTCCATTTGGGTTGTTTTTTCTCAGTGTAAGAGCTCAGAACCGTCCAGTGAGTTTAAGCAGTTCCTTTATAAGACAAGTTAAGTTTTTCTTGCTAGGAGGCATATTATGGGGACAGCCTATTAAGCCCCAAACCTCTCTTTCTAACCTCTGCTTGGAAAGTCAGTTTTTCCCTAACATTTCAAACCCTACGGCACCACCTAGTGGGATGGGATTTTTCTCTGTGGGGAGCCTTGTCAGCCCTTTGCCCCGAAACTCTAGTTCCCTGATTCCTTTCCCTCTTACATCCCTCTCCCAGTAATCAGTCCCTATGGCCTATTTGTAATCAGAATAACTCCCCTTTCAGCAGCCAGGAGAAAGCTACTCTAGCAAGACAGATTTTAGCCTCAGTGCTAAAATCATCAGAGGGAGGATGGCCAGTCAATTCTTATGTTATTTTGAGGCATCTATTCTGCATCCAGCTATATTGGCATCTAAGTGAGAAAGGGATCTTATGTTTAGAAGTCAATTGGTCCCATTCTTTAGGAATTTATAACTTTGCCTGGGTGGTAGTAAGAGGATGTAAGGGATAGATTTAAGACACTCCCCCCTTTAAAGGGCCTTGCCCAAATTCAACTACCATACAGTCTCTTCTGAGCCCCTGGGGTACCCCCGGAGCCTTATGGGCCAACTGGATCTAGGAAATTAGCAGGGCAGAGAGCTAGGGTATCACACAGGTAAACATGGCTACTCCTGCTGACTAGCTCCTCCAGATCCATGGGTGAAGGTCATGCTTGCATCCATGCATGGCACCTATGATGGTTGCCAGGACCCAGAGGAGACAGGAGGGAAGAGGAGAATGGGGATGTCCTTTTTGTCTTTCTCGCCACTCTGGGTCACTCCGAAAGGAGGAAGGAGACTTCTTCTCCCCTCTTTCCTAGATAGGTAACAACCCATCTTCAAGCCTGCACTCCCCTTGAGTGCAGCCTGGATCTTCTTTAAACCTTAGACCCTACAGTTCACTCTGGGAAAGCCCCAACATCACTCACATATAGAGGCCTTCCAGGATTTATCCCAAGTATTTAAAGTCTCCTGGAAGGATGTGATGTACTCTTAAATCAAACCCTAACTGCTGCTGAGAAACAGGCAGCCCTACAGGTAGCAGAGAAATTCAGAGACAAACAGCTTGTCTCCTATAGCCAGTCAAAAAGGAAAGCCAGTCAAAAAGGGAAAGGTTGAGAAAGAGACAGAATCCCCATTCCTAGTAGGAAGAGAGGCAGTGTCTCTTAAACAACCTAATTGAGACCCCAGTGATACCTTAGATGAGTGCAAATTAAAACATTTTCAAATGTGCATATTAGAGGGCTTAGGGAGGACCAGAGCCAAGCCTCTTAATTACTCCAAACTTTCCATGATAGATCAATAACTAGATGAAAATCCCTTAGCCTTTTTGGAAAGGCTGAGAGAGTCTTTAGTGAAACACACCTCCCTGTCTCCTGATTCAATTGAGGGAAAAGGTAGAGAGAGGGGTATCTTAGAATGGAATGCAGGCTTGGGACTCCATAAGCTTGCAGTTCAATCTAGCCTGGTAAACTGGTCAGTTACAAGCTTTGCTGCAGGACTCCATCTTGTTTTACATTTTGACCTATAACCACATGGCAGTACTTTGTTTTAGACTCTGCCATTTTACAATGGCAGCCCAGGTTCAATCCTGGCTTGGGGAATGAATACTTGCAAGTTAATAGCTGTGTGACTTTTGCCATTTGCTCATTCTCTTCCCCTCCATGAACAACTTCTAGCTCCTTTCTTAAATCTTCCTTCTCTGAGTTTCCTTTAAAGGTTCTAGATTTTGTAAAAGTGTAACCACACAATGGGTTCACCCTGCCCGCTGCCTAGACAGAGCTGATTTATCAGGATGGGGAAATTGCAGTGGAGAGGGGGTGATTCATGTGGGACTGGCTGTGCAGGAGATGGAGTTCTGTTATTGCTTGGGTCTCTCTCCCTGAGAATTTGTGGAGCAGAGTTTTTGAGGATGGCTGGTTGATAGAGGGAGGCCAGTGAGCTGGGAGTGCTGATAGGTCAAATCAGAGATAAAATCACAGGGAGTTGAGGCTACCTTCTTGTGCTGAGTCAGTTCCTGGTTTGGGGTCACAAGATCAGATGAGCCAGTTTATCATTCTGAGTGGTGCCAGCTGATCCATCAAGTGCAGGGTCTGCAGAATATCTGAAATGCTGATCTTAGGAGCAGTTTAGGGAGGGTCAGAATCTGTGGCCTCTAGCTACATGACTCCTAACCCATAGTTTCTAATCTTGTGGCTGGTTTCTTGGTTCTACAAAAGCATTCTGGTCCCCCAGGCAAGAAGGAGGTTTGTTTTGGGAAAGGGCTATTATTGTTTTTGTTTTGGACTATAAACTATAAGTTCCTCCCAGAGTTGGTTCAGCCTATGCCCAGGAATGAACAAGGACAGCTGGGAGGCTAGACGCAAGATGGAGTTGGTTAGGTCAGATTTCTTTTACTATCTCAGTTACAATTTTGCAATGGTGGTTTCAAAAGCTGCTTACCACCCCTTTGAAAGTACCTTGTACACTCATGGTTAAATCATAACCTTAATTGAGGCTTCTTGATTTCACCTGTTAGGTTACTTTTGGTAAAGTTCAAAAACCAGAAATGTTAATTATTTGATGTGGCTAAAATTAGGTAACATGAGATTTAAAAGGATTTTCTTAAAGAGTGCTTAGCTTAATTAAAACTGGATATCCAATCTACAAGTATATGTACAAGGCCTTTATGTTTTTCTCTTCTTGGATCTTGTTTTTCTGGAACAGGTTTTTTTCTCAGTCAACTGAATTCTTTTTCTCCACTTTGTTTTGCCACTCTTAATGCATGCATGAGAGGCCCTAAGATAATTTCTGATGGCCTGGGACTCCTTGGGAAAAAAATGAAAAGGCACCACAGGTTCCATTTTGGGAGAAACCTCCATTTTCCTCATGAAACCGCAGGAATTAGAGGCAGGTAGATCCCTCTCAAAATCTGTTTTTGTCCTCCAGCATACCTGTTTATTAGACCCTAGAAACTGCATGCTTTCCTAGCCCTGCTCTTAAACAGCACCACCCAGAGGCCAATAATTCAATTAGGAGATTGATGAACAAAAATATCTGATAAATACTGGATCTGCTTCTGTTTGCTTGTGTAGTTATATATGTATTGTGTGTGATGCCTATAAAAAGAGCTCTAATTGATTGGCTTAAAGAAAAATAAGTGCTTAAATCAAATTTTTTAAAGGAAATATAAAAGCTGTAATGCCTTTTAGTTCACATAACTTTAATCTTTAAGAAATAAAAATAGTTTTAAAAATAATTGGTAAAATGCAGATGTCAAAATGTAAATAGGTGGCCTAAATCATGTAAGTCAGATACTAGGTTTGCTAAATGTTTCAAGGTTGTAAACTGCCTGCTTTACAAGTTGGTAAGGCCTGGGTACATACAAGATTAACCCCACCCCTAACTATGCTGGAAAAAGTCAGACCTTATCTGGGCCTAGTACATAATTAAAACAATGTACCAGTTTTACATTAAAGTTAAAAATTGCCAAGAGTTACCATTATAACATGTAAATGAGACTACGAAAAATAGATTTACATGAAAGGTGTGTAAGAACAGTAAAATGTGTTTGTGGTAAAAGATTGTAAAAAGATATAGAAATGTAAATCTTGCCTAGGGATAAAGGATTGTTTTAAAACCAATGTAAGAGTAAAATTTGGCTTTCTCTCCCTTGCACAAGATTTTCATGTAATAGTGAAGGATAATGAAAATTTTTTATTTGCCTTGCAGATAAACTGCCAGGGAGAAGAATGAGAAGACAGGAGACAAACTGTTTGGAAAGCTAAATCTTCCCTCTTAATGAATAAAGGTTTTTGCCTTGTCTTAAAGTTTCTGAGTCCTAATTTTGGCAAAATAAATAACTTATGGTAATCTGGAATTGTATTTTGTAATATTAAGTGTTTTGAACCTCTAACATTTACTTCCCAAAATCAAACTTCAGTTTCAAAATTGTCTCTCTTGACCCCTAGCTTTTGGATGCTACAGAAGGCCCCTGAAGCATCCAGAAGAGAGGTAAACAGGATTATTTAACATGTTTAGGTACATGGGATTGGCCAAATGGTGTTTAATGATCTTCAGGTTATATTTTAGTGAATAATATTAATATATTTTCCAAAATTGTATGGGATTTCTAAAATTCTAATGTCTGAGTATATGCTAGAAATCATAATTAAGGTTATTATGTTAAGTTATTGTAAAACACAGAAATAATAAAATTTGTCAGTCATGTTCTTGACTAACTACCTTGGACATTTCACCATTCAAAATCGTCTTGTTTTAATCCTCTTTAAAGGATGGTTTATAATCAGCTATAGGACTTTGACACATGCTCTCAAATGCAAGTTTCTGATAACTTTGGAGATTATGACATTGGAATAAAGGAAAAATGTACAGGACTCATGAAGAGCTAAAATATTCATGAATATCAAGCAAAACAAGAGTTAACAAAATGGACTTTTTAACCTTTTTGCTTAAAATGTTGCTGATCCTTATTTTGTTTTTCAGAGTCAAGGAAACTTATTTTAAGCTATTTATAGCCTCTAATAATTATGTAAGGTATACTTCTGTAAATAAAATTCAGAGCATATTTATTTGTTTCTCTCTGGTTCCTCTAGAACTTGGAAAGTATTTGTGAGTATTCTTAACTCATGGCAATATAATTATTTGCATCAGCACAATGAGAATCATTTTCTTTTACAAGAGGACACAATTGGAGAAACTGGTTGTTTTCTCAAGGTTTTGACTAAAGGCTGTGCTTCCCTTTAAGGAATCGAGCTTGACTTGCAGAGCCAATAAAAGCCCCTTGGGAAAACTGCCTCATACTTTGTCTACACAGCCCCCGAACAGGGTTCCTAACCTGTGGTGAGTAAAGAATATCACTTTCTACAGGCCCAGGAACACCATGTTCTTAGGACCTCAAGGAGAGAGGAATTCACCCAACTCATAGGTATTTGAGGGTACAAACCCATGGCTGGGCTCAGCTTTAAAAAGTTCTGAGATTCCTGTGGAACAGTTTCATCAAAGATAATATAAAAACCTATGTAAAAATAATTATTCTTGCTGTGCTTTGTACAAATAATCAGGCCAAGTATAAAACTAAAGTTGATTTTGCAAACAACTCAGTCCTATCATGATTTGTTTTTTTAACAAAAATGAGTAGAGACAGAAAAATTATGTTTCAAAACATATCATATGCTTGTCATTAATTCTAATCTCATTGATTGTTTTTAAGTTTTTGCCTACATTTTAAACTAATCCTGCTTATTCCTATAAGCCAACCAGCAATCTCTGGCTGCAGCTCAGAAAGTGCAAAAAGGGATGGGTGATGTACAAATCTGAATATTCTAGTTCTTGGCAATTATCCTACAAATCCTGTCAGGTGATGGGAGTAAATAGGGTACCCATAACCCAGAGGTTTCTTTGGGAAAATAAAACCAAGGAAGTTAACCAAAGCCAAGCCCCTTGCACTCAAATCTTAGTGGGCATAACTGTGGCCACCAGTTATCTGTACATGTCAGCAGCCTTGGGATTTTTAAGCTGTGCTTATCCCCTGCTTGTTTCCTCTAATAACCCAAATTGTTTCTTCTTGCCTAAAGACTATCAAACTCCAAATGGTAATGCAAATGAAACAATACATGGATATGCCTTTCTTCCAGGAATCCTTAGACCAGCCCCAGGAGAAACCCTAGCTGCTGTTCCCCATGCAGTGCCCCTTTCCAGTAGGAAGTAGCTAGAAGAATCATCACCCCATTCCCCCTAAGACCAGTTAGGGTCTCCACCCTTGAGGAGGGAAATAAGACAGGAGAAAGGAAGAAAGAGGTCAGGGAGGCAGTTAAAGTGGGTCATTGGTTGAATTCTTTCAAACAAAAGAACAGCCTGAAGGCACATATAAGGGAACTTGCACAGGGCGGCTTGCCTAAGACATGGCCACAGCCACACAGATAAGAAAGGCTTCACAGGTGACTTGTCCAGACATGCTCAGCAAAGTTCTGCCCCCCTCACACATACTTTGGGGAACAAAGCAATTTGGAGTACCTCAAGCTAAGGGCCCACATGTACACTAGGAGGACAGGGTGGAGCTAGCAGAAATTCATGCTTTATGCAGATGAAATGCCCAGCTATCCTCTTTTATAAAAGCTTTTGCATTCAACTGTAAAAATGGCAACTCTCTTCCAGGCCCCTTCTCAGTGGTGGAGAGCTTTCTTCTTTGCTTATTAAACTTTATTAAACTTTTGCTCCAACCTCACCCTTTGTGTCCATGCTTCTTAATTTTCTTAGTCCTGAGACAAAGAGCTCTGGGTGATACCTCAAAATGAGAGATTGCTACATTGTGGTGCACTGGCAAGACTGTAACATCCCTTAAAGGCAAAAAGAAAAAAAAATAAAGAAAAGAATGCAATTTTTCAAGAGAAGCAGTAAGAAAGAAGGATATGGAAGAGATGAAAATGAGTGGATGGAATGCCAGCAGCACTTTTCTTAAATGCCACTGAAGGGAAAATGCACAGAGAACCCCCACCTAGCAACTTTTAAGTATCCCCATTAAACCACTTTATGAAAAAACACCTCAAAAAACATACTTCAGAATATTAACAATGATGATTACTGAGTGGTAAAACCATGTGTGATTTCTTTCTTTCTACATTTTCATATTCTCCATGTTTTCAATAATAAGACATTTTATAAGTTAAAGCTATCAACAGATTGGGTAATTTTTTTCTTTTTTTTTATTTTGAGACAGAGTCTCACTCTGCCGCCCAGGCTGGAGTGCAGTGGTGCAATCTCGGATCACTGCAAGCTCCACCTCCTTGGTTCACGCCATTATCCTGCCTCAGACTCCCGAGTAGCTGGGACTGCAGGTGCCTGCCACCATGCCCAGCTAATTTTTTGTATTTTTCAGTAGAGAGAGGGTTTCACTGTGTTAGCCAGGATGGTCTTGATCTCCTGACCTCGTGATCTACCCATCTCGTCTTTTTTTAAATTATACATTAAGTTCTGGGGTACATGTGCAGGACGTGCAGGTTTGTTACATAGATATACACATGCCATGGTGGTTTGCTGTACCCATCAACCCATCATCTACATTAGGTATTTCTCCTAATGCTATCCCTGCCCTAGCCCCCCATCCCCCAACAGGCCCCAGTGTGTGATGTTCCCCTCCCTGTATCCATGTGTTCTCATTGTTCAACAACCACTTATGAGTGAGAACATGAGGTGTTTGGTTTTCTGTTCCTGTGTTAGTTTGCTGAGAATGATGGTTTCCAACTTCATCCATGTCCCTGCAAAGGACATGAACTCATCTGTTTTTATGGCTGCATAGTATTCCATGGTATATATGTGCCACATTTTCTTTATCCGGTCTATCATTGATGGGCATTTGGGTTGGTTCCAAGTCTTTGCTGTTATAAACAGTGCTGCAATAAACATACATGTGCATATGTCTTTAGAGTAGAATGATTTATAATCCTTTGCGTATAAACCCAGTAATGGGATTGCTGGGTCAAATGGTATTTCTGGTTCTACATCCTTGAGGAATTGCCACACTGTCTTCCACAATGGATTAACTAATTTACACTCCCACCAACAGTGTAAATGCATTCCTATTTCTCTATATCCTCTCCAGCATCTGTTGTTTCCTGACTTTTTAATGATTGCCATTCTAACTGGAGTGAGATGATATCTCATTGTGGTTTTGATTTACATTTCTCTAATGACCAGTGATGATGAGCTTCTTTTTATATGTTTGTTGGCTGCATAAAAGTCTTATTTTGAGAAGCGTCTGTTCATATCCTTCACCCATTTTTTGATGGTTTTTTTTTCTTGTAAATTTGTTTAAGTTCTTTGTAGATTCTGGATATTAGCCCTTTGTCAGATAAATAGATTGCAAACATTTTCTTCCATTCTGTAGGTTGCCTATTCACTCTGGTGATAGCTTCTTTTGCTGTGCAGAAGCTCTTTAGTTTAATTAGATCTCTTTTGTAAATTTTAGCTTTTGTTGCCATTGCTTTTAGTGTTTTAGTCATGAAGTCTTTGTCCCTGCCTATGTCCTGAATGGTATTGCCTAGGTTTTCTCCTAGGGTTTTTTATGGTTTTAGGTCTTATATTTAATTCTTTAATCCATCTTGAGTTAATTTGTATGTAAGGTGTAAGGAAAAGGTCCAGTTTCAATTTTCTGAATATGACTAGCCAGTTTTCCCAGCACAATTTATTAAATAGGGAATCCTTTCCCCATTGCTTGTTTTTGTCAAGTTTGTCAAAGATCAGATGGTTGAAGATGTGTGGTGTTATTTCTGAGGCCTCTGTTCTGTTCTATTGATATATATATTTGTTTTGGTACCAGTACCATGCTGTGTTGGTTACTGTAGCCTTGTAGTATAGTTTGCAGTCAGGTAGCATGATGCCTCCAGCTTTGTTCTTTTTGCTTAGGATTGTCTTGGCTCTGTGGGCCCTTTTTCAGTTCCATATGAAATTTAAAGTAGTTTTTTGTAATTCTGTGAAGAAAGTCAAGGTAGCTTGATGGGGATATAGCACTGAATCTATAAATTGCTTTGGGCA
Source organism: Homo sapiens (assembly GCF_000001405.40). NCBI lineage: Eukaryota > Metazoa > Chordata > Mammalia > Primates > Hominidae > Homo > Homo sapiens. The sequence goes on along the minus strand of NC_000007.14, from coordinate 87,320,623 downwards.
GTATGGCCATTTTCACAATATTGATTCTTCCTATCCATGAGCATGGAATGTTTTTCTATTTGTTTGTGTCCTCTTTTATTTCCTTGAACACTGGTTTGTAGTTCTGCTTGAATAGGTCCTTCACATCCCTTGAAAGTTGTATTCCTAGCTATTTTATTTTCTTTGTAGCAATTGTGAATGGGAGTTCACTCATGATTTGGCTCTCTGTTGGTCTATTATTTGTGTATAGGAATGCTTGTGATTTTTGCACTTTGATTTTGTATCCTGAGACTTTGCTGAAGTTGTTTATCAGCTTAAGGAGATTTTTGACTGAGACGATGGGGTTTTGTAAATATACAATCATGTCATCTGCAAACAGAGAAAATTTGACTTCCTCTTTTCCTATTTGAATACCCTTTATTTCTTTCTCTTGCCTGATTGCCCTGGCCAGAACTTTCAATACTATATTGAATATCAGTTGTGAGAGAGGGCATCCTTATCTTGTGGCGGTTTTCAAAGGGAATGCTTCCAGCTTTTGCCCATTCAGTATGATGTTGGCTGTGGGTTTGTCATAAATAGCTCTTCTATTTTGAGATACGTTCCCTCAATACCTAGTTTATTGAGAGTTTTTAGTGTGAAGGGGTGTTGAATTTTATTGAAGGCCTTTTCTGCATCTATTGAGATAATCATGTGGTTTTTGTCATTGGTTCTGTTTATGTGATGGATTACGTTTATTGATTTGTGTATGTTGAACCAGCCTTTCATCCCAGGGATGAAGCCGACTTGATCATGGTGGATAAGATATTGATGTGCTGCTGGATTTAGTGTGCCAGTATTTTATTGAGGATTTTCGCATCAATATTTATCAGGGACATTGGCTTGAAGTTTTCTTTTTTTGTTGTGTCTCTGCCAGGTTTTGGTATCAGGATGATGCTGGCCTCATAAAATGCATTAGGGAGGAGTCCCTTTTTTTCTATTGTTTGAAATAGTTTCAGAAGGAACAGTACCGGCTCCTCTTTGTACCTCTGGTAGAATTCAGCTGTGAATACATCTGGTCCTGCTAGCTGCAGGAGTTTTTTTCATACCCCAGTGGCACCTAGAACACCAGCAAGACAGAACCATTCACTCCCCTGGAAAGGGGGCTGAAGCCAGGGAGTCAAGTGGTCTAGCTAAGCAGATCCCACCCCCATGGAGCCCAGCAAGCTAAGACCCACTGGCTTGAAATTCTCACCGCGAGCACAGCAGTCTGGGGTCGACCTGGGACGTTGGAGCTTTGTGGCAGGAGAAGCGTCCACCATTACTGAAGCTTGAGTAGGCGGTTTTCTCCTCACAGTGTAAACAAAGCCGCCAGGAAATGTGAACTGGGTGGAGCCCATCACAGCTTGGCAAAGCCGCTGTGGCCAGACTGCCTCTCTAGATTCCTCCTGTCTGGGCAGGGCATCTCTGAAAACAAGGCAGCAGCCTCAGTCAGGGGCTTATAGATCAAACTCCCATCTCCCTAGGACAGAGCACCTGGGGGAAGGGGCAGCTGTGGGTACAGCTTCAGTAGATTTAAATGTCCCTGCATGCTAGCTCTGTGCAGCAGATCTCCCAGCACATTGCTCCACCTCTGCTAAGGGTCAGACTGCTTCCTCAAGTGGATGCCTGACCCCGTGTCTCCTGACTGGGAGACACTTCACAGCAGGGGCCAACAGACACCTCATATAGGAGAGCTCCAGATGGCATCTGATGAATGCCACTCTGGGATAAAGCTTCCAGAGGAAGAAACAGGCAGCAATTTTTTTGCTGTTGTGCAGCCTCTGCTGGTGATACAAGCAAACAGGGTCTGGAGTGGACCTCCAGCAAACTCCAGCAGACCTGTAGCAGAGGAGCCTGGCTGTTAGAAGAAAAACTAACAAACAGAAAGGAATAGCATCAACATCAACAAAAAGGACATCCACTCAGAAACCCCATCCAAAGGTCACCAACATCAAAGACCAAAGGTAGATAAATCCACAAAGATGGGGAGAAACCAGTGCAAAAAGGCTGAAAATTCCAAAAACCAGAACGCCTCTTCTCCTCCAAAGGATCACAACACCTCGCCAGCAAGGAAAAAACTGGATGGAGAATAAATTGGACGAATTGACAGAAGTAGGCTTCAGAAGGTGAGTAACAATAAAAAGCAAAAAACATGCTAAAGGAGCATGTTCTAACCCAATGCAAGAAAGCTAAGAACCTTGAAAAAAGGTTAGAGGAATTGCTAACTAGAATAACCAAAAAATAAATTTGTACTAAAAATAATTTGTTGGTTATATCTGAAATTCAGATTTAACTATGTGTCCTATAGTTTTGTTGTCAAAATCTTGCAATTCTAGTTATGAACAACGTTGAAGTGTAGGTGAATAATCCTAATTTCACAGTTGATGAAACCAAATGAAACAAAGAGATAAATTCCCCAAAGTCACATAATTGAAAAAGGGGCAGAGACATGATCTGAACCCAGATTTGATTCATTGTCACCTCTTCAGTCTCAGCAACCATGAGCAATGTTGAGAAAATGATAGCAAGGAGATGGAGGCATAATTTGTGGACCTGAGGATGGCACTAGCCACCCCCATATTACATCTACAAATATAAGTGGGCACTACAGAGGCACCCTGCTCACCCCTGCCCAGGCTTCCCCAACACATCTGTGAGTCTCCTCTGAATGAAAAAACCAGCTCCATACTTGACTTCATGTTTGTGTTGGTTTTTGAACTTGCTGAGACCTGTCTGACACATCACTTGCCTTTCATTGTGGCTGTGTTCTCTGAGGTCTTAAATCCAGCCTGCCCTTTAGATCTCAATACCTGGCAGGCCACCTCCACCCAAGCTTCTTGATAGCGCGGGAAGAGGGAGGTAAATGAGAGACCCCAAGACTGGGCTAGCTGGCTGCTGGCTGTTGAGACATTCCCAGCAGAGATTAATAGTATGAATACTAATACAAAGAATAGCTACCATTCATTAATACTTGATAGTATTAATACAATCAGCAGCTTCCCCATCCTTGCACTGCTGAATCTTTTATGTACATTATCACATGTAATCCTCTCAGTAGTCCTAGCAGATGATACTATTATCCCCATTGTACAGGTTTAGGAAAGTGAGCAACTTGCCCCAAATCATCCAACAGAGCTAAAATTCCTGTCTAATTTGGCCTGCCCCCAAGTCTCTGCTCCTACCTTTGATGTACAGCTTTGTCAGCTGTCCCAGAATGTCAGGAAACAACCCAGAGGCTGTGGCTGCTGCTGCTTGCAGCTACTCGCAGCTACTCCAGCTTCCTTGTACTTCAGAGAGCACAAGGAAGGTCAGGAATTTAAATGAGCTCCTCTCTGCCTGGGCTTGCCATCCCTGCATGTGAAGAGGTTGTGGAAGAGAAGCCATCCTCACTTGTGTCATTGCAATTTTTTCTTTCTTTTCTAATTAACCATAGGTGCCATGAGCAGAAAGGTACCTCTTTTTAAAAACCATCCACCAGTTTCCAAAGTATCCTGTCCTCTAGGATAGGCTTTGTGCCTCTTGCTGCCCCCAGGGTGAATGAATAGGATCTTATTATTTGGATTTTTACTTAGTGAGTAAAGTAAATACAATTTACTTATAAACAAGTGCTGCAGCTAACTCTTTGGCAATCAAAGCACAAGATGAAACTTGAGTTCTGTCATGCCAAGGACTCCAGGATGAGTCACTCTAACTCCATATCAAATCAGGAAATAAGCATAAACATTGTATTAAGAATACAAAAAGAATTTAGTTAGATTCATCCTCTTATTTAAGAAGTTGGAAACTTTTCATCAGAAGAGCGCCATGGAAAGGAAAGTCCAGGGAATAAAGGATAGTGTTCAAAGATAGTTACTGATACTGACATAAGACTTCCTAGAATTTATAGCTGTATTTTGAGGGAGTGTTTAGGAATAAATCTTTCCATTTATGAATGTTTGTTGTCATGGTTAAATTTATAAAGTGTCAAAAACCCATTTTAGAAAATGCTGGTCCAGACCCTTGCTACTCACTGTGGTCCAGGAACAAGTAGTATTGATGTCACCTGGGAACTTATTAGACTCTAGGGCCTCACCCCAGAACTACTGAATCAGAATCTTCAGTTTCACAAAATCCCCAGGTGATTTCTATGTAGTAGTCTAGACTGGCAAATAATAGCAGCTGGGAGTTTTGGTGGTCAGTGGAACCTAAAGTGATACTGAGGCCCATCCTGAAAGAAGTTACTGGGCAGGCAAGGGGAGTAGGTGGACTTTCCGTGGAGTGAATGGCCTGCAGCAAAAGGGTAGGTGGCACTTCCAGCTGGGCAGGGGACTCATATCTGTGGCAGCAACGCTTCCTTTTATTGAGTCCATTATGCCTAGTGAGGGAAGCCTGCTGAAATAATTTAACCAACTTCTGCAGATTCACTGCCCCATATGGTCCACTAACAAAACCTTTCTATATTTTCAGAACTGCTACAGATTTTGTGTGTGTATGTGTGTATACATGTACATACATGTGTACACGTGTGTGCATATATATGTAAAATAATTGCAATATTATGATTGTGAGAAAGGTGCCGATTTGCCTTTTTAAAGCCACACTTTCAGCCAATAAAACAAAAAATTCCCTGAAACATTTCAACCCAAAATTTCGTTTTCAGAAACCAGATACCTATCTAAGTTATAGAACTGACATTTAGAAGTGCTTATAAATGAGCTTCTAAATGAAAAATAATGTTGAGTAATGGAAAATCTGGAATCCTTTATTTAAATTCAGCATCTTCTTCTGGGAAATAGGGATAATGATACTTACTGGCGGGTTGTAGTAAGATGCATAGTGAGATACATGGTATGTTGTTGTTGTTGTTGTTTTGGAGATGGAGTCTTGCTCTATCACCCAGACTGCAATGCAGTGGCACAATCTTGGCTCACTGCAACCTCCACCTCCCGGGTTCAAGCAATTCTCCTGCCTCAGCCTCCCGAGTAGCTGAGACTATAGGCATCCACCATCATGCCCGGCTAATTTTTGTATATTAGTAGAGACGGGGTTTCACTGTGTTGCCCAGGCTGGTCTCGAACTCCTGAGCTCAGGCAATCCACCCACCTTAGCCTCCCAAAGTGCTGGGATTACAGGCATGAGCCACCACGCCTGGCCAATACAAGTTATGTTTTCTAAACTGATAAAATTATTAGAATCAGCATTCATTTACACCAGTGTAAACACAGCATTAGCCTCACTGACTATCTACATACAAAACCAGTGAGAATTGAGGTTCCAGGCAAGGTACATCTGACTCTTGAAAGCAGCAGAGCTTGACTCAACGTTAAGTTCTCAATTGTATGAACTTCAAAGCTTATTTGCGACCATATATGATAAGTAGAGTTAAAAATGAATGACTACAGAGGAGATAAGTGAGAGACCCCTTTTATAAAAGGGACAGTTGTCACCCATCTTGCCAGGAATGATGACAAGGAAGGATGGAAATTGTCATGATCCTAACAATTCACTGGACCCAGGGTCAACCCAAGCCAATAATACCAGAATTTCTTCATATTGTCCTGCCAAAGAGGATATTTTAGATGAATATAGAGCAGGCCCACCCCAGACCTATTGCTCTTCATAACAAGCTTTATATAGCCCAAGAGCTGTCTCCTCAGCTCCCCACCGTGGCCCCCTCCCAAACTGTTTAGTTACCTTTTGCTGCATAACAAACTACCCTACACTTAGTGGCTTACCAGAGCAAGTCATTATTTCTCATGAATCTATGGTTTGAGTGGGCCCTTCCAGACAATCCCATTATCCAGGTTGTCTTTTCTTTTCTTTACTTTCTCCCTTCCTTTCTTTCTTTCTTTATTTTATTTTATTTTATTTTTTGATGTAGTCTCACTCTGTTGCCCAGGCTTGAGTGTAGTGGCACGATCTGGGCTCACTGTAACCTTGACCTCCTGGGTTCAAGCAATTCTCCTGCCTCAGCCTCCCAAGTAGCTGGGATTATAGGTGCCTGCCACCATGCCCGGGTAATTTTTGCATTTTTAGTAGAGGCAGAGTTTCACCATGTTGGCCAGGCTGGTATCGAACTCCTGGCCTCAGGAGTTTATATATATATATATGCCTTGGCCTCTCAAAGTGCTGGGATTACAGGTGTGAGCCACCGTGCCCAGCCTCAAGGTCAGTTTTTGTTTTTGTTTTTTGAGATGGAGTTTCACCCTTGTAGCCTAGTCTGGAGTGCAATGGCACGATCTTGGCTCACTGCAACCTCCCCCTCCTGGGTTCAAGTGATTCTCCTGCCTCAGCCTCCCAAGTAGCTGGGATTACAGGTGTGAGCCACCACTCCTGTCTAATTTTGTATTTTTGGTAGAGATGGGGTTTTTCCATGTTGGTCAGGCTGGTCTCGAACTCCCAACCTCAAGTGATCCACCCGCCTCAGCCTCTCAAAGTGCTGGGATTACAGGCATGAGCCACCACACCTGGCCTGGGTCAGTTTTTTAGTACTAGAGCTGCTATCTGATCTCCACTTGTCCTTTTATAGTGCTTCATTTCTGGGGTGGTCAGAATTTCAGAGGCAATGATAATATAACCAACAAAAGACTGTTTGTGTAATCTGTAACCAACTTTACTAAAGAGCCATGAGTGACTATAGGAAATGTCAATATAGGGGGAAATAAACTTAAGTTGTATATTAATTATAAATGTTCTCATTATAGATTTTTAAAAAATAGTTAAGGCTTTCCCTGGACACAATCCATCTCCCTTCAGCAAAAGGGTAGGTGGCACTTACTACCTTCTTCAGAAAGGTCTTGGTGTCCACTCTCTTCAGAAAGAGAATAAATGGAGTTTCTTCAGTATCGCACAGTAGAAATCAAACCCTATCCTTCAGGAAACCCCTTAACAGAGATAAATGTATTTCCCATCCCTTCTCCAACAGGCATCTTAAGACAATAATTTGCCATAAACAATTTCCCAAATCTTAACATAGAGCGAGGAGAGGAGCTTTGCCAGATTGGCCCCACTGGGACTTTGACACTCCAAGTCTCCTGGTATCCTTTGAGAAATCTCTACAGGTATGAAATGAGGTTGTGTCTCTTCCTCATCCTTCCTGCAAGCTCCTAATGGATGTCTTCTCCCAGCCCCACATATACACCCTTTAAGGATAAACAATCAGAGATGGAAGAGTCTAAGTTCATATGAGGAATGAGAACCATTTCTCCAAGTTCAACCTCTCCAGCATCTTTCTCTTCCCTCAACTGAGAGAGTGCTTCACTTTGCAGATCAAGATCCATTCTTCTTTGTTGATTTTCTGTTTCCAGGCCTTAACCAGAAACCTATTGTTTATATATATATATATATTTAAAATCAGACCCATTAGAGTGTCTTTCCAACAATAGGTAGTATAAATCTGATGGCTGCTTTTTAGCAACATAAACTCCAAGCAGAAGCACTGATTGTCAGTTTGCCTTTACTTTGAACAAAATGAAATTCTTGGAGATTAGTCTTTATAAGCAGTAGATGAGCAGTTTAAAGAATTAACTTCTGTCTGTCCAGAGCCCACCCCAGAAGGGCTGGGTTGAGGAGGTGTGTTTTTCTTTCTGCACGTATAACTCTGTATTTATGAAGGCCATTCATTATGATCATTTTCCCCCAGTGGAAGAGAATAATCTAAGGAAAGGTGTGCCATATACCTAGAGAGCAGTCAAATATACCTTTAGAGCCTGTTTCCTGCCTACCTCTGTGCACTATTGTCCTCCCCCATCAGATCACCTAGTGAATGAAGGCAGTCAATCTCCATGGCTCCAGTCTCTGAAGCAGTCCCTTAAATGCCAAGTGTTGGCTTTACTTTTTCAAAACATTTTGACAGATTTCTTCTTGGAAACTAGATCTCTAGAACAACTTTATCCTGAAAGAAAGCAAGACATACATTGCCCCCCACTCCCACTTTGAAAAGTTCCTAGCATAAACACACACTTTACTAAGAATCTTAAAATACCTGACTGTAAGATAAATTAATTTTAAAATGACCTCAATAATTTAATCATAATTTGAATAGCTGATCATATCTTCTCTGGGTAATGACATGAGGAAAATACACAATTGGCCACAGCTGACTAACTACTTGGTCTTAGATTTAAAAGAAATGGATTTAGTGAGGAGCAGGGCTTTCTTTCCAGTACCAGCTGTGATGGAGCGACACCTTCTGGCACACATGGAGTACTGCATGCTAGAGGGCTCCTCTGCTAGGAGGCCCTCTTCAAGAGATCTCAATCAACTCCACTGACCCAAGTTCGGTTCCATCAAAAAGGTCAAAGATAGGTGACAGTGTTGGCTAGACAGTTAATAATTTCCATTGCTGACTTTACACATCATTCCTGGCTGGCCATTGGCCTTTTAGAAAAAAAACAAAGCAGCCTAAAGTACCAAGATCATCTAACATTATTAGAAATATTGGCCACATCCTCCCCACTCTTCACTCCATGTCCCACCCAAAAGAAAACTTCATATGACCAAAAAGTCAATGGAATCTTTGCAACAATGATCAGTCCAGAGCTCATTTTGGGTGATACAGGTAACAAACCAGTTGTTAAAAGGCATTTCATCTCATGTTATTCTGGTGGGCCCCAAGGCAATGGTGGCTGGGGGTGGAATGGAGGGGCGTGGAGAACACAAACACAATAATGGAATTCCTAATTTCAGAGGAGAAAAGCAGTGTATGGACACTTAAGTGTGTTAGTTTTCTAGGGCTGCCATTACAAAGTACCACAAACTAGGTGGCTTAAACAGTAGAAATGTCTTGTCTGACAGTCCTGGAGGCTAGAAGCCCCAGATTAAGGTGTCAATAGGGTTTTTCCCTCAGAGGGCTGTGCAGAAGAGCCTGTTCTATGTCTCTTTGCCAATTTCTAGTGGTTTTCTGGAAATCTTTGGTGTTTCTTGGCTTGTACAGATTTTTGCCTTCATCCTCCCTGTGTGTGTCTGTCTCAGTCATGGCATTCTTTTATAAAGACACCAGTCATATTGGATTAAGGGCCCACCCTACTCTAGTATGACCTCATCTCATCTAAGTATATCTGCAATGACAGATATATTCCAAATAAAGTAACATTTGGAGGTACTGGGGGTTAGGACTTTCATATATGAGTTTTGCGGGAGACACAATTCAACTCATAACATTAAAGAAATATTTTCTTGTTTAATCTCTTCTCCAAAAAGTGCAATAACTGTCTATGAGAAATATGCATGTGCTTATTCTAATAGGTCTCATGCTTAAACAACATGATGATAAGCCAACAGGTTATACTGGAGATAATATTGAGAAGCAAGTCAGGACACAAGACCATAGTAGTCCTCAATACCAAGAGCAGCAGTGATAGTTGCCTGCTCCTGCAGTACAAGCTGAGTACAGCATTGCTAAAAGCCTAGCCGCATCCCTGGGACCCCTCCAGACTGAATGACGCAGACTTGGGTGAAGTACACAGTTGGAATGAGAATGGATTCAGGACTTATGACTGTTCCCTGTGGGTAGGGGCTGGCTGCTTGAGGGAAATGGTTGGGATTGATCTGGAAAGACCATGGACCAGGCTCTTTGGGTTGGGGGATACATAAGAGAAGGGCCCTCCAGGCTCTGATGCTGTACCTGCAGGACTCTGGCAAAGTCCCAGTTAGAAAGGACTTTGTCCCTGTTTCCATGGTGTTAATCCCTTTGAAAATTTCCCTAACCTTCAAAGAAAACGTGCCTCAATGAGACGGAAGGAATCAGAAGGTTAGGGAAGGAGAGGCTGGAATTCCTCATTTTATCCCTAGCTCCAACAGAGAAGGGATATTAGCTGGTTAAGTGGACTATTTAATGCATGGTGAGAAGTGCAGCCAGCAGTGACCCAGTAAGAGCAGTGGGGAAAACCATCTGATCCCACAGTGTGCTCAAGCCAAGAGGACTGTGACACTATAATGCAGATCTGCTTATGCATACACATTAGAGAAAACTGGGAAAAAGGGTAGACATCTGAGTTATAATTACAAGGGGAGTCTAGCTTGGAATAAATTACTGCCTTTTCCTGGAATCCTTATTTTGTAAAAGGTAGAAGGCGGCTTTCTTTTTTTTTCTTTTTTTTTTTATTATTATACTTTAAGTTCCAAGATACATATGTAGAACGTGCCGTTTTGTTACATAGGTATACACGTGCCATGGTGGTTTGCTGAACCCATCAACCCATCGTCTACATTAGGTATTTATCCTAATGCTATCCCTCCCCTGGCCCCCACCCCCTGACAGGCCCTGGTGTGTGATGTTCCCCTCCCTGTGTCCATGTGTTCTCATTGTTCAACTCCCACTTACGAGTGAGATCATGAGATATTTGGTTTTCTGTTCCTGTGTTAGTTTGCTGAGAATGATGGTTTCCAGCTTCATCCATGTCCCTGCAAAGGACATGAACTCATCCTTCTCTACAGCTGCATAGTATTCCATAGTGTATATGTGCCACATTTTCTTTATCCAGTCGATCATTGACGGGCATTTGAGTTGGTTCCAAGTCTTTGCTATTGTGAACAGTGCTGCAGTAAACATACGTGTGCATGTGTCTTTATAGTAGAATGATTTATAATCCTTTGGATATATACCCAGTTATGGAATTCTGGGTCAAATTTATTTCTGGTTCTGGATCCTTGATCTAAATCCCTGTCTTCCACAATAGTTGAACTAATTTACAATCCCAGCATGAGTGTAAAAGCATTCCTATTTCTCCACATCCTCTCCAGCATCTGTTGTTTCCTGACTTGTTAATGATTGCCATTCTAACTGGCATGAGATAGTATCTCATTGTGGTATGATTGGCATTTATCTAATGACCAGTGATGATGAGTTTTTTTCATGTTTGTTGGCTGCATAAATGTCTTATTTTGAGAAGTGTCTGTTCATATCCTTCGCCCAGGTTTTGATGGGGTTGTTTGTTTTCTTGTAAATTTGTTTAAGTTCCTTGCAGATTCTGGATATTAGCCCTTTGTTAGATGGATAGATTACAAACATTTTCTTCCATTCTGTAGGTTGCCTGTTCACTCTGATGATAGTTTCTTTTGCTGTGTAGAAACTCTTTAGTATAATTAGGTCCCATTTGTCAATTTTGGCTTTTGTTGCTATTGCTTTTGGTGTTTTAGTCATGAAGTCTTTGCCCATGCCTATGTCCTGAATGGTATTGCCTACGTTTTCTTCTACGGTTTTTATGGTTTTACATCTTATGTTTTATTCTTTAATCCATCTTGAGTTAATTTTTGTATAAGGTGTAAGGAAAAGGTCCAGTTTCAGTTTTCTGCATATGGCTAGCCAGTTTTCTCCACACCATTTATTAAATAGGGAATCCTTTCCCCATTGCTTTTGTCAGGTTTGTTAAAGATCGGATGGTTGTAGCTGTGTGGCATTATTTCTGAGGCCTCTGTTCTGTTCCATTGGTCTATATGTCTGTTTTGGTACCAGTACCATGCTGTTTTCGTTACTTTAGCCTTGTAGTATAGTTGGAAGTCAGGTGGCATAATGCCTCCAGCTTTGTTCTTTTTGCTTAGGATGGTCTTGGCTATGCGGGCTCTTTTTTGGTTCCATATGAAGTTTAAAGTAGTTTTTTCCAATTTTGTGAAGAAAGTCAGTGGTAGCTTAATGGGGATAGCATTGAATCTATAAATTACTGTGGGCAGTATGGCCATTTTCACGATATTGATTCTTCCTATCCATAAGCATGGAATGTTTTTATATTTGTTTGTGTCCTCTCTTATTTCCTTGAGCAATGGTTTGTAGTTCTCCCTGAAGAGGTCCTTCACATCCTTTGAAAGTTGTATTCCTAACTATTTTATTCTCTTTGTAGCAATTGTAAATGGGAGTTCACCCATGATTTGGTTCTCTGTTTGTGTGTTATTGGTGTATAGGAATGCTTGTGATTTTTGCACTTTGATTTTGTATCCTGAGACTTTGCTGAAGTTGTTTATCAGCTTAAGGAGATTTTTGACTGAGACGATGGGGTTTTGTAAATATACAATCATGTCATCTGCAAACAGAGAAAATTTGACTTCCTCTCTTCTTATTTGAATATGCTTTATTTCTTTCTCTTGCCTGATTGCCCTGTCCAGAACTTCCAATACTATGTTGAATAGGAGTAGTGAGAGAGGGCATCCTTGCCTTGTGCTGGTTTTCAAAGGGACTGCTTCCAACAGTTGCCCATTCAGTATGATATTGGCTGTGAGCTTGTCATAAATAGCTCTTATTATTTTGAGATACGTTCCCTCAATACCTAGTATATTGAGAGTTTTCAGCGTGAAGGGTGTTGAATTTTATTGAAGGCCTTTTCTGCACCTATTGAGATAATCATGTGGTTTTTGTCATTGGTTCTGCTTATGTGATGGATTATGTTTATTGATTTGTGTATGTTGAACCAGCCTTTCATCCCAGGGATGAAGCTTACTTGATCTTTGTGGATAAGCTTTTTGATGTGCTGCTGGAATTGGTTTATTTTATTGAGGATTTTCGCATCAATGTTAACCAGGTATATTGGCCTGAAATTTTCTTTTTTGTTGTGTCTCTGCCAGGTTTTAGTATCAAATGATACTGGCCTCATAAAATGAGTTAGGAAGGAGTCCCTCTTTTTCTATTGTTTGGAGTAGTTTCAGAAGGAATGATATCAGCTCCTCTTTGTACCTCTGGTAGAATTCAGCTGTGAATACATCTGGTCCTGGGTTTCTTTGGTTAGTAGGCTATTAATTACTGCCTCAATTTCAGAACTTGTTATTGGTCTATTCAGGGATTCGACTTCTTCCTGGTTTAGCCTTGGGAGGGTGTATGTGTCCAGGAATTTATCTGTTTCTTCTAGATTTTCTAGTTTATTCGTGTGGAGGTGTTTATAGCATTCTGTGATGGTAGTTTGTATTTCTGTGGGATCAGTGGTGGTATCCCCTTTATCATTTTTATTGAGTCAATTTGATTCTTCTCTCTTTTCTTCTTTATTAGTCTGGCTAGCAGTCTATCTATCCTGTTGATCTTTAAAAGCAAACAAACAAACAAACAAAAAACAGCTCCTGGATTCATTGATTTTTTTAAAGGTTTTTTTTGTGTCTTTACCTCCTTCAGGTCTGCTCTGATCTTAGTTATTTCTTGCCTTCTGCTAGCTTTTGAATTTGTTTGCTCTTGCTTCTCTAGTTCTTTTCATTGTGATGTTAGGATGTCGATTTTAGATCTTTCCTGCCTTCTCTTGTGGGCATTTAGTGCTATAAATTTCCCTCTAGACACTGCTTTAAATGTGTCCCAGAGATTCTGGTACGTTGTGTCTTTGTTCTCATTGGTTTCAAAGAACTTACTTATTTCGTTATTCATTTCATTATTTACCCAGTAGTCACTCATGAGCAAGTTGTTCAGTTTCCATGTAGTTGTGCAGTTTTGAGTGAGTTTCTTAATCCTGAGTACTAATTTGATTACACTGTGGTCTGACAGACAGTTTGTTGTGATTTCTGTTCTTTTACATTTGCTGAGGAGTGTTTTACTTCCAATTATGTGGTCAATTTTAGAATAAGTGTGACGTGGTGCTGAGAAGAATGTATATTCTGTTGATTTGGGGTGGAGAGTTCTGTAGATGTCTATTAGGTCCACTTGGTCAAGAGCTGAGTTCAAGTCCTGAATATCCTTGTGAATTTTCTGTCTGATTGATCTGTTTAATGTTGACAGTGGGGTGTTAAAATCTCCCACTATTATTGTGTGGGAGTTTAAGTCTCTTTGTAGGTCTCTAAGAACTTACTTTATGAATCTGGGTGCTCCTGTATTGGGTGCATATATATTTAGGATAGTTAGCTCTTCTTGTTGCATTGATCCCCCTACCATTATGTAATGCCCTTCTTTGTCTCTTTTGATCTTTGTTGGTTTAAAGTCTGTTTTATCAGAGATTAGGATTGCAACCCCTGCTTTTTTTTTTTTTTTTTTTTTTTTTTTTTTTTTTTTTTTTTTGCTTTCCATTTGCTTGGTAAATATTCCTCCTATTCCTCCATCCCTTTATTTTGAGCCTATGTGTGTCTTTGCACGTGAGATGGAGCTCCTTAATACAGCATACTGATGGGTCTTGACTGTTTATCCAATTTGCCAGTCTGTGTCTTTTAACTGGGGCATTTAACCCGTTTACATTTAAGGTTAATATTGTTATGTGTGAATTTAATCTTGTCATTATGATGCTAGCTGGTTGTTTTGCCCATTAGTTAATGCGGTTTCTTCATAGTGTTGCTATTCTTTGCAATTTGGTATGTTTTTGCAGTGGCTGGTACTGGCTGTTCCTTTCCATGTTTAGTACTTCCTTCAGGAGCTCTTGTAAGGCAGGTCTGGTGGTGCGAAAATCTCTCAGCATTTGCTTGTCTGTAAAGGATTTTATTTCTCCTTCGCTTATGAAGCTTAGTTTGGCTGGATATGAAATTCTGGGTTGAAAATTCTTTTAAGAATGTCGAATATTGGCCCCCATTCTTTTCTGGCTTATAGGGTTTCTGCAGAGAGTTCAGCTGTTAGTCTGATGGGCTTCCCTTTGTGGGTAACTCAATCTTTCTCTTTGGCTGCCCTTAACATTTCTTCCTTCACTTTAACCTTGGTGAATCTGATGATTATGTGTCTTGGGGTTGCTCTTCTCGAGGAGTATCTTTGTGGTGTTCTCTGTATTTCCTGAATTTGAATGTTGGCCTGTCTTGCTAGATTGGGGAAGTTCTCCTGGATAATATCCTGAAGAGTGTTTTCCAACTTGGTTCCATTCTCCCCATCACTTTCAGGTACACCAATCAAACATAGGTTTGGTCTTTTCACATAGTCCCATATTTTTTGGAGCCTTTGTTCATTTCTTTTTATTCTTTTATCTCAAAACTTGTCTTCACACTTTATTTCATCAAATTGATCTTCAATCTCTGATATCCTTTCTTCCACTTGATCGATTTGGCTATTGATACTCGTGTATGTTTCATGAAGTTCTCATGCTGTGTTTTTCAGTTCCATCAGGTCATTTATGTTCTTCTCTAAACTGGTTATTCTAGTTAGCAATTCCTCTAACCTTTTTTCAAGGTTTTTACCTTCCTTGCATTGGGTTAGAACATGCTCCTTTAGCTCAGAGGAGTTTGTTATTACCCACCTTCTGAAGCCTACTTCTGTCAATTCATCAAACTCATTCTCCATCCAGTTTTGCTCCCTTGCTGGTGAGGAGTTGTGATCCTTTGGAGAAGAGGCATTCTGGTTTTTGGAATTTTCAGCCTTTTTGCGCTGGTTTTTCCTCATCTTTGTGGATTTATCTACCTTAGGTCTTTGATGTTGGTGAGGTTCAGATGGAGTTTCTGTGTGGACGTCCTTTTGGTTGATGTTGATGCTGTTACTTTCTGTGTGTTAGTTTTTCTTCTAACAGTCAGGCCCCTCTGCTGCAGGTCTGCTGGAGTTTGCTGGAGGTCCACTCCAGACCCTGTTGGTCTGTGTCACCAGCAGAGGCTGCACAACAGCAAAGATTGTTGCCTGTTCTTTCTCTGGAAGCTTCGTCCCAGAGGGGCACCCACAGATGCCATCTGGAGCTCTCCTGTATGAGGTGTCTGTTGGCCCCTGCTGTGAGGTGTCTCCCAGTCAGTAGGCACAGGGGTCAGGGACCCACCTGAGGAGGCAGTCTGTCCCTTAGCAGAGGTTGAAAGCTGTGCCGGGAAATCCACTGCTCTTTTCAGAGCTGGCAGGCAGGAACATTTAAGTCTGCTGAAGCTGCGCCCACAGCCACCCCTTCCCCGAGGTGCTCTGTCCCAGGGAGATGGGAGTTTGATCTATAAGCCCCTGACTGGGGCTGCTGCCTTTTTTTCAGAGATGCCCTGCCCAGAGAGGAGGAATCTAGAGAGGCAGTCTGGCCACCGTGGCTTTGCCCAGCTGCGGTGGGCTCCATCCATTTCGAACTTCCTGGCAGCTTTTTTTACACTGTGAGGGGAAAACCTCCTACTCAAGCCTCAGTAATGGCGGACACTTGTCCCCCAACCAAGCTCAAATGTCCCAGGTAGACTGCAGACTGCTGTACTGGCATTGAGAATTTCAAGCCAGTGGGTCTTAGCTTGCTGGGCCGCATGGGGGTGGGATCCGCTGAGCTAGACCACTTGGCTCCCTGGCTTCAGCCCCCTTTCCAGGAGAATGAATGGTTCTGTCTTGCTGGTGTTCCAGGTGCCACTCGGTTATGAAAAAAAACTCCTGCAGCTAGCGCAGTGTCTGCCCAAATGGCCGCCCAGTTTTGTGCTTGAAACCCAGGGCCATGTTGGCATAGGCACCGGAGGGAATCTCCTGGTCTAGAGGTTGTGAAGGCTGTGGGAGAAGCATAGTATCCGGGCCAGAGTACACTGTTCCTCACAGCACAGTTCCTCATGGCTTCCCTTGGCTAGAAGAGGGATTTCCCTGACCCCTTGTGCTTCCTGGGTGAGGCAACATTCCAGCCTGCACTCACCCTCCATGCTCTGCAACCACTGTCTAACCATTCCCAATGAGATGACCCATGTACCTCAGTTGGAAATACAGAAATCACCTGCCTTCTGCATTGATCTTGCTGGGAGCTACAAACTGGAGTTGTTCCTGTTTGGCCATCTTGCCAGCCACCAAGACTGAGGGTAGCTTTCTAAATAGGAGATATATGCCTTTCTGTTTATAAAAGGAAATAAGGCTTCTTCTGCATATTTTGTGGATGCCTCTTTCTAACTCGAATTTCTTTGTAATTTTAAAGTTAGAAAATGATTTCAGAAGGAAAAGACTCACTGACTTTTGCAAAAATGTTTTCAAGTTCATCTTTGACAAAGGATTCCTCAAATTAGCACCTTTCTCATTAAAGAACAATAGTAAAAAAAAGTCATAGAAATCATTTCTGGCAATTTAGTCTTGTTTTTGTACAGGGGCATTAAGTTCATAATTGTTGGTTTCAGTAAAGGAGTTAATGGAAGACAAACACTTTTTTTTTAGAGGAAAACCTTTTTATGATATAATAAAACAATGCCAAACAAACAGACAAACAAAAAGCTCAACAAGTATGGACTCCACAGGTAAAACATGCAGATAGATGCAGCTGCCTCGACTGGCTCGGGTTCTAAGAGTGGGGCATTAGGACACCTCACCCTCCACAATAACAAGTGGTTTCATTTGAAAAGATCCCCAGATGAAAGCTGGAGGATTCTGAGGAAGGATGAGATGAAAGAACAAGTCCTATGACCTGAACCAACTCTGTACAGCACCTTAAATTATGGAGACGTCATCTTCTAGTCCCAATCTTCCAGGTCTGACCCTTCAGTGTCCAAATAACAACCAACACCTGCCTGGCAGGGACATGTGGGCAGCAACATGGAGTGATAGTGCACAAGCACGCTGGACACTGGAGAGCAGACACCAGGCAGTAGTCTTTAGGCTCAGCCTGTCACACATGTGCATTCTCAGAGCTCCCCAGACAGCACCCTGCTGCTTTAAGACAAACACATCTTAGCAGTTCTGGGTAATGGATGGAAGGTAATGTAGAGCATATTTGAAATTGAACATCTAGAAAATGTCAATAAAAGCATTACTGCCTCAACCATTCTCTTAATATATCCTTTCAAATCAAATGTTACATTTCCAAATCAAATTTCACACAATTACAAAATTTGACTCTTGGAAGTGTCTTTAGCAAACATTTCTGGTCTCCTTATTTTGCAGATGAGGAAAAAGGCTCAAAGAGAAGGGTTTGGCCTACATTCTGCCTCTAATTACTGGCTGCTTTAGTTAATGTCTCTAGAGCAGTGGTTCCTAAATATTAAGTGCATGAGAATCACCTGTAGGGCTTGTTAAAAATGCAGACTACTAGGTCTCAACCCCAGAGTTTCTGGTTTAGTAGGTTTTGTATAAGAATGAAGAATTTACATCCCAAGCAATGCTGATGCTGCAGGTCTGGGGTGCCCAGTTTAAGAACTGCTGGCCCAGAAATTGCAAGCATGAAGAAAAAGAAAATGGAAATTAAAGCTTTAGATTTTTTATTGTGTTGGATAGTCTCTTTGGGTTATAAGGACAGAAACTGGAAAGTTAACTTAGTTAATAAAAGCCTCTTGTGAAGCTGTAGAATATCGTATGAACTTAAGATATTTTGAGGCTATAAGTAGACATTTCCTTTTTTTTTTTTTTTTTTTAAGACAGAGTCTCACCATGTTGCCCAGGCTGGTCTTGAACTCCTAGGCTCAAGCAGTCTTCTCATCTCAGCCAGGGAGATATTTTTAAAAGGCAGAGGATGTGAACACAAAGACAGCCCTGGAAAAACAAGTACTGCAGCTCAGCTAGGCTTCAAAATGTACTGTAGTTTAGAGCATAAAGTTTAATCATTCAGAATCCAATGAATGATTTAGTTGACACTTTGCTCCCAGTGGATGAATAAAGTGTGTTTGCCATAATGAAATGGAAACTTTGACTACACAGTGAAGCCACATGGGAAACCGAAACAAACAAACAAACAAAGAAAAACAACCTGAAGCCTGGATCCTACGCCAGTGGTTCTGAAATAATTGATTTGTTGTATGGCCTGGACATTGGTATTTTTTAAAGCTCCCCAGGTGATTTTAATGTGCTTCACCATTAAAGTGACTCATCGCCTCTCTCTCATTCTGTAACACCCCAAAAGAATATAATAATTCTCCAGTAACAGAGTCCAATGAAAAAGAAATTCATGAAGTGCCTGAAAAAGAATCCAAAATAATGATATTGAAGAAGCTCAGTGAGATATAAGAGAACACAAAAAAATAATACAAAGAAATCAGAAAAACAAGTAAGGATATAAATAAGAAACTAACCAGAGAGATAGATATATAATAAGAAAGAACCAAACAGAGATTCTGAAACTAAGTAATTTAATGAAAGAAATAAAAAATACATTTATTTGATTCAGAAATGTAATCTCTGATTTGAAAGGATATATTAAGAGAATGATTGAGGCAGTAATGCTTTTATTGACATTTTTTAGATGTTCTTAATAAAGAACTTCAATAATAGACTAGCTCAAACAAGAAAAAATTTCAGAATTTGAAGACAGTTCTTTTGAAATAACCCAGTCAGACAGATAAAAAAGAAATAAAGAATAAAAGAGAGAGGGTGGGAGAGAGGTGAAGGTTGAAAAATTACCTATTTGGTACAATGTTCACTATTTGGGTGATGGGTACACCAGAAGCCTGGTCCCCACCATTATGCAATATATCCATGTTACAAAGGTGCACGTGTATCTCTTGAATCTATAAAAATTTTAAAAATTAAAAAAAGCATGCTTACATTTGCCTTTTGTAGCTGCATATGTAAAACCATGTTATATGAAGAAATATAGACAGAAACATGTTCTAATAACATCCTCTTTTTAAATACTTTTAAAATTTTATTTTAGTTTCAGGGGTACACGTGCAGGTTTGTTATATAGGTAAACTGCATATCACAGGGGTTTGGTGTACAGATAATTACATCACTCAGGTAATAAGCATAGTACCCAATAGGTATTTTTTTCTGATCCTCTCCTTCCTCCTTCCCTCTACACTCAAGTAGGCCCCAGTGTCTATTGTTCCCTCCTAGCATATGTGTGTTCTCATTGTTTAGCTCCCACTTATAAATGAGAACATGGGGCATTTGTTTTTTCTGCTTCTGTTTTAGTTTGCTTAGGATAATGGCCTCCAGCTCCATCCATGTTACTGCAAAGGACATGATCTCATTCAATCTCATTCTTTTTTATGGCTGCATAGTATTCCATGGTGTATATGTACCATATTTACTTTATGCAGTATACTGTTGATGGGCATTTAGGTTAATTTTGTCTTTGCTATTGTGAACAGGGCTGTAATAAACATACACATGCATGTGTCTTTATGGTGGAACAATTTATATTCCTTTGAGTATATACCCAATAATGGGATTGCTGGGTCGAATGGTAATTATGTTTTTAGCTCTTTGAGGAATTGCCACACTGCTTTCCACAAAGGCTGAACTAATTTACACACTCACCAGCAGTCTAAGCTTTTCATTTTTTTCCACAACCTTGCAAGCATCTGTTATTTTTTGACTTTTTAATAATAGTCATTCTGACTGGTGTGAGATAGTTATCTCATTGTGGTTTTGATTTGCATTTCTGTAATGATTAGTGATGTTGAACATTCTTTCATATGCTTGTTGGCCACATGTATGTCTTCTTTTGAAAAGTGTCTGTTCATGTTCTTTACCTTGTTTTTAATGGAGTTGGATTTTTTTTTGCTTATAAATCTCTTTAACTTCCTTATAAATTCTGAATATTAGCCTTTTATCAAATGCCTAGGTTGCAGATATTTTCTCCCATTCTGTAGGTTGTCTGTTTACTCTGTTGATAGTTTATTTTGCTGTGCAGAAGCTTTTTCATTTAATGGGCTCACATTTGTCAATTCCTGTTTTTGTCGCAATTGCTTTTGTTTCCTTCATTATGAAATCTTTGCCAAGTTCTATGTCCAGAATGGTATTTCCTAGGTGATTGATACGATTTGGCTCTGTGTTTGCACCCAAATCTCATCTTGAATTGTACTTCCATATTCCCAGGTATTGTGGGATGGACCTGGTGAGAGATAATTGAGTCATGGGCGTGGTTTCTCCCATACTGTTCTCATGGTAGTGAATAAGTCTCACAAGAACTAATGGTTTTATAAGGAGAAACCCCTTTCACTTGGCTCTCATTCTCTCTCTTGCTGCTACCATGTAAGAAGTATCTTTTGCCTTCCACCATGACTGTGAGGCCTTCCCAGCTACATGGAACTGTAAGTCCATTAAAGCTCTTTCTTTTGTAAATTGCCCAGTCTCAGGTATGTCTTTATCAGCAGCATGAAAATGGACTAATACAGTAAATTGGTACCAGGAGTGGGGCACTGCTGAAAAGATACCTGAAAATGTGGAAGCGACTTTGGAACTGGGTAACAGGCCGAGGTTGGAACAGTTTGGAGGACTCAGAAGAAGACAGGTAAATGTGGGAAAGTTTGGAACTTTCCAGGGACTTGTTGAATGGCTTTGCCCAAAATGCTGATAGTGATATGGACAATAAGATCCAGGCTGAGGTGATCTCAGGTGGAGATAAGGAACTTGTTGGGAACTGGAGCAAAGGTGACTCTCGTTATGTTTTAGCAAAGAGACTGGCAGCATTTTGCCCCTGCCCTAGAGATTTGTGGAACTTTGAACTTGGGAGAGATGATTTAGGGTGTCTGGCAGAAGAAATTTCTAAGCAGCAAAGCATTCAAGAGGTGACTTGGCTACTCTTAAAGGCACTCAGTTTTAAAAAGGAAATGGAGTGTAAAAGTTTGGAAAATTCATAGCCTGAAAATGTGATGGAAAAGAAAATCCCATTTTCTGGGGAGAAATTCAAGATGGCTGCAGAAATTTGCAAAAGTAATGAGGAGCCTAACATTAATCCCCAAGACAATGGGAGACATGTCTCCAGGGAACGTCAGAGGTCTTCACAGCAGCCACTCCCATCTCAGGCCCAGAGACCTAGGAGGAATAGATGGTTTCATGGGTCGAACCCAGGACTCCCTGCTTTGTGCAGCCTAGGGACTTGGTACCCTGTGTTCCAGCAACTCCAACCATGGCTAAAAGGGGCCAAAGTATGGCTCAGGCTGCTGCTTCAGAGGGTGGAAGCCACAAGCCTTGGCAGCTTTCATGTGGTGTTGAGCCGGTGAGTGCACAGAAGTCAAGAATTGAGGTTTGGGAACCTCTGCCTAGATTTCAGAGGATGTATGGAAACACCTGGATGCCTAGATAGAAGTTTGCTGCAGGGCTGGGGCCCTCATGTAGAAGCTCTGCTAGGGCAGTGCAGAAGGGAAATGTGAGGTTGAAGCCCCCAGACAGAGTTCCTACTGGGGCACCACCTAGTGGAGCTGTGAGAAGAGGGCCACCATCTTCCAGGGCCCAGAATGGTAGATCCACCAACAGCTTGCACCATTTGCCTGGAAAAGCCACAGACATCCAATGCCAGCTTGTAAAAGCAGCCAGGAGCAGGGCTCTAACCTGCAAAGCCACAGGGCTGGAGCTGCCCAAGACCATGGGAGTCCACCTCTTGCATCAGCATGACCTGGATGTGAGACATGGACTCAAAGGACATCATTTTGGAGCTTTAAGATTTGACTGCCCTGCTGGATTTCAGACTTGCATGGGGCCTGTAGCCTCTTTGTTTTGGTCAATTTCTCCCATTTGGAACAGCTGTATTAACCCGATGTCTGTACCTTCATTGTATCTTGGAAGTAACTAACTTGCTTTTGATTTTACAGGCTCATAGGTGGAAGGAACATGCTTTGTCTCAGATGAGACTGTGGACTGTGGACTTTTGAGTTAATGCTGAAATGAGTTAAGACTCTGGGGGACTGTAGGGAAGGCATGATTGGTTTTGAAATGTGAGGACATGAGATTTGGGAGGAGCCAGGTGTGGAATGATATGGTTTGGCTCTGTGTACCCACCCAAATATCATCTTGAATTCCCATCTATAATTCCCACGTGTTGTGGGAGGGACCCAGTGGGAGATAATTGAATCATGGGAGTAGTTTCTCCTATACTGTTCTCATGGTAATGAATAAATCTCAAGAGATCTAATGGTTTTATAAAGGGAAACCCCTTTTTCTTGGCTCTCATTCTGTGTTGCTGCTGCCATGTAAGGAGTGCCTTTTGCCTTCTGCCATAACTGAGGCCTTCCCAGCCAAATGGAACTATAAGTCTATTTAAGCTCTTTCTTTTGTAAATTGCCCGGTCTTGGGGATGCCTTTATCAGCAGCATGAAAACGGACTAATATAGTTATCT
Source organism: Homo sapiens (assembly GCF_000001405.40). NCBI lineage: Eukaryota > Metazoa > Chordata > Mammalia > Primates > Hominidae > Homo > Homo sapiens. Next base: position 87,297,868 of record NC_000007.14, on the reverse strand, counting down.
TCTAGGGTATTTTTTGAAATGGTTTTAGCTTTTATATTTAAGTCTTAAATCCATCTTGAGCTGATTTTTATATACGGTTTAAGGTAGGGGTCCAATTTCAATCTTCTGCATATGGCCAGTCAGTGATCCCAGCACCATTTATTGAATGAGATGTCTTTTCCCTATGGCTTGTTTTTGTCAACTTTGTCAAAGATCAGATGATTTTAGGTGTGTGGCATTATTTCTGAGATCTCTATTCTGTTCCATTGGTCTATGTATCTGTTTTTGCATCAGTACTATGCTGTTTAGGTTACTGTACCTCTGTAGTATAGTTTGAAGTTGGGTAATGTAACACTTCCTGCTTTTTTCTTTTTATTTAGAATTGCCTTGGGTATTTGGGCTCTTTTTACGTTCCATGTAAAATTTAAAATCTTTTTTTCTAGTTCTTTGAATAATGTCATTGGTAGTTTAAAAGGAATAGCATTGAACTTGTAAATCACTTTGGGCACTATGGCTATTTTAACAATGTTGATTCTTCCTAACCATGAGCATGGAATGTTTTTTCATTTGTTTGTGTTGTCTCTGGTTTCTATGAGCAGTGTTTTGTAATTACTGTTGTAGAGATCATTCACTCTCCTGGTTAGCTGTATTAGGTTTTTTTTTCTTTTTCATGGCAGTTGTGAATGGAATTGTAATCCTGATTTGGCTCTCAGCTTGGATGTTGTTTGTGTACAGGAATGTTACTGATATTTGAATGTTGATTTTGCTTCCTGAAACTTTGCTAAAGTTGTTTTTCAGATCAAGGAGCTTTTGGGAAGGGACTGAAATCATCTTTGCAAAATTTTGGCAGTGATATGTATGGCTCTGTGTCCCCACCCAAATCTCCTCTTGAATTGTAACTCCCACAGTTCCCACATGTAATGAGAAGAGCCTGGTGGGAGGTGATTGAATTATAGGGGTGTGTCTTTCCTGCACTGCCCTCATGATAGTGACTGAGTCTCAAAGATCTAATGGTTTTAAAAAAAGAAAGTTTGCCTGCAGAAGCTCTCTCTTTGCCTGCCACCATCCATGTAAGATGTGACTTGCTCCTCCTTGTCTTCCACCATGATTGTGAGGCTTCCCCAGCCACATGGAACTGTGAGTTATCCATTAATGCTTTTTCCTTAATAAATTGCCCAGTATCGGGTATGTCTTTATCAGCAGCATGTAAATGAACTAATACAGATAGTAAGAGAAATCTGACATGGCTGACTTCAACTTGCTTAAAATCTCACAGGTTGGCTGTCTTTGCTTATTCCTAGGTGTGGACCAAGCTAGCTTTGGTAGAAATTTAGTTTATAGTTTAAATGATAATAATAGCCCTTCCCCAAAACTAAGCTATTCTTGTATAGCAAATGAAAGGCCACCTAGTTAGGGAGGATAAGAGAGGCTTGAATTCTAAATAATTGCCAGCCATTATTCCAGAGGTCATAAGATTTGCAATTTCCCAATTATTCTTGTAGATAACACCACCATTATAGTACCTAAAATTGGTCTTTTAAGATGTCTTTTGAGGTTTTTGCATGTCTGACAACTGGATAGTCTCATCTGGACCCACCAACCAGTTCTATGGCCCCCACCCAGAAACTGACTCAGCACAAGGTGACAGCTTTGATTCCCTATGATTTCATCTCCAACCCAACCAATCAGCATGCTCCCTACCTTAGACCCCTGCCCACCAAACTATATTTGAAAAACCCCTAACTTCCAAGCCTTTGGAAAGATTGATTCGAGTAATAACCCTATCTCCCATGTGGCATGTGTGGCTTTGTGTTTATTAAACTCTCTGTTTACTGCAATGTCATAGTCTCATTGCATCAATTTCATTTGTGCAGCCAAAAGGAAGGACTCATTGGGTGGTTATAAGACTCTGGGGTTTTCTAGCTATAGAATCATGTTGTCTGCAAACAGGGGTAGTTTGACTTCCTCTCTTCCTATTTGGATGCTTTTTATTTCTTTCTCTTGCCTGATTGCTCTGGCCAGGAATTCCAATGCTACGTTGAATAAGAGTGGTGAGACAGGACATTTTTGTCTTGTGCTTGCTGGTTTTCAAGAGGAATGCTTTCAGCTTTTGCCCATTCAGTACTATGTTGGCTGTGGTTTTATCACAGATGGTTCTTATTATAAGACATGTTCTTTCAATGCCTAGTTTTTTGAGGTTCTTTTTTTTAACACGAAGGAATGTTGAGTTTTATCAAAAGGCTTTTCTGTATCGAGATAATCATGTGGTTTTTGTTTTTAGTTCTGTTTGTGTGATGAATCACATTTATTGATTTTTGTGTATTAAACCAACTTTGCATTCCAGAAATAAAGCCTACTTGATAGTGTGGATTAGCTTTTTGATGTTCTGATGAATTAGGTTTGCTTGACTTTTCTTGAGGATTTTTGCACCTATGTTCACTAAGGATATTGGCCTGAAGTTTTCTTTTTTTGCTGTGTATCCATTAGGTTTTAGAATCAAGATAATTCTGGTCTCACAGAAAGAGTTGGGGAGGAGTCCCTCATTCTCAATTTTTAAAATAGTTTCAGTAGGAATAACACCAGCTCTTCTTTATACATCTGGTAGAATTTGGCTGTGAATCTGTCTGGTCCTGGGCATTTTTTTTTTTTTTTTGGTTGCTCTGTCCAGGAATTCAATTTATTCCTGTTCAGTCTTGACAGGGTGTATGCGTCCAGGAATTTATCCATTTCTTCTAGGTTTTCTAGTTTGTGTACATACAGGTGTTCATAATATTTCCTGATGGTTATTTGTATTTCTGTGGGGTAAGTGGTAATATCCCCTTTTTCATTTCTAATGTGTTTATTTGGATTTTCTCTCTTCTTTTTTGTTAGTCTAGCTAGTGGTCTATTTTATTATTTTTTTCAAAAAAACTCCTGGATTTATTGATCCTTTAAATTTTTAAAAAAATTGTTAATGTCCTTCAGTTCAGCTCTAATTTTGGTCATTTCTTGTCTTCTGCTAGCTTTGGGGTTGATTTGCTCTTGCTTCTCTAGTTCGTCTACTTGTGATGTTAGGTTGTTAATTTGAGATCTTTTTGACTTTCTGGTGTGGGCATTTAGTGCTATAAACTTCCCTCTTAACATTGCCTTATCAGTGTCCCAGAGGTTTTGGTATGTTGTATCTTTGTTCTCATTAGTTTCATTTTTTTTTATTTCCACCTTAATTTTATTGTTCACCTAAAAGTCATTAAAGAGCAGGTGGTTTAATTCCCATGTTATTGTATGGTTTTGAGTGATTTTCTTAGTATTAATTTCTATTTTTATTGTGTTGTGCCCCAAGAGTGTAATTTAGATTTTTTTTTTTTTTTTTTTTGAGACGGTATCTCGCTCTGTCACCCAGGCTGGAGTGCAGTGGTGTGATCTCAGCTCACTGCAAGCTCTGCCTCCTGGGTTCACGCCATTCTCCTCCCTCAGCCTCCTGAGTAGCTGGGACTATAGGCGCCTGCCACCACACCCGGCTAATTTTTTGTATTTTTAGTACAGACGGAGTTTCACCATGTTAGCCAGGATGGTCTTGATCCCCTGATCTCGTGATCCATGCTCCCTAAGTGCCTTGGCCTCCCAGAGTGCTGGGATTACAGGCTTGAGCCACCACACCCGGCCAATTTTGATTTTTTTGACTTTGCCAAGTATTGCTTTATGTACTGTTGTGTGGCCAATTCTGGAGTATGTTCCATGTGGCAATGAGAAGAATGTATGTTCTGTTGTTTTGGGGTGGAAAATTCTGTAGATGCCTATTAAGTCCATTTGTTCAAGTGTTGAGTACAGGTCCTGAATATCTTTGTTAATTTTCTCCCTCAATGATCTATCTAATATGGTCAGTGGGGTGTTGAAGTCTCACACTATTATTGTGTGGAAATTTAAGTCTCTTTGTAGGTCTCTAAGAACTTGCTTTATGAATCTGTGTGCTCCTGTGTTGGGTGTGTATATATTTGGGATAGTTTGGTCTTCTTATTGAATTGAACCCATTACTATTATATAATGAACACCTTTCCTTTATGTTTTAATCTTTGTTGGTTTAAAGTCTGTTTTGTCTGAAATTAAGATTGCATCCCATGCTTTTTTCTGTTTTCTGTCATTGCATGTGAAATGGGTCTCTCTCTTTCTCTCTCTCTTTTTTTTTTTTTTTTGAGACAGAACCCCACTCTTTGCCCAGGTTGGAGTGCAGTGGCAGATCTCAGCTCACTGCAGCCTCCACCTCCAAGATCCAAGGAATTCTCCCACCTCAGCCTCCTGAGTAGCTGGGATTAGAGGTGTGTGCCACCATGCCTGGCTAATTTTTGTATTTTTAGTAGAGATGGAGTCTTGCCATGTTGGCCAAGCTGGGCTCAAACTCCCGACCTCAGGTGATCCACCCGCCTTGTACTCCCAAAGTGCTGGGATTACAGGTGTGAGCCACCACACCCAGCCCCCAAGATGGGTCTCTGGAAGACAGTGTAACACTGGGTCTTTCTTCTTTATTCAGCTTGCCACTCTGTGCTTTTTAATTGGGGCATTTAGCCCATTTACATTCAAGGTTAATATTCATCTGTGCAAATTTGATTCTGTCATCATGTTGTTAGCTAGTTATGCAGATCTGTTTGTGTGGTTGCTTTGTAGTGTCACTGGTCTGTGTATTTAAGTGTGTTTTTATAGCAGCTGGTAATGGTCTTTCCTATTTAGCGCTCCTTTCAGGAGCACTTGTAGGGCAGGTCTGGTGGTAATGAATTTCCTCAGCATTTGCTTGTCTGATAAGGATTGTATTTCTCTTTCACTTTTGAAACTTAGTTTGGCCAGATATGAAATTCTTGGTTTGAGACTTTTTTTTCCTTAAAAATGTTGAATATAGGACCCCAATCTCTTTTGGCTTGTAGGGTTTCTGCTGAAAGGTCTACTTTTAGCCTCATAGGATTCCCTTTGTAGATGATCTGCCCTTTTTCTCTAGCTGCCTTTAACATTTTTTCTTTTATTTCAACCTTGGAGAATATGATGAGTATGTTTCTTGGGGATGGTCTTCTTGCATAGTATCTTTCAGGGGTTCTCTGCATTTCCTGAATTTGAATGATGACCTTTCTAGTGAGGTTGGGAAAGTTTTCATGTTATATCCTGAAATATGTTTCCTAAATTTCTTAGTTTCTCCCCTTCTCTTTCTGGAACACTAATGAGTCATGGATTTGGTCTCTTTACATAATACCGTATTTCTCAGGGGTTTTGTTCATTCCTTTCTTTTCTGTTTTTTAAAAAAATTTGTCTGACTGTCTTATTTCAGAAAGCCAGTCTTTAAGTTCTGAGATTATTTCCTCAGCTTTGTCCATTCTGCTGCTAATACTTCCATTCTTGTGCTGATTCCTTCTCATCTGTGTAGGCTGATATTCCTTCTACTTTGAAGTTGCCATCTTTGGATGGATTTTTTTTTCTTCTTTCTTCTTTGATGCCCTTGGGGGTTAGATTATGGTATATGGTAGGCTTGGTTGATTGGTTTTGATTCTAGTCTGCTCTTGGATCTTGGAGGAGTCCCATCCAATTACTGTCTGTGCCAACATTTCTTCTTTTGAGTGTTCTGGTCTATGGGGCTCCATCAGGCAGGGGCCACAGTTGGCATACAAGATGTATCCTTGCCAGGTTGGCCTTAATCTGCTGTCTGTGTGCTTCCCGGAGAAACACAGGGTTGCACCCCCTACAGAGTTCTGGCAAAAGTGGGACTGCTGGGTTGGAAGCTCTCACAGGTGTGGCCTGTCTGGCTGTGGGAGGTAGGGGTGGGTGAAATTGCCTACCCTGTGATCACAGGGTGTCCAGGGCAACAGGGGGACTGTGCCTCTCTGCAATTTCAGGCAGAAGTAGGACTGCTGGGCCAGAAGTTCTAGCAGGCATGGCTCACCTGGCTACCAGCAGTGGCAGTGGGTGCAAACACCTGTCCTGCCATCTAGGTGCTTCCTGGGACAACAGGAGGCTGCATCCACCAGCTGAATTCCCATAGAAGTGAGGCCACTGAGCCGGAAGCTCTAGCAGGTGTTCCCTGCCTGGCTACCAGTGGCAGAGGTGTGGGGTCACGTGTGCTGCTGTCCAGGTGTTTACTGGGACAACAGGAAGCTGTGCCCTATAGCTGAACTCACACAGAGGTGGGGCCACTGATCCAAAAACTCCATCAGGTGTTGCCTTCCTGGCTACCAGTGGCAGGGGTGGGTGGGGTCACATGCTCTGCCATATACATGCTTCCCAGGACAGCAAGAAGCTGCTCCCTCTAGTTGAGCTCACATAGAAGTGGGGCTGCTGGGCTCAATGTTCTAGAAGGCATTGCCTGCCTGGCTATCAATGGTGGTGTAAGTGGGGTCACGTGCTCTGCCATCTGGGTATTTCCTCTGACAGTTGGCAGCTGCACCCTCCAGTTGAGTTCACACAGAAACAAAGCCACTGGACCAGAATCTCTAGCAAGAGTTGTCTGCCTGGCTATCAATAGTGTGGTTGGGTGGGGTAATGTGCCCTGCCATGTAGGTGTTTCCTGGAACAGCAGGAATCTATGCCCTCCAGCAGAGTTCACACAGAAGTGGCCTACTGAGCCAGAAGCTCTAGCAAGCATCACCTCCCTGGCTATCAATAACAGAGGTGGGTAGGATCACATGCCCAGCTATCCAGGTGCTTCCCAGGACAGCAGGAAGCTGTGCTCTCTGGCTGGGTTCACACAAAAGTAGGTGTATTAGTCCATTTTCGTGTTCCTGATAAAGACATACCCAAGACTGGGAAGAAAAAGAGGTTTTATTGGACTTAAAGTTCCACATGGCTGGGAAGCCCTCAGAATCATGGCAGGAGGTGAAAGGCACTTCTTACATGGTGATGGCAAGAGAAAATGAGGAAGAAGCAAAAGCAGAAACCCCTAATAAACCCACCAGATCTCATGAGATTTATTCACTATCATGAGAATAGCATGAGAAAGACCAGTTCCCATGATTCAATTACCTCCCCCTGGCTCCCTCCCACAACATGTGGAAATTATGGGAGATACAGTTCAAGTTGAGATTTGGGTGGGGAAACAGCCAAACCATATAATTCTGCTCCTGGCCCCTCCAAATTTCATGTCATCAGTTTTCAAAACCAATCACGCTTTCCCAACAGTCTCCCAAAGTCTTAACTCATTTCAGCATTAACCCAAAAGTCCACATTTGATGGTCTCTTCTGAGACAAAGCAAGTCCCTTTTGCCTATGAGCCTGTAAAATCAAAAGCAAGCTAGTTACTTCCTAATATGATGGGAGTAGAGGTATTGGGTAAATACACCATTCCAATGGAAGAAATTGGCCAAAACAAAGGGCTTACAGGGCCCATGCAAGTCTGAAATCCAGCAGGGCCATCAAATTTTAAAGCTCAAAAATAGGCCGGGTCTGGTGGCTCACTCCTGTAATCCCAGCATTTTGGGAGACTGAGGTGAGCAGATCACCTCATGTCAGAAGTTCAAGACCAGCCTGGCCAACATGGTGAAACCCCATCTCTACAAAAATAGAAAGATTAGCCGGGCATGATGGTGGGTGCCTGTAATCCCAGCTATTCAGGAGGCTGAGGTGGGAGATTCACTTGAACGCAGGAGGCAGAAGTTGCAGTGAGCCGATATTGCCCCACTGCTCTTCAGCCTGGGTAACAGAGGGAGACACCATCTGAAAAAAAAAAAGGATCACCTGTTTTTTTGGGGCTGGCAAAATGGCTAAATAGGGACAGTTCAGGTTTGCAGCTTGCAGCAAGATCAATGCAGAAGGTGGGTGATTTCTGCATTTCCAACTGAGGTACCCAACTCATCTCCCTGGTTAGACAGTGGGTGCAGCCCACAGAGGGTGAGCCAAAGCAGGGTGGGGTGTCACCTCACCTGGGAAGCAAAAAGGGTCAGAGAACTCCATCCCCTAGCCAAGGGAAGCTGTGAGGGACGGTGCCATGAGGAATGGCGCACTACAGTCCAGGTACTACGCTGTTCCCATGGTCTCCACAACCCACAGACCAGGAAATTCCCTCCAGTGCCTATGTTTCTGGAATTGGTGGGTTCTTGGTCTCACTGACTTCAAGAATGAAGCCGTGGACCCTCACGGTGAGTGTTACAGTTCTTAAAGGTGGCATGTCTGGAGTTTGTTCCTTCTGATGTTCGGATGTGTTCAGACTTTCTTCCTTCTGGTGGGTTTGTGGTCTCGCTGGCTTTAGGAGTGAAGCTGCAGACCTTTGCGGTTGAGTGTTACAGCTCATAAAGGCAGTGTGGACCCAAAGAGTGAGCAGCAGCAAGATTTCTTGCAAAGAGCGAAAGAACAAAGCTTCCACAATGTGGAAGGGGACCCTAGCGGGTTGCCACTGCTGGCTCGGGCAGCCTGCTTTTATTCTCTTATCTGGCCCCACCCACATCCTGCTGATTGGTAGAGCCAAGTGGTCTGTTTTGACAGGGCGCTGATTGGTGTGTTTACAATCCCTGAGCTAGACACAAAGGTTCTCCACGTCCCCACCAGATTAGCTACATACAGAGGGTCCACACAAAGATTCTCCAAGTCCACACCAGAGTAGCTAGATACAGTGTAGATTGGTGCATTCACAAACCCTGAGCTAGACACAGGATGCTGATTAGTGTGTTTACAAAACTTGAGCTAGTTATAGAGTGCCGATTGGTGTATTTACAATCCCTGAGCTAGACATAAAGGTTCTCCAAGTCCCTACCAGTCAGGAGCCCAGCTGGCTTCACACAGTGGATCCTGCACACGGGCCGCAGGTGGAGCTGCCTGCCAGTCCCACGCCATGCGCCTGCACTCCTCAGCCCTTGGGTGGTCGATAGGACTGGGCACCATGGAGCAGGGGGCAGCACTCATTGGGGAGGCTTGGGCTGCACAGGAGCCCATGGAGAGCGGGGGAGACTCAGGCATGGTGGGCTGCAGGTCCCGAGCCCTGCCCCATGGGAAGGCAGCTAAGGCCCGGCGAGAAATCCAGCGCAGTGCCAGTGGGCCAGCACTGCTGGGGGACCCAGCACACCCTCTGCAGCTGCTGGCCTGGGTGCTAAGCTCCTCATTGCCCGGGGCCAGCAGGGCCAGCCTGCCGCTCCCAGTGCAGGGCCCGCCAAGCCCACGCCCACCCGGAACTCCAGCTGGCCCACAAGCACTGTGCGCATCCCAGGTTCCCGCTTGCACCTCTCCCTCCACACCTCTCTGCAAGCTGAGGGAGCCAGCTCTGGCCTTGGCCAGCCCAGAAAGGGGCTCCCACAGTGCAGCAGTGGGCTGAAGGGCTCCTCAAGTGCCACCAAAGTGGGAGCCCAGGGAGAGGAGGCGCCGAGAGGGAGTGAGAGCTGTGAAGGCTGCCAGCATGCTGTCACCTCTCACCTACGCCACAAGGGCCCTGGGTTTCAAGCACAAAACTGGGAGGCCTTTTGGGCAGACACCGAGCTAGCTGCAGGAGTTTCTGTCATACCCCAGTGGCGCCTGGAAAGCCAGTGAGATAGAACTGTTTCACTCCCCTGGAAAGGGGGCTGGAGCCAGGGAGCCAAGTGGTCTAGCTCAGCAGATCCCACCCGCATGGATCCCAGCAAGTTAAGACCCACTGGCTTGAAATTCTTCCTGCCAGCACAGCAGTCTGAAGTCAACCTGGGATGCTCAAGCTTGATGGGGGTAGGGACATCTGCCATTACTGAGGCTTGAGTAGGCAGTTTTCCCCAGACAGTGTAAACAAAGCCACTGGGGAGTTTGAACTTGGCGGAGCCCGCTGCAGCTCCATGAAGTCACTGTAGCCAGACTGCCTCTCTAGATTACTCCTCTCTGGGCAGGGCATCTCTGAAAGAAAAGCAGCAGCTCCAGTCTGGAGCTTATAGATCAAACTCCTATCTCCCAGGGACAGCACCTAGGGGAAGGAGTGGCTGTGGGTGCAGCTTCAGCAGACTTAAACACTCCTGCCTGCCAGCACTGAAGAGAGCAGCAGATCCTGCAGCACAGCACTCGAGCTCTGCTAAGGGACAGACTGCCTCCTCAAGTGGATCACTGACCCCTGTGCCTCCTGACTGGGAGACACTTTCCAGCAGGGGTCAACAGACACCTCATAGAGAAGAGCTACAACTGGCATGTGGCAGGTGCCCCCCTGGGATTAAGCTTCCAGAAACAGGAACAGGCAGCAATCTCTGCTTTTCTGCAGCCTCCACTGGTGAAACCTAGACAAACAGAGTCTAGAGTACACCTCCAGTGAACTCCAGCAGACCTGCAGCAGAGGGGCCTGACTGTTAGAAGCAAAACTAACAAACAGAAAGGAATAGCATCAACATCAACCAAAAGGATTTCCACACAGAAACTCCATCCGAACTTCACCAACATCAAAGACCAAAGACCACAGAGATAAGGAAAAACCAGTGCAAAAAGGCCGAAAATTCCAAAATCCAGAAGACCTCTTCTCCTCCAAAGGATCACAACTCCTCGCCAGCAAGGGAACAAAACTGGATGGAGAATGAGTTTGACGAATTGATAGCAGTAGGCTTCAGAAGATGGGTAACAAACTCCTCTGAGCTAAAAGAGCATGTTCTAACCCAAGGCAAGGAAGCTGAGAACCTTGAAAAAAGGTTAGAGGAAATGTTAACTAGAATAGCCAGTTTAGAAAAGAACATAAACGACCTGACCAAGTTGGAAAACACTCTTCAGGATATTATCCAGGAGAACTTCCCCAATCTAGCAAGACAGGCCAACATTCAAATTCAGGAAATACAGAGAACACCACAAAGATACTCCTCAAGAAGAGCAACCCCAAGACATATAATCGTCAGATTCACCAAGGTTGAAATGGAGAAAAAAAATGTTAAGGACAGCCAGAGAGAAAGGTCAAGTTACCCACAAAGGGAAGCCCATCAGACTAACAGCAGATCTCTCTGCAGAAACCCTACAAACCAAAGAGAGTGGAGGCCAATACTCAACATTCTTAAAGAGAAGAATTTTCAACCCAGAATTTCAACCCAGCCAAACTAAACTTCTTAAGTGAAGGAGAAATAAAATCCTTTACAGTCAAGCAAATGCTGAGGGATTTTGGCACCAGCACCACTAGGCCTGCCTTACAAGAGATACTGAAGGAAGCACTAAACAAGGAAAGGAAAAATCAGTACCAACCACTGCAAAAACATACCAAATTGTAAAGACCATCAACACTATGAAAAAAACTTCAATAATTAACTGGCAGAATAACCAGCTAGATCATAATGACAGGATAAAAGTCACACGTAACAATATTAACCTTAAATGTAAATGGGCTAAATGCCCCAATTAAAAGACACAGACTGGCAAATTGGATAAACAGTCAAGGCCCATCAGTATGCTATATTCAAGAGAGCCATCTCAAGTGCGAAGACACACATAGGCTCAAAATAAAGGGATGGAGGAATATTTACCAAGCAAATGGAAAGCAAAAAAAAAAAAAAAAAAAAAAAAAAAAGCAGAGGTTGCAATCCTAGTCTCTGATAAAACAGACTTTAAACCAACAAAGATCAAAAAGGACAAAAAGGGCATTACGTAATGGTAAAGGGATCAATGCAACAAGAAGAGCTAACTATCCTAAATATATATGCACCCAGTACAGGAGCAACCATATTCATAAAGCAAGTTTTTAGAGACCTACAAAGAGACTTAGACTCCCACACAATAATAGTGGAGGCTTTAACACCCCACTGTCAATATTAGACAGGTCAATGAGACAGAAAATTAATAAGGATATTCAGGACTTGAACCCAGCTCTTGACCAAGCAGACCTAATAGACATCTACCAAACTCTCCACCCCAAATTGACAGAATATACATTCTTTTCAGCCCCAAATCGCACTTATTCTAAAATTGACCACATAATTGGAAGTAAAACATTCCTCAGCAAACCCAAAAGAATGGAAATCATAACAAACAGTCTCTCAGACCACAGTGCAATGAAATTAGAACTCAGGATTAAGAAACTCACTCAAAACTGCACAACTACATTGAAACTGAACAACTTTCTCCTGAATGACTACTAAGTAAATAACAAAATGAAGGCAGAAATAAATAAGTTATTTGAAACCAATGTGAACACGGACACAACATACCAGAATATCTGGAACACAGCCACAACAGTGTTTAGAGGGAAATTTATAGCATGAAATGCCCAGAGGAGAAAGCAGGAAAGATCTAAAATTGACACCCTAACATCACAATTAAAAGAACAAAGAAGCAAGAACAAGCAAATTCAAAAGCTAGCAGAAGATAAGAAATAACTAAGATCAGAGCAGAACAGAGATAGAGATATGAAAAACCCTTCAAAAAAATCAATGAATCCAGGAGCTGGTTTTTTCAAAAGATCAACAAAATAGGTAGACTACTAGCCAGACTAATAAAAAAGAAAAGAGAGAAGAATGAGCAGCTTCTAGTCTGCCATCTTGGCCTCTCCACATATTCTCACATTTACTTACAAAGGTGTTTCTCTGTGAAACCCTTCCATTCACTGAGAGAAAACAGTTTACAATGCATCTTAATAAAAGCATGCTTACATTTGTTTATTTTTGCTGGATTCCTTTACTTGGCCTTCTAGGGTCCAATGGAGACATGAACATGTTCTAATAACATGTTCTAAAAGTTAGATTTCAAAAGTATTTATTTGTCAGTCATTTTCATTCACCTAAAGAAAACGGTTTATGATAAATCCTTAGGAAACCATGCTTATATTTTCCATTTGTAGCTGCATATGTAATCTTGTGTAATATAAACCAATGGAAAAAGAAACATGTTCTATTAACATATTCTCAATGCTTAACGGGCATTTCTCTGTCAAACTCTGCCATTCATTGAAAGAAAACAGTTTATGATGCCTCTTAAAGAAAGCATGCTTATCTTTGCCTATTAGTGCTGGATTTCTCTACTTGACCTGTTAGCACCCAATGGAGAAAGAAACATGTTCTAATAACATATTTTCAATGTTTTCTTATAAAGGTGTTTCTCTGTCAAACTCTGCCATTCACTGAAAGAAAAGAGTTTATGATGCATCTTAAATAAGGCATGGTTACATTTACCATTTACTGCTGGATTTTGCTACTTGGCCTACGTATTAGTCTAGGTTCTCTAGAAGGACAGAACTATATATATATATATATATATATATATATATATATATATATATATATATATATATATGAGTTTAATAAGTATTAACTCATGCAATCACAAGGTATCTGCAGGCTGAGGAGCAAACAAAGCCTGTCTGCATTCCAAAACTGAAGAACTTGGAGTTTGATGTTTGAGGGCAGTAAGCATCTAGCAAGGGAGAAAGATGTAGGCTGGGAGGCTAGGCCAGTCTCTCTTTTCACATTTTTCTGCTTGCTTATATTCTAGCTGTGCTGGCAGCTGATTAGATTGTACCCACCCAGATTAAGGGTAGGTCTGCCTTTCCCAACCCACTGACTCAAATATTAATCTCCTTTGGCAACACCTTCACAGACACACCCAGGATCAATACTTTGTATGCTTCAATCCAATCAAGCTGCAACTCAGTATTAATCATCACAAGTCCATCCCTTGTCAATGTGAACTCATACATATCTCCTGATATTATACATAATCTTCAAAGACAATAATAAGATCATAATTACACCTAACATACTACAACTATCCTTTGTATAACTAGAAACACACCAATCCCCAACCAAAATACTATTACATAAAGTTAATAATACTTAAATGCTGATGTGAAGTCAATAAATCTTATATCACATGACAATTGAGATGGAAATAAAATGAAGATCTTTTCTTAGTACAAGTGTATATGTGCACAAACATGTTTTTAACAGTAGAAAGAGGAAATACTAATGACAATTACAGAACTCATTTCTGCAGCTAGTCACGTGGTCCTAGCTGGTATTAATGACTACCTTCTTCTACTACCCATTCTGTATTTCCTTTACTTTCAGCAAGCAACTCAGGAGGTCCAGTTTTTTTTCCTGGTGGAATGACCCAAACCTTCATTCCTGAAGGGTCTGTGTCATTTGTAGTCCTTCCTGGATTGAGCTGTTGTAGTTTCCCATTGACCTTAATCACAGGGCATGGTAATACTAAAAGACACCCTAACGGATCTCCTGTATTCCACTCATACTCTTCCTTACCTCCGTTGTGAAGTAGTAGACTGCTTTCATCTTGATAGTCTGGGTTAATCACCCCAGCCAACACTGTAACTCCCTTCTTAGTCTGTTGACTTAAAGGTAGGAGGAGTCCGAAGTGTCAAGGTGGCAATCTTAACTTCCAGTTTAGTGGAATTATTATTGTGTCTCCTGGCAGCAGCACTCCTCCCTGTGGAACTAAGACCTCTAGGCCAGCAGAGTGTAATTTTGTGGGAACAGGGAGCAAAAATTTTGCTAGTGATCACTAGGGTTGATGGTGAGTGGTGCCACTTCCACTTCCACCCCTTGATTCCTGGACCCGTGAATCCACATATTAGACGCTGATTCAGAGCATCACAGCCTTCTGGAGAATTTTGCCCCAGCCCTGCAAAGTATTGTCACCTAGTTGGTATTTTGTGACAAAAAAAAAAGGCCATTCCACCATTCTATCAATCCAACTGCTTCAGGATGATAGGGAACATAGTAGGACCAGAGAGATCCATGAGCAATGGAAGAATGAAACAATACCACCTCTGAATGAGCCTGGCTTATGAGCATGAGCCCACTGTTGCACTTCTTCAGCCATGTGACCAAGTGCCTTAGTCAGAGGCAATGCTGTGTGGAATACCATGAGAGTGGATAAGGCATTCCGTGAGTCCATAGATGGTAGTCTTGGTAGAAGCATTGTGTGCAAGATAAGCAAATCCATAGCTGGAGTAAGTGTCTATTCCAGTGAGGACAAACCTCTGCCCTTTCCATGATGGAAGAGTTCCAATATGATCAACCTACCACCAGGTAGCTGGCTGATCACCTCAAGGAATGGTGCTATATTGAGGGCTCACTGTTGGTCTTTGCTGCTGGCAAATTGGGCATTCAGACTCAGCAGTGGCCATAGCCAGGTCAGTCTTGGTGAGTGGAAGTCCATGTTGCTGAGCCCATGCATAACCTCCATCCCTGCCACCATAGCCACTTTGTTCATGGGCCCATTGGGAGATGACAGGGTGGCTGGGGAAAGAGGCTGAGTAGTGTTCACAGAACAGCTCATCCTATCTACTTTATTATTAAAATCCTCCACTGCTGAGGTCACCCGTTGGTGAGCACTCACATGGGATACAAATATCTTCACAGTTTTTGACCACTCAGAGAGGTTCATCCACATACCTCTTCACCAAATTTCTTTGCCACCAATTTTCCAATCATGCTTCTTCCAAGTCCCTGACCATCCAGCCAAACTGTTGGCTACAGCCCATGAATCAATATGTAATTGTACATCCGGTCATTTCTCCTTCCATGAAAAATGCACAATGAGGTGCACTGCTCACAGTTCTGCCCACTGGGAAGATTTCCCTTCACAACCGTCCTTCAGGGATGTCCTAGAAAGGGGCTATAGTGCTGCAGCTGTCCACTTTTGGGTTGTACCTGCATATTGTGCAAAGCCATCTGTGAACTATGCCCTAGTCTTCTCTTCCTCTGTCAACTGATCATAGGGAACTCCCCATGAGGCCATCAGTGCAGGCTGGGGGATAGAAGGCAGGGTGGCAGGATTGGAGACCATAGGCATTTGAGCTACTTCCTCAGGTAACTTACTTGTGCCTTCAGGACCTGCTTGAGCACAATCACATATAGCCACTTCCGTTTGATAATGGAATACTGCTGTGCATGACCCACTTTATGCTAGATGGGTCAGAAAGCACCCAGTTCATGATTGGCAGTTCAGGTCACATAGTGACTTGATGACCCATAGTCAAAGGTTCAGTTTCCACCAAATCCCAATAACAGGCCAAGAGCTGTCTCTCAAAAGGAGAGTAGTTATCTTCAGAAGATGGCAGGGCCTTGCTCCAAAATCCTAGAGGCCTCTGCTGTGATTCACCTATGGGAGCCTGCCAAAGCCTCCAAATAGCATTTCTATCTGCCATTGATACCTCAAGCACCATTGGATCTGCTGGGTCATGTGGCCCAAGTGGCAGAGCAGCTTGTACAGCAGCAAGGACCTGTTGCAGAGCCTTCTCCTGTTCTGGACTCCACTCAAAACCGGCAGCTTTTTGGGTGATTTGATAAATGGGCTGGAGTAACACACCTAAATGAGGAGTGTGTTGCCTCCAAAATCCAAATAGATCCACTAGGCGTTGTGCCTCTTTTTTGGTTGTAGGAGGGGCCAAATGCAGCAACTTATCATTCACCTTATAAGGAATATCTCGACAGCCCCCCACGACTGGATCCCTAGAAATTTTACTGAGGTAGAAGGTACCTGAATTTTAATTGGATTTATTCCCATCCTGTGGCACACAAATATCTCACCACTAAGTCCAGTGTGTTTGCTACTTCTTGCTCACTGGATACAATCAGCATAATGTCATCAATGTAACAAACCCAGTGTGATATCTTGCGGAAGTGAAAAGCGATCAGGGTCTCTCCGAATAAGATTATGATACAAAGCTAGAGAGTTGATTAACCCCTGAGGTAGGACAGTAGAGGTATATTTCTGGCCTTGCCAACTGAAGGCAAATTGCTTCTCATAGGCCTTATGGACAGAAATGGAGAAAAGGGCATTTGCCAAGTCAATGGCTGCATACCAGTTTAAGCAGATGTGTTAATTTTCTCAAGCAATGAAACCATATGTGGTACAGCGGCAGCTGCAATTTGAGTCACCACTTAGTTAAGCTTATGATAATCCACTGTCATTCTGCAAGGTCCGTCTGTCTTCTGCACTGGCCAAATTGGAGAGTTGAATGGGGATGTGGTGGGAATCACCACCCCTGCTTCTTTCAAGTACTTGATGGTGGCACTAATCTCTGCAATCCCTCCAGGGATGCAATATTGTTTTTGATTTACTATTTTTCTAGGTACAGGCAGCTCTAATGGCTTCCATTTGGCCTTTACCACAATGATAGCCCTCACCCTACAGGTCAGGGAGCCAATGTGGGTGTTCTGCCAGCTGCTAAGTATGTTTATGCCAATTGTGCATTCTGGCACTGGGAAAATGACCACAGGATGAGTCCAGGGACTCACTCAACCCACTGTAAGTCAGATCTGAGCTAAAACTCCATTAATTACCTGATCTCCATAAGCCCCTACTTTAACTGGAGAATAACAATAACATTTTGGTTCCCCTGGAATCAATATCAGCTCAGAGTCAGTGTCCAGTAGTCCTCAAAATGTCCGATCATTTCTTTTTCCCCAATGCATAGTTATCCTGGTAAAAGGCCAAAAGTCTCCTTGGGGAAGGATAGGAGAAAGACTCACTGCATAAATTGTCGGTAATATAGTTGGGCCCTTCCTCAAGGGGACCCAGCCTTCCCTTCATTCAAGGGATTCTGGGTCTGTAAACTGGCTCAAGTCTGGAAATTGATTGAGCGGCCATGATTCTGTTTTTATAATTCAAATTAGTCTTTTGTCCATTTGACCTAGAAGTTTTCTGCTTTTATAAATTAAGTAGGAATGCAGTATGCTTCCTATCAATTTCACTTCTAGGAATACCATTATCAATTAGCCAATGCCAGAGCTCTACATGAGTCAGACTATTCTGGTTGCCACTTTGCCTCTGGTGTCCATTATGGTAGCTATCCCCACCTTGCCTTTGATGGTTTAGTTTTGCCACTTGGCCCCTGCCACCTCAGGATCCAATTATTTCCATTGTATTTAAATTTTGTAATTGAATGACTGTGGTTCCCACTGTTAGATCTGACATACAGAGGAGAGCAATTGCAGGGCTCTTCAAAGATGCAGGTGCTGCCCTCACAAATCTATTTCACAAGGCATTGGTTAAGGATGTATCTTCTGGGCCCTCCCAGCTGAGATGAGTAGGTCTAAAGTGACTAATCCAGTCCACCATCCCAATCTCCCTAAGCCTTTTGATACCTTCCTCTACATTAAACCAAGGGAGATCAGGCATTTCCAGCTCGTTCACAGTGAGACATCTTTTAATCCATATTTCAGCTAACCAAGCAAATAAACTATTAGAACCTTTTTTAACTCCCCAAGCTGCAACATTAAATGCAGAGTCCCTACTTAGGGGGCCCAAATCAATAAATCCATCCAATTCTATGTTCCTTCCACCATTATCCCACACCCTTAATATCCATTCCCATGCCTGTTCTCCAGATTTCTGTTTATACAAATTAGAAAATTCAAGCAGTTCTTTTCGAGTGTAGTGCACCTCCTCATGGGTCACAGTCTCAACCTCACTTGTCTCTAGGGGTCTGCTGGGACTTTAGTTATACATCTAAGAGCAAACAGAGGTGCTGGGGTGGCTCCTGAGGAGAATCAACATTATCTTACCTGGCAACTGCCTCAGGGGAGGCCATCACTGTTCCCTCAGGCAGTGCAGGGTTTATCTTTTCAGACAAAGGTGGAAAGGCTGATGGCAACATGGGTTGGAGAGGGGATGTTGCCACTGCTGGGGATGGGTAAGCTGTTTCTTCTGACAAAAGAAGTATCATCAGAGTTTACAAACTCAGTGTCCCCAGCTTCATCAGGTCCTCTAGCACATCCCCATTCCAAGTTGCAGGGTTCCATTCTTTTCCAATCAATGCCCTCACTTTTACAGTAGATACCTGGTGAGGCTGTGCATGCACCTTCTGTTGCAGGTCAGCCACTTGCATGATAAGAGCTTGTGTCTGTTTTTCCACAATTTCAGCTCTTTCTCTACCGAAGATAAGACTCTCACTCAGGGCAGTCTTAGCAGATTTGAGGCTCAGTATCTGCTTCTGAGACCAGGAGATAGAATCCCTGAGTTCATCATTTTCTTTCATCATTGTCCACTGAACTTAGGAGCAACCAACTAGCTTCATTATGTTCCTTGGTTGTCCACATACGGTCAAAGATATTATGTATAGAGCCACTAAACACCTTGCCTCTCATGACCAATGAATCAGGAGTGTCAAATGCATTTATTTTGCATAACTCTTTAAACAGTTCACACCAAGGACTATCAGTGTTCTCCATACTATTAGAAGCAGAGTCCTTAGCATTTTTGGGTCTAATCATATTAAGCAGCCAACTCCAGAAACCCCCAAACCAACAAAAAACCTCCAACCTTAATATTCTGTTCCTCTAGAACCACTCCTGGTACCAAAATCTGTATTGGTCAGGATTCTCTACAGGGACAGAACTAATGGAATATACATATATACAGGAGATTATTAAGTATTAACTCACATGATCACAAGGTCCCACAATAGGCCATCTGCAGACTGAGGAGCAAGGAGAGCTAGTCCAAGTTCTAAAACTGAAGAACTTGGAGTTTGATGTTTGAGGGCAGGAAGCGTCCAGCACAGGAGAAAGATGTAGGCTGGGAGGCTATGCCAGTCTCTCTTTTTCACATTTTTCTGCCTGCTTATATTCTACCAGCACTAACAGCTGATTAGATTGTACCCATCCAGATTAAGGGTGGGTCTCCTTTCACAGCCCACTGACTCAAATGTTAATGTCCTTTGGCAGCACCCTCAAAGACACACTCAGGATCAATACTTTGTATTGTTCAATACAGTCAAGTTGACACTCGGTATTAACCATCACAGCCTATTAGGGCCCAATGGAGATATTCACATGTTCTTATACTCTAAAGACTAGTTAGAAGTGGTATTGATTTGTCAAACACTTTTATTCACTGCAAAGAAAAGCAGTTTATGATGAATTTTTAAGAAGCAATGCTTACATTTCATATATCTATATTTCCTTTATATATTTATATATTCTTTTTACATATACACACACGTATCCATATATGTGTGTGTGTATATATATATATATTTATTTATAAACCTGCGTAAAAAACCTGAAGGGGAAACATGTTGTAATAATATAATCTCAATGTTTACCTACAAAGCTATTTCTCTGTCAAACTCTGCCATTTACTGAAATTAAAATTTATGATGCATATTAGAGAAATAAAAAGAATAAAGAATGAAGAAAGCTTACATGACATATAGAATACTATGTAGCAACCAAAGAAAATTTGAATTTTGGGTGTTTCAGAAGGTGAAGAAAAGAGCAAACGCATATAAAACCTATATTATGAAATAATAGCTGAAAACTTCCCAAGTCTAGCAAGAGTTTGACATATACAGATATAGGAAGCCCAAAAATCTCCAAATTGACACAAACCCAAAAAAATCTTCTTTAAGACACATTATAGTCAAATTATCAAAAGTCAAAGACAGAGAAACAATTCCCTAAACAGCAAGAGAAAGATATCTAGTCACATATAAGGGAACTCTAATCAGATTAACAGTTGATTTCTCAGCAAAAACCTTACAGGCTCAGGAAGAATGAGATGATGTATTCAAAGTGCTGAAAGAAAACAACACTATCAGCCAAGAATACTACAACCAGCAAAATTATCATTCAAAAATGAAGAAGCAATAAAGTGTTTCATAGATTAGCAAAAACTGAGGGAATTCTTCACTAGACTGGTCCTGTAAGAAATGCTTAAGGGACTCCTATATCTGGCAGCCAAAGAAAAATATACATGATCACAATAACACACAAAAGTATGAAACTCATAGGTAGAGGAGGCATGCAAATGCAGAAGCAAAAGGACTCAGATCAATCAATTCAGTTGATTGATCAGATCAATCAACTCAGATCAATCAGTATATTTTATATTATGATCAAATATATATGATCATAATAACACACAAAAGTATAAAACTCACTGGTAGAGCAGGCATGCAAATGAGGAAGAAAAAGGACATCAGATGTTACCACTACAGAAAATCACACACCACAATGATAAACAATAAGACAGAAAGAAGGTAGCAAAGGATATACAAAACAAACAGAAAACAATGAACAAAACAACAGGAAAAAGTTCTCACATATTAATAAGAGCCTTGAATATAAACATATTAGATTTTCAACTTAAAAGACAGAAAACTGGCTGAATGGATTAAAAAAAATAAATTTAATCCATTAAATCAAATGGATTTTTAAAAAATGACCCAACTATATGCTGCCCACAAGAAACTCACTTTACTTGTAAAGGCACGCAGACTGAAAATAAAGGGATGGAAAAAGATATTTCACACAAATGAAAACCAAAAGTGATCAGGAGTAGCCATAATTGTATCAAATAAAACAGGCTTTAAGTCAAAAACAGTAGAAAGAGTCAAAAATGTCACTACATAATGATAAAATAATCAAATCAGCAGGAGATAACAATTGTAAGTATATATGCACTCAACAACTGGGCACCCCTTATATGTATAGCAAATATTAGATTTAAATAAAGAGATTGGCTACAATGCAATAATAGTTGGGAACTTCAGCAACACACTCTCCGTACTAGACAAATTATCTAGCCTAAAAATTAACAAGAAACATTGGATTTAAACTGCACTTTAGAGCACAAGGGCCTAACAGACATATACAAAACATATTACTCAAGAGCTGCAAAATATGTATGATTCTTATCAGCATATGGAGCATTCACCAGGATAGACCCTATTTTAGGCCACAAAACAAGTCTCAACAAATTTTAAAAATTGAAGTCATATCTTGTATCTTCTCAGATCTCAATGGAATAAAATTAAAAATCAATAACAAGAGGAACTTTGAAAACTGTACAAATTCATGGAAATTAAACAGCATGCTCCTGAATGACTATTGAGTCAATGAAAATATTAAGAAGGACATAAAAAAAACTTTCGTGTAAAAAATGAAAATGGAAATACAACATACCAAAACCTATGGAATATAGCAAAACCAGTGCTAACAGGGAAATTTATAGCAGTAAACACCTTTCACAACTAAGAAGATTTCAAATAAATGATCTAACAATGCACCTCAAGGAAACAGAGAAGGAAGAACAAACCAAACCTAAAGTTAGTAAAAGGAAAGAAATGAAGATCAACGTAGAACTAAACAAAATAGGGGCTAAAAAAAAAAAGCAATATAAATGATCAATAAAATGAAAAGTTGGCTTTTTGAAAAGGTAAAGTCAATAAGTGATATGGTTTGGCTGTGCCCTTACTGAAATCTCATGTTGAATTGTAATCCTCAATGTTGGAGGAGGGGCCTGGTGGGAGGTGATTGAATCATACAGGCAGACTTCCCCCTTGCTGTTCTTGTGATAGAGTTCTCCCAAGAACTGCTTGTTTAAAAGTATGTAGCACCTTGCCCTGCCTCCCTTCTGTAGTCATGTGAAGATGTGCCTGCTTCCCCTTCCCATTCTGCCTCCTGAGGCCTCCCCAGCCATGAGGAACTGTGAGTCAATTAAACCTATTTTCTTCATACATTATCCAGTCTCATGTATGTCTTTATAGCAGTGTGAGAATGGACTAATATAGAAAAGTGGTAC
The DNA here is from genome assembly GCF_000001405.40 of Homo sapiens. NCBI lineage: Eukaryota > Metazoa > Chordata > Mammalia > Primates > Hominidae > Homo > Homo sapiens. The sequence goes on along the minus strand of NC_000007.14, from coordinate 87,275,485 downwards.
TCAGAAAATTGGGGCATTGCTATAAAGGTACCTGAAAATGTGGAAGTGACTTTGGAACTGGGTAACAGGCAGAGGTTGGAACAATTTGGAGGGTTCAGAAGAAGATAAGATGAGGGAAAATTTGGAGCTTCCTAGACACTTGTTAAATTGTTGTAACCAAAATGTTGATAGTAATATGGATAATGAAGTCCAAGCTGAGGTGGTCTCAGAGGGAGATGAGGAACTTATTGGAAACTGGAGTAAAGGTCACTCTTGCTATGCTTTAGCAAAGAGACTGGTGGCATTGTGCCCCTGCTCTAGAGATCTGTTGAACTTTGATCTTCAGAGAGGTGATTTAGGGTACCTGGGAGAAGAAATTTTTTTTTTTTTTGAGACAGAGTTTCACTCTTGTCACCCAGGCTGGAGTGCAATGGCGTGACCTCAGATCATTGCAACCTCCACCTCCCAGGTTCAAGTGATTCTCCTGCCTCAGCCTCCCAAGTCACTGAGATTACAGGTGGCCACCACCATACCTAGCTAATTTTCGTATTGTTAGTAGAGAACGGGTTTCGCCATGTTGGCCAGGTTGGTTTCAAACTCCTGACCTCAGGTGATCCACCCGCCTCAGCCTCCCAAAGTGCTGGGATTATAGGCATGAGCCACAACACCCAGCCTGGCAGAAGAAATTTCTAAGCAGCAAAGCATTCAAGATGTGGCCTGGCTACTTCTGAAGCCTAATCTCATTTACACAAACAAAGAAATGACCTGAAACTATAACTTATATTTAAAACAGAAGCAGAGCATAAAAGTTTGGAAAATGTGCAGCCAGACAGTGTGGTAGCAAAGAAAAACCCATTTTCTGGGGAGGAATTCAAGCCGGCTATAGAAATTTGCATAAGTAAAGAGGAGCCCAATGTTAATAGCCAAGACATTGGGGAAAATGCTACCAAGGCATTTCAGAGACATTTGCAGCAGGCCCTCCCATCACAGGCCTGGAGGTCCAAGTGAGGAAAAATGGTTTCATCACCTGTCCCAGGGCCCCACTGCTCTGTGCAGCTTTAGGACATGGCACCCTGCATTGTGGTCACTCCAGCTCCAGCTGTGTCTAAAAGGGGTCAAGGTACTGCTCAGGCCATTGCTTCAGAGGGTGCAAACCCCAAGCCTTGGTGGCTTCCACATGCTGTTAAGCCTGCAGTTGTGTGCCGAGAAGGCAAGGGAGCCTCCACCTAGATTTCAGAGGATGTATGGAAATGCCTGGATGTCCAGGTAGCAGTCTGCTGCAGGGGAACAGCCCTCATGGAGAACCTCTACTAGGGCAGTGCAGAGGGAAAATGTGAAGTTGGAGCACCCACACAGGGTCCCCGCTGGGGCACTGCCTAGTGGAGCTGTGAGAAGAGGGCCACCATCCTCCAGACCTCAGAATGGTAGATCTACCTACTGCTTGCACTGTAAACCTGGAAAAGCCACAGGCACTCAATGCCAGTCCATGAAAGCAGCCATGGGAGATATACCCTGCAGAGCCACCAGGATGGAGATGCCCAAGGCCTTGGCAGCCCACCCCTTGCATCATTGTGGCCTGGATATGAGAATGGAGTCAAAAGAGATTATTCTGGAGCTTTAAGATTTAATGACTGCCTTACTTTGTGTTGGACTTGCATGGGGCCTGTAGCCCCTTTGTTTTGGTCAATTTCTCCCTTTTGGAAAGGGAGTATTTACCCAATGCCTGTACTTCCATTGTATCTTGGAAGTAACTAACTTGTTTTGATTTTACAGACTCACAGGCAGAAGGGACTGGCCTTGTCTCAGATGAGAGTTTGGACTGTGGTCTGGATTTTTGAGTTAATGCTGGAATGAGTTAAGACTTCGGGGGACTGTTGGGAAGGCATACTTGTATTTTGAAATGTGGGAAGGACATGAGATTTTGGATGGGCTGAGGGTGGAATGATATGGTCGGCTGTGTCCCCACCCAAATCTCATGTTGAATTGTAATCCTCAATGTTGGAGGAGGGGCCTGGTAGGAAGTGACTAAATCATAAATATGGACTTCCCCCTTGCTGTGATAGAGTTCTCCCGAGAACTGCTTGTTTTACAGTGTGTAGCACCTCTCCCTTCTCTCTCTATCTCTCTCCTCCAGCCATGTGAATATGTGTCTGCTTCCCCTTCACCTTCTGCCATGATTGTAAGTTTCCTGAGGGCTTCCTGGCCATACAAAACTGTGAGTCAATTAAATCTCTTTTCTTCATAATCTCAGGTATGTATTTATAGCAGTTTGAGAATAGCCTAACACGATAAGGCACTAGCTAGACTGACCAAAAAAAAGAAGAGAGAAGACCAAAATAAACAAAATTAGAAATGAAAAAGAAGACATTACAACTTATTTCACAGAAATACAAAAGATCATCAGAGACTATTATGAACACTAACAAACTGAAAAACCTGGAAGACATGGATAAGTTCCTGGATGTATACAACCTACCAAGATTGAATCAGAAATAAATAGGAAACCTAATCAGACCAATAATGAGTAACAATATTGAATCAGAAACTTAAAAGTTTTACAAAAAAGGAAAGTCCCAGACCAAATGACTTCACTGCCAAAATTTTACCAAACTTACAAAGAAGACCTAACACCATTCTCCTCAAACTATTCAAAAAAATTGAAGAGTAGATAATTCTTCCTTTACTCTTCTACAAGGCCAGCATTACTCTGATATCAAAACCAAAGACACAAAAAAGGAAAACTACAAGCCAATATCCCTGATAAACATAGACACAAAAAATCCCCAAAATAATCCTAGCAATCTGAATCCAACAGCACATCAAAACAATAATGCACCATGATCAAGTGGGATTTCTTCCAGGGATGCAAGGATAGTTCAACATATGCAAATCAATAAATGTGATCCATCACATTAACAGAATTAAGGACTAAAACCTTATGGTCATTTCAATAGACACAGAAAAAGCATCTGATAAAATTCAACATCACTTCATGATAAAACAAACTCCCAACAAACCAGATGTAGAAGGAAAATACCTCAACATAATGCAGACCAAATATGACAGACCCACAGCTAACATCATACTGAATGGGGGAAGGCTGAAAGTTTTTCCTTTAAGAACTGGAACAAGACAAGAATGCCCATCCTATTTTCACCACTCCTATTCGACATAGTACTGGAAGTATAGCCAGAGCAATTAGTCAAGATAAATAAATAAAAGGCACCCCAATTGGAAAAGAGAAAGTTAAACTATCCCTCGTCGCAGATGACATAACCTTATATTTAGAAAAACCCAAAGACTCCACCGAGAAACTCTTAGATTTGATAAATAACTTAAATAAAATTTCAATATACAAAATCAACATACAATAGTCATAGCATTTCTATACACTAATAATGAACTAAAAGAAAAAGAAATCAAGAAGGCAATCCTATTTACAATAGCTACAAAAAAACCCTAGGAATAAATTTAACCAAGAAAGTAAAAGGATTCTACAAGGAAAACTACAAAATGCTGATGAAAGAAATTGAAGAGAACACCAAGCAATAGAAAGATATTTCATGCTCATGGATTGGAAAAAAAAATTGTTAAAATGACCATCCTATCAAAAGCAATCCACAGATTCAATATAATCTCTATCAAAATACTGATGACATTCTTCACATATAGAAAAAACAATCTTAAAATTCATATGGAACTAAAAAAGAGCCCAAATAGCCAAAGGAATTCTGAGCAAAATGAACAAAGCTGGAAGCATTGCATGCCCTGACTTTAAAATATATCACAAGGTTATAGTGGCCAATACCAAGTAGCATAGTATTGGTATAAAAACAGGCACATAGACTAACGGAAGAGATTAGAGAACCCAGAAATAAATCCATGTATTTATAGCCAACTGATTTTTGATAATGGTGCCAAGAACATACATTAGGGAAAGGACACTATCTTCAGTAAATGGTGCTGGGAAAACTGGATATTCTTATGCAGAAGCATGAAACTAGGCCCCTATCTCCCACCACATACAAAAATCAATTCAGAATGGATTAAAGACTTGACTATAAGACCTGAAACTAACTACTAGAGGAAAACATAGAGGAAACACTTCAGGACATTGGTCTAAGCAAAGATTTTATAGCTAAGACCTCAAAACCCCAGGCAATGAAAACAAAAATGGATAAATGAGACTATATTAAATTAAATGCTTCTTCACAGCAAAGGAAGCAATCAACATAGTGAAGAGACATCCTGTTGAATGGAACAAAATATTTGCAAACTATCCACCTAACAAGGGACTAATATACAGAATATACAAGGAGGTCAAACAACTCAATAGCAAAAAATCAAACAATCCCATTAAAAAACAGGCAAAAGATCTGAATAGACATTTTTCAAAAAAAGACATACAAATGGCCAACAGTTATACGAAAAACTGCACATCACTATTCATCAAGGAAATGCAGTAATCAAAACCACAATGAGATATCATCCTACCCCAGCTAGAATGGCTGTTATCAAAAAAATAAAATAAAACAAAAAAACAGATGCTGACAAGGATGTGGAGAAGAGGGAACTCTTATATACTGTTGGTAGGAACATAAATTAATACAGTCATTATGGAAACAGTATGCAGATTTGTCAAAAACTAAAAAAATAGAGCTACCATATTATCCAGCAATTCTGTCCTGGGTATTTTTCCAAAGGAAAGGAAATCAGTATATTAAAGTGATACTTGCACCCCCATTTTTATTGCAGCACTGTTCACAATAGCAAAGATATGGAATCAACCCAAGTGTCTATCAATGGTTGAATAGATAAAGAAAATATGGCATATATACACAATGGAATATTATTCAGCTGTGAAAAAAGAATGAAATTCTGTCATTTGCAGCAACATGGATGGAACTGGAGGTCATTATGTTAAGTGAAATAAACCAGGCATGGAAAGACAAATATTACATGTTCTCACTCATATGTGGGAGCTAAAAACGTTTATCTCATGGGGGTAGAAAGTAGAATATAGTTACAGGAGGCTGGGAAGGTTATGTGTAGGGGTAGGGAGATGAAGAAGAGATGGTTAATGGGTACAAACATAGAGTTAGATAGAAGGAATAAGTTCTAATGTTCAATAGCAGACTAGGATGATTATAGCTAACAATAATGCATTATATATTACAAAATAGCAAGAGAAGAGGGCTTGAAATGTTCCCAACACATGGTAATGATCAATGCTCAAGGTGATGAATATCCTAAATACCCTGACTTGATCATTACACATTCTATGGATGTAATAGAATATCACATGTACTCCATAAATGTGTATAATTATTATGTATTAATAAAAATATGTAACTTATCTAATTGTAAATTGTTGTACTTTAATGTTTAATAATGGCTAGTTTAATCAACTGGCTCATGGAATTCCTGAAAAATTAACAACTGGCTCTCATAAGTTGGTAGGAGCTAACTGAAAATCATCACTAAAAGTGTGAGAATATTTCAGGAAGAAAATGGCTTCCTAAGGTCAAACACTGCTTCAGGGAGCAGAAGGGAAATTACAGTGGATAAAAAGAAAAGTACCTTATGTACTTTATAGTATATTATGTCTTTATTTGAACTGTCATAAATGTGAGATGGTTAGGATTCATATTAATGCAGAATCCCTAATGTAGTAAAATTGATTTTAAGTACACTACAAAGTCTTGAGGATTCAAGAGAAAAATAGCTCTACCTCTAAAGTGGTTTGGCAGAAATGACTAACAGTTGAATAAGTCCAGTATATCTTGATACACTTTAACAAACTTTCTGTCATATCTATCAGTAACAATGCCATTTATTGTCAGCAACAATACATTTTATTGTCAGTAGCAATACTTTTATTGTCAAGTGCTACATGTTCTAAGCGTAATTTCTATGGCCATTGATTTCCCAGAACTACTAAAATCTTTTGCCACACAAAAGTAACATAGGTTATGTAGTTTATTATCATTGAATATTTTGAACAAATTTAGAAGAATTATAAAACTAAAAATGCAGTACTTGGCACCACCACTTTACTGTGGAGATATAAAGCACCAGGAGCTCTATTATAATGAAAATTGTTCCTGTGACATTTGGAAAACAATTTAGCACTAGACAGAATATGAGTAATTTTGAAGTGGTCAGTTCTTAGTACTATGATCTGCAATTCTTAAAGCATGCTGGTTTACTAACCAGCCTTAAAACTCTTCCTTTGTTATAACTTTTCTAACCTAGCATATCTTTTTTTCCTATATTTTTGAAACATATGAAATGAGGAGGAAGGAACCCTAAGCTCACGTAATTGTTGGACCTGACATTGGTGTCACCAGGGAAATACACAAGCAAAATTAAAATATATCTAGGTCTTCATTAGTTGAATTTTCTAAAATTCAAAAAGGACTTTCATGTGCTGAAAAACTGCTTATCATTGCTTGTATTTAAATTAATATTAAATATATTAAAGTCAAAAATGTTAAAACCTAGTTTTTTAAGGCATTGGGTTCAACTAAAAAAATCATGATTTTCCATTTATAAATAAAATAATTTTAAATCTCTTAAGAAAAATCAAACACTTTTTTTTTTTGAGACAGAGTCTCACTCTGTTGTCCAGGCTGGAGTGCAGTGGCACAGTCTCCACTCACTGCAACCTCCACCTCGCAGGTTCAAGCTATTCTCCTGCCTCAGCCTCCCAAGTAGCTGGGATTACAGGCACGTGCCACCATGCCCAGCTAATTTTTTGTATTTTTAGTAGAGATGGGGTTTCACCATGCTGGCCAGTGTGGTCTCAAACTCCTGACCTCATGATCTGCCTGCCTTGGCCTCCCAAAGTGCTGGGATGACAGGTGTCAGCCAAAGCGCCTGGCCTCAAGTACTCTTTAACTAATGTTCCCCTAACAGTTTAAATTCCCCTGAACAAATAACCTATTTATAAACTTATTTAATTAAGTTACCTCAAGCCAGTGGTTCTCAAAAGTCTAGAGAGTTTATTAAAACACAAACTGCTGGACTCCATCCCTACAGTTTCTGATATAGTAAGTCTGAGGTTAAATATGCACATTTAACACTTTTCCAGATGATGCTGATGCTACTGATGTGGGAACCACACTTGGAGAATTACAACTTTTATCATTTAAAGCAACAAGTACAGATATAATGTATCTGACCTTCTTGAACACTTCAAACATAGATTGAGGTAGCCAAACAAAACACATCAGCAAGATCATTCTTAGTACTTAACTCTTGTAAATCAAATTCTCTTAAACATTCAGAATCAGTTTACAGATTTAATAAAATTCTACACATGCTAATCCAAATCACAAATGTAACATAAATTACACATTTCAGATAAAAAATCACATGTTCGGAATATCAGATGCTCTAACAAGTTAGCTTTTGCAAACACCTTAAATAACAAAATATGCAGGGCTCATCCCAATGAATACAAACTTTATCATCAGAGTTAACATCTAAGATGGGCTGAGGTTACTAGATAGAATATTTTGGACCGTGAAATAATTACTTATGTTAAGGAAATACTCAGAAACAAAAGCATTGAGAAAATAAAATGACTCTTACTTTCAAACTTCAGATTTAAAAAGAATTAGTTCACCAAATCAAAAATACAACAATACTCCAAAAGTTACCAAAGTTAATCTGTTCATGGCAGGAAAGCAAAATTTTTTTCCCTTCATTTGATTAGTATCTCCTAGAATCATCACAATCTGTAGAAGTCAGCTATGCAAATTTCATGGTCACATTTATTTTTGTAAGAGAATCAGTTTCACCTATTGCTAAAGATAGTACCTTTTTGAAGTTTTTATTTTAAATAGCGAAGAACTTTTGTTTTTTTCTGACTGTGGTATATGATGTTGCAGCAGGACAAGGGGTAAGTTCATCTTCTTCACTTAGGGAGCAGCAGTTGGATACCAGGACATGAAACATGGGCACTACATATTTCCTGGGTAAATTTACCTGAACTAGAAGTGAACATGCCAAACCCTTTCCTACAGTTAGGAATCGCCAGCCAGGTAAATGGGGGACCCTAAGGCTGAGTTTAAGCTAGGTCTCAGCTATGCAAGTCTGCAGTGTCATAGATCTCTGAGCATCTTCCAGTTTCAATCATGTTAAGGTTTTATCTGATTCTTACTCTTCTTTTATCTTCTGATTTAATTTCATAGATTCTATACGCCATCCCTTTCAGATTGCTGCTAATTTCCTTCACCAAGGATTCAACTGATCTCTTTAATACCTGATTGCTTTTACATTCTTATTTAAAAAATAACTGGGTCTAGACTATTTATTCGTAGTTTTTACTATATAAATCAATAATCAAAACTCCATGGATTTACTAAAAGAAATGAAACCATAAAATAGTTCAATAGCAACAGCAAAACAATAATTAATCTTATTTTACCTCTTGGAAAAAAATACTTCATTTGTAATATGATTTAGAAATACTAATAAATCTATGTAAAATACAAGATTAAAATTTGAAAGTGTTTCTGTTGCCTTAGTTGGCACTCTAATGTTCACTTGGCATTTTTTCTTAAAAGCTTTTTACATTCTAGGGGTCATTACGTTAAAAGGATTACAACAGCATTTCCCAGTATACTAGAAAAGTTTGGTATTTAGGCATACCAGGTAGGGTGCTCAGCAGTGAAGATGGTAACTGTGATCTTGTTTTAATGGTAAAGATTAAATAAATATATACATGCAGCTATTAATAAGCAAAAAATGAAAACATCAATTGAAATATATATCAAATAAAAATACACCAATTAAAACACAAATTTGTTTCTTATTAAAAAGAGCAAGAGCTATTAGATAAACTTGGTAGGGAGATTGAAGTTGTGTATCTTTTGAATCAAAGGCTGAAAATATTGAAAAAAGATATATATTAATAACATTTGCAATAAAGCTGAATTATATCAGGCATAATCTGCTCATGAAATCTATTCCTGTTTCTTTTTCTTATACTTTCTTTCTTTTTTATTATAATTTAAGTTCTGGGGTCAATGTGCAGAATATGCACTTTTGTTACATAGGTATAAACGTGCCATGGTGGTTTGCTACACCCATCAACCTATCACCTACATTAGGTGTTTCTCCTAATGTTATCCCTCACCTAAGCCCCCACCCCCGACAGACCCCAGTGTGTGATGATCTCCTCCCTCTGTCCATGTGTTCTCATTGTTCAACTCCCACTTATGAGTGAGAACATTCAGTGTTTGGTTTTCTACTCTTGTGATAGTTGGCTGAGAATGATGGTTTCCAGCTTCATCCATGTCCCTGCAAAGGACATGAACTCATCCTTTTTTATAGCTGCATAGTATTCCATGGTGAATATGTGCTACATTTTCTTAATCCAGTCTATCGTTGATGGACATTTGGGCTGGTTCCAAGTCTTTGGTATTGTGAATAGTGCCGCAATAAACATACATGTGCATGTGTCTTTATAGTAGAATGATTTATAATCCTTTGGGTAAATACCCAGTAATGGGATCGCTGGGTCAAATGGTATTTCTAGTTCTAGATCCTTGAGGAATCGCAACACTGTCTTCCACAATGGTTGAACTAATTTACACTCCCACCAACAATGTAAAAGCATTCCTATTTCTCCACATCCTCTGCAGCATTAAAAGTTTCCTGACTTTTTAATGATTGCCATTCTGACTGGTATGATATGGTATCTCATTGCGATTTTGGTTTGCATTTCTCTAATGACCAGTGATGATTAGCATTTTTTCATATGTCTGTTGGCTGCATAAATGTCTTCCTTTGAGAAGTGTCTATTCATATACTTTGTCCACTATTTGATGGGGTTGTTTTTTTTTTCTTGTAAATTTGTTTAAGTTCCTTGCAGATTCTGGATATTAGCCCTTTGTCAGAGGAGTAGATTGCAAAAATTTTCTCCCTTTCTGTAGGGTGCCTGTTCGCTCTGATGATAGTTTCTTTTGCTGTGCAGAAGCTCTTTAGTTTAATTAGATCCCATTTGTCAATTTTGGCTTTTGTTGCCATTGCTTTTGGTGTTTTAGACATGAAGTCTTTGCCCATGCCTATGTCCTGAATGGTATTGCCCAGGTCTTCTTCTAGTATTTTTATAGTCCTGGGGCTTAACGTTTAAGTCTTTGATCCATCTTGAGTTGATTTTGTATAAGGTGTAAGGAAGGGATCCAGTTTCAGTTTTCTGCATATGGCTAGCCAATTTTCTCAACACCATTTATTAAATAGGGAATCCTTTCCCCATTGCTTGTGTCTGGATTGTCAAAGATCAGAAGGTTGTAGATGTGTGGTGTTATTTCTGAGGCCTCTGTTCTGTTCCATTTGTCTATATATCTGTTTTGGTACCAGTACCATGCTGTTTTGGTTACTGTAGCCTTGTAGTATAGCTTGAATTCAGGTAGCATGATGCCTCCAGCTTTGTTCTTCTTGCCCAGGATTGTCTTGGCTATGCAGGCTCTTTTTTGGTTCCATATAAATTTTAAAGTAGTTTTTTCCAATTCTGTGAAGAAAGTCATTGGTAGCTTGATGGGGATAGCACTGAATCTATAAATTACTTTGGGCAATATGGCCATTTTCATGATATCAATTCTTCCTATCCATGAGCATGAAATGTTTTTCCATTTGTTTATGTCCTCTCTTATTTTCTTGAGCAATGGTTTGTAGTTCTCTTTGAAGAAGTCCTTCACATCCCTTGTAAGTTGTATTCCTAGGTATTTTATTCCCTTTGTAGCAATTGTGAATGGCAGTTCACTTGTGATTTGGCTCTCTGTTTGTCTCTTATTAGTGTATAGGAATGCTTCTGATTTTTGCACATTGATTTTGTATCCTGAGACTTTGCTGAAGTTGCTTGTTAGCATAAGGAGATTTTGGGCTGAGACGATGGGGTTTTCTAAATATACATCATGTCATCTGCAAACAGGAACAATTTGACTTCCTTACTTCCTATTTGAGTACCCTTAATTTCTTTGTCTTGCCTGATTTCCCTGAGGAGAACTTCCAGCACTATGTTGAATAGGAGTGGTGAGAGGGGGCATCCTTGTCTCGTGATGGTTTTCAAAGGGAATGCTTCCAGTTTTTGCCTATTCAATATGCTATTGGCTGTGAGTTTGTCATAAATAGCTCTTATTATTTTGAGATACGTTCCACTGATACCTAGTTTATTGAGAGTTTTTAGCATGAAGGGCTGTTTAATTTTGTCGAAGGCCTTTTCTGCATCTATTGAGATAATCATGTGGTTTTTGTCATTGGTTCTGTTTATGTGGATTATGTTTATTGATTTGTGTATGTTGAACCACCCTTGCATCCCAGGGATGAAGCTGACTTGATCATAGTGGATAAGCTTTATGATGTGCTGCTGGATTTGCTTTGCCAGTATTTTATTGAGGATTTTTGCATTGATGTTCATCAGGCATATTGGCCTGAAATTCTCTTTTTTTGTTGTGTCTCTGCCAGACTTTGGTATCAGGATGATGCTATCCTCATAAAATGGGTTAGGGGGGTCGCTTCCAAGATGGCAAAATACGAACAGCTCCAGTCTGCAGCTCCCAGCGAGATTGACACAGAAGATGGAAGATTTCTGCATTTCCAACTGAGGTACATGGTTTATCTCATTGTGACTGGTTGGAGAGTGGGTGCCGCCCACTTAGGTGAGCTGAAGCAGGGTGGGGCGTCGCCTCACCCCGGAAGCACAAGGGGTCAGGGTATTTCCCTTTTCTGGCCAAGGGAAGCCATGACAGTCTGTACCTAGGGGAATGGTACATTCCTGTCCAAATACTGCACTTTTCCCACAGTCTTAGCAACTGGCAGACCAGGAGATTCCCTCCTGTGCCTGGCTTGGGGGTCCCACGCCCACGGAGCCTTGCTCACTACTAGTGCAGCAGTCTGAGATCAACCTGTGACACTGCAGCCTGGCAAGGGGAGGGGCATCCGCCATTGTTGAGGCTTGAGTAGGTAAACAAAGTGGCCGGGAAGCTTGAACTGGGCAGAGCCCACTGCAGCTCAGCAATGCCTACCGACTCTCTAGAGTCCACCTCTGTGGTCAGGACATAGCTGAACAAAAGGCAGCAGACAACCTCTGCAGACTTAAACATCCCTGTCTGACAGCTCTGAAGAGAGCAGTGGTTCTCCCAGCACAGCGTTTGAGCTCTGAGAATGGGCAGACTGCCTTCTCCAGTGGGCCCCTGACCCGCATGTAGCCTGACTGGGAGACACCTCCCAGTAGGGGCCGACAGACACCTCATACAGGCAAGTGCCCCTCTGGGATGAGGCAACCAGAGGAAGGATCAGGCAGCAATATTTGCTGTTCTGAAATATTTGCTGTTCTGCAGCCTCCACTGGTGATGCCCAGGCAAACAGGGTCTGGAGTGGACCTAAACAAACTCCAACAGACCTGCAGCTGAGACGCCTGAACTTTAGAAGGAAAACTAACAAACAGAAAGGAATAGCATCAAAATTAACAAAAAGGACATCCACAGCAAAACCCCACCTGTAGGTAACCAACATCAAAGACCAAAGGTAGATAAAATCACAAAGATGGGGAGAAACCAGAGCAGAAAAGCTGACACTTCCAAAAACCAGAGCACCTCTTCTCTTCCAAAGGATCACAGCTCCTCACCATTGATGGATCAAAACTGGATGGAGAAGGAGTTTATGAGTTTACAGAAGTAGGCTTCAGAAGGTTGGTAATAACAAACTTCTCTGAGCTAAGGAGCATGTTTTAACCCATTGCAAGGAAGCTAAAAACCTTGAAAAAAGGTCAGACAAATTGCTAGCTAGAATAAAGAGTGTAAAGAAGACCTTAAGTGAACTGATGGAGCTGAAAACCACAGCACGAGAACTTTGTGATGCATGCACAAGCTTCAATAGCTGATTCGATTAAGTGTAAGAAAATATCTCAGTGATTGAAGATCAAATTAATGAAGTAAAGTGAGAAGACAATATTAGAGAAAAAAGAATGAAAAGAAAAGAAGAAAGCCTCCAAGAAATATGCGACTATGTGAAAAGACCAAATCGACATTTGACTGGTGTACCTCAAAGTGATGGAGAAAATGGAACCCAGTTGGAAAACACTCTTCAGGATATTATCCAGGAGAACTTCCCCAACCTAGTAAGGCAGGCCAACATTCAAATTCAGGAAATACAGAGAACGCCACAAAGATACTCCTCAAGAAGAGCAACCCCAAGACACATAATTGTCAGATTCACCAAGGCTGAAATGAGGGGAAAACATATTAAGGGCAGCCACAGAGAAAGGTCAGGTTACCCACAAAGGGAAGTCCATCAAACTAACAGCACATCTCTCAGCAGAAACCCTACAAGCCAGAAGAGAGTGGGGGCCAATATTCAACATTCTTAAATAAAAGAATTTGCAGCCCCGAATTTCATATCCAGCCAAACTAAGCTTCATAAGCAAAGGAGAAAAAAATCCTTTACAGACAAGCAAATGCTGGGAGATTATGTCACCAAGAGGCCTGCCTTACAAGAGCTCTTGAAGGAAGCACTAAACATGGAAAGGAACAACTGGTACCAGCCACTGCAAAAACATACCAAATTGTAAACTCATCAATGCTATTAAGAAACTGCATCAATTAATGGGCAAAATAACTAGCTAACATCATAATGACAGGATCATATTCACATATAACAACATTAACCTTAAATGTAAATGGGCTAAATGCTGCAATTAAGAGACACAGACTGCCAAGTTCGATAAAGAGTCAAGACCCATCAGTGTGCTGCATTCAGGAGACACATCTCACATGCAGAGGCACACATAGGCTCAAAATAAAGGGATGGAGGAATATTTACCAAGCAAATGGAAAGCAAAAAAAAAAAGCAGGGGTTGCAATCCTAGTCTTTGACAAACAGACTTTAAACCAACAAAGATCAAAAGAGACAAAGAAAGCCACTACATAATGGTAAAGGGATTAAGATGGCAAGAAGAGCTAACTATCCTAAATTTGTATGCACCCAATACAGGAGCACCTAGATTCATAAAGCAAGTCCTTAGAGACCTACAAAGAGACTTAGACTCCCACACAATAATAGTGGGAGATTTTAACACCCCACTGTCAATATTAAACAGATCAACAAGACAGGAGGTTAACAAGGATATCCAGGACTTGAAATCAGCTCTGCATCAAGCAGACCTAATAGACATCTACAGAACTCTCCACCCCAAATCAACAGAATATACATTCTTCTCAGCACCACATCACATTTATTCTAAAATTGACCACATAATTGGAAGTAAAACATTCTTCAGCAAATGTAAAAGAACAGAAATCACAACAAACTGTCTCTCAGACCACAGTGCAATCAAATTAGTACTCAGGATTAAGAAACTCACTCAAAACCACACAGCTACATGGAAACTGAACAACCTGCTCCTGAATGACTACTGGGTAAATAACGAAATGAATGCAGAAATAAAGATGTTCTTTGAAACCAATCAGAATGAAGACACAGTGTACCAGAATCTCTGGGACACATTTAAAGCAGTGTGTAGATGGAAATTTATAGCACTAAATGCCCACAAGAGAAAGCAAGAAAGATCTAAAATTGTCACCCTAACATCACACTTAAAAGAACTAGAGAAGCAAGAGCAAACACATTCAAAACCTAGCAGAAGGCAAGAAATAACTAAGATCAGAGAAGAACTGAAGGAGACAGAGACACGAAAAACGCTTCAAAAAAATCAGTGCATCCAGGAGCTGTTTTTCAGAAAAGATCAACAAAATAGATACACCACTAGCAAGACTAATAAAGAAGGAAAAAGAGAAGAATCAAATAGACACAATAAAAGATGATAAAAGGGATATCACCGCCGATCCCACAGAAATACAAACTACCATCAGAGAATACTATAAACACCTCTACATGAATAAACTGGAAAATCTAGAAGAAATAGATATTTCCTGGACACATACCCCCTCCCAAGACTAAACCAGGAAGAAGTTGAATCTCTCAATAGACCAATAACAGGTTCTGAAATTGAGGTAATAATTAATAGCCTACCAACCAAAAAAAGTCCAGGAACAGATGGAATCACAGCTGAATTTTACCAGAGGTACAAACAGGAGCTGGTATCATTCCTTCTGAAAGTATTCCAAACAATAGACAAAGAGGGAATCCTCCCTAACTCATTTTATGAGGCCAGCATCATGCTGATACCAAAGCCTGGTAGAGTCACAACAAAAAAAGAGAATTTTAGACCAATATCCCTGATGAACATCGATGCAAAAATCCACAATAAAATACTGGCAAAGTGAATCCAGCAGCACATCAAAAAACGTAACCACCACGATCAAGTTGGCTTCATCCCTGGGATGCAAGCCTGGTTCAACATACACAAATCAATAAATGTAATCCATCACATAAACAGAACCAATGACAAAAACCACATGATTATCTCAATAGATGCAGAAAAGGCAAAATTCAACAGCCCTTCAGGCTAAAAACTCTCAATAAACTAGGTATTGATGGAACGTATCTCAAAATAATAAGAGCTATTTATGGCAAACCCATAGCTAATATCATACTGAACAGGCAAAAACTGGAAGCATTCCCTTTGAAAACTGGCACAAGGCAAGGTGGCCCTCTCTCACCACTCCTATTCAACATAGTATTGGAAGTTCTGGCCAGGGCAATCAGGCAAGAGAAAGAAATGAAGAGTATTCAATTAGGAAAAGAGGAAGTCAAATTGTTCCTGTTTGCAGATGACATGATGGTATATTTAGAAAACCCAATCATCTCAGCCCAAAATCTCCTTATGTTGATAAGCAACTTCAGCAAAGTCTCAGGATGCAAAATCAATGTGCAAAAATCAGAAGCATTCCTACACACCAATAACAGACAAACAGAGAGCCAAATCACGAGTGAACTCTCATGCACAATTGCTACAAAGAGAATAAAATACCTAGGAATACAACTCACAAGGGATGTGAAGGACCTCTTTAAGGAGAACTACAAACCATTGCTCAATGACATAAAAGAGGACATAAACAAATGGAAAAACATTTCATGCTCATGGATAAGAAGAATCAATATCGTGAAAATGGCCATACTGCCCAAGGTAATGTATAGATTCAATGCCATGCCCATCAAGCTACCAATGACTTTCTTCACAGAATTGGAAAAAACTACTTTAAAGTTTATATGGAACCAAAAAAGAGCCTGCATAGCCAAGACAATCCTAAGCAAAAAGAACAAAGCTGGAGGCATCACGCTACCTGACTTCAAGCTATACTACAAGGCTACAGTAACCAAAACAGCATGGTATTGGTACCAAAACAGATACATAGGCCAATGGAACAAAACGGAGGCCTCAGAAATAACACCACACATCTACAACCTTCTGATCTTTGACAAACCTGACAAAAACAAGACATGGGGAAAGGATTCCCTATTCCATAAATGGTGCTGGGAAAACTGGCTAGCCATACGTAGAAAGCTGAAACTGGATCCCTTCCTTACACCTTATACACAAATTAATTCAAGATGGATTAAAGACCCTAGAAGAAAATGTAGGCAATACCTTTCAGGACATGGGAATGGGAAAGGACTTCATGACTAAAACACCAAAAGCAATAGCAACAAAAGCCAAAATTGACAAATTGGATCTAATTAAACTAAAGAGCTTCTGCACAGCAAAAGAAACTATCATCAGAGTGAACAGGCACCCTACCGAATGGGAGAAATTTTTTTGCACTCTACCCATCTGACAAAGGGTTAATATCCAGAATCTACAAAGAACTTAAATAAATTTACAAGAAAAAAACAAACAACCCCATCAAAAATTGAGCAAAGTATATGGACACTTCTCAAAAGAAGACATTTATGCAGCCAACAGACACATAAAAAAATGCTCATCATCACTGGTCATCAGAGAAATGCAAATCAAAACCACAATGAGATACCATCTCACACCAATTAGAATGGCAATCATTACAAAGTCAGGAAACAACAGATGCTGCAGAGGATGTGGAGAAGTAGGAACGCTTTTACAGTGTTGGTGGGAGTGTAAATTAGTTCAACCATTGTGGAAGATAGTGTGGCAATTCCTCTAGGAACTAGAACTAGAAATACCATTTGACCCAGCGATCCCATTACTGGGTATTTACCCAAAGGATTATAAATCATTCTACTATAAAGACACATGCACATGTATGTTTATTGCGGCACTATTCACAATACCAAAGACTTGGAACCAGCCCAAATGTCCATCAACGATAGACTGGATTAAGAAAATGTGGCACATATTCACCATGGAATACTATGCAGCCATAAAAAATGATGAGTTCATGTCCTTTGCAGGGACATGGATGAAGCTGGAAACCATCATTCTCAGCAAATTATCACAAGGATAGAAAACCAAACACTGCATGTTCTCAGTCATAGGTGGGAGTTGAACAATGAAAACACATGGACACAGGGCAGGGAACATCACACACTGGGGCCTGTTGGGGAGGGGGAGGGATAGTATTAGGAGAAATACCTAATGTAAATGTCGAGTTGATGGGTGCAGCAAACCAACATGGCACATGTATACCTATGTAACAAACCTGCATGTTGTGGACATGTACCCTAGAACTTAAAGTATAATAAAAAAATTTTAAAAATAACAAATAAAAATAAATAAAATGGGTTAGGGAGGATTCCCTCTTTTTCTATGGTTAGGAATAGTTTCAGAAGGAATGATACCAGCAGCTCCTTTTTGTACCTCTGATAGAATTCGGCTGTGAATCTGTCTGGTGCTGGACTTTTTTTGGTTGGTAGTCTGTTAATTACTGCCTCAATTTCAGAACTTGTTATTGGTTTATTCAGGGATTTTATTTCTTCCTGGTTTAGACATGGGAGAGTGTATGTGTCCAGGAATTTATCCATTTCTTCTAGGTTTTCTAGTTTATTCGCATAGAGGTGTTTATAATATTCTCTGATGGTAGTTTATATTTCTGTGGGATCAGTGGTGATATCCTCTATATCTTTTTTTTTTTTTTTTTGCATCTATTTGATTCTTCTCTCTTTTCTTATTTGTCTGGCTAAAGGTCTATATATTTTGTTGATCTTTTCAAAAACCCAGCTCCTGGATTGATTGATTTTTTTGAAGGGTTTTTTTGTGTCTGTATCTCCTTCAGTTTTCCTCTGATCTTAGTTATTTCTTGCCTTCTGCTAGGTTTTGAATTTGTTTGCTCTTGCTTCTCTAGTTCTTTTAAGTGTGATGTTAGGGTGACAATTTTAGATCATTCCTGCTTTCTCTTGTGGGCATTTAGTGCTATAAATTTCCTTCTACACACTGCTTTAAATGTGTCCCAGAGATTCTGATAACGTTGTGTCTTCGTTCTGATTGGTTTCAAAGAACATCTTTATTTCTGCCTCCATTTCGTTATTTACCCAGTAGTCATTCAGGAGCAGGTTGTTCAGTTTCCCTGTTGTTGTGTGGTTTTGAGTGAGTTTCTTAATCCTGAGTACTAATTTGATTGCACTGTGGTCTGAGAGACTGTTTGTTATAATTTCCATTCTTTTGCATTTGCTGAGGAGTGTTTTACTTCCAATTACATGGTCAATTTAGAATAAGTGCAATGAGGTGCTGAGAAGAATATATATTCTGTTGATTTGGGGTACAGAGTTCTGTAGATGTCTATTATGTCGCTTGGTCTAGAGCTGAGTTCAAGTCCTAAATATCCTTGTTAATTTTCTGCCTCGTTGATCTGTCTAATATTGACAATGAGGTGTTAAAGTCTTCCACTATTATTGTGTGGGAGTCTAAGTCTCTTTGTAGGTCTCCAGGAGCTTTCTTTATGAATCTGGGTCCTCCTGTATTGGGTGCGTATATATTTAGGATAGGTAGCTCTTCTTGCTGCATTGATCCCTTTACCATTAGGTAGTGGCCTTCTTTGTCTCTTTTGATCTTTGTTGGTTTACGGTCTGTTTTATCAGAGATTAGGATTGCAACTCATGCTTTTTTTTATTTCCATTTACTTGGTAAATTCTCCTTCATCCCTTTATTTTGAGCCTATGTGTGTCTTTGTACATGATATGTGTCTACTGAATACAGCACACTGATGGGTCTTGACTATCCAATTTGGCAGTCTTGTGTCTTTTACTTGGGGCATTATCTCATTTACATTCAAGGTTAATATTGTTATATGTGAATTTGATCCTGTCATTATGATGCTAGCTGGTTATTTTGCCTATTAGTTGATGCAAAGAAAAAGATATATATGAATAACATTTGCAATAATACTGAATTATATCAGGCATAAACTGCTCATGAAATCCATTCCTGTTTTAAAAAACAGGCACTGTTTTTAGATTATGTGAATAACATAATTACCTATCAAGTATTACTTTTTTAGGGAACTTAGAACAGAAGAAAATGCAAAGTAACATTTTTTGTTGATTAGATTTAAAGAAATCAGATGGCTCATGTTATCTAAGACAAAAATTCTTACCTTAGGTCACCAGTGAAGAATGAACCAAACCTTTAGATTTGAAGTTCCCATTCAAACATATTTCTTTGCATGAGTTTTAACAATAGTTGCATAAATGTATGATTTAAATCACTAATTTCATGAGAAAAAAATGTGTTCTACTTTTCTGCAATGAAGTTGGTTCCCAGATATTAAAGTGATGTTCTAGGCAGCTACACTCCTAAAATTGTGGAGTTGGAAAATAGATTTAAGGAAAGGCTCTCTGTCTTAAAACTTAGAGAAAATTAATTAACATTGTCCTGTTCTCTTTGTTCAATGAATATTGACAGTATGAGTGAAGAACTAAAAATGGAAGCTATAGATCAGTGATGCAATATAATACTGAAAATGAAACATCAGACTCTTAGAAAATCAAATTCATTATAAATATCTCTAAAATCCTTTTCTTGGGGCCAGGCATGGTGGCTCACACAATTCCACTATTTTGAGAGCCTGAGGTGGGAGGATTGGTTGAGGCCAGCAGTTCAGCCTGGGCAATGAAGTGAGACACCCATCTCTTCAAAAATAAAAATAAGAAATTAGCTGGGCTTGACAGCAGGTGCCCGTAGTCCTAGCTACTTGGGAGGCTGACGTGGGAGGATCAATTAAGCCCAGGAATTTGAGGTTGCATTGAGCTATGATGGTACCACTGCACTCCAGCCTGGGTGACAGAGTGAGACCCTGTCTCTAAAAAGTAAAATAAAATAAAATAAAATAAAATATTTTTAAACAAAAAATTATGGTATCTTTTCATATTTAGAAGAACATATCTTTGTGAATCACTCTTTTCCATTTTAAATAAAACTAACTTTTGCCTCCAATTAAAGAATCCAAGGCAAAAATTTTATAATAGATACCAGAACTAAGACTGGCAGCTAGAAACAGAAGAAAAGGTATCAGATTTCCACTTCCAAATTTGAGTCATGAATTATAAAGGAATGCAATAACTAAGATATTTCTATTTTTCACAACCATATTTAAAATGTCTTCAACGTAATACATGTATGCTGGGTCCATGTCTATAAGGATGTAAGCTTGTTTTCTCTTCCTGATGCTCTTTCTAATCTCTGCTTTTTCCTTCTCCTACCCCCAAAATCAATGAATCTAACTTACTTATTTTAGAAGCCAGCTTGTAAAGCAAAATTCTCCATATCCAAAAACTAGAGGCAACTCAGACTGCGGAAGAGGATGGAAGAGTGAAAAGAGAGACTAGCATAAGAGGGAGAGGAAAGAGTGGAGTGCCTGAGTTCTAGAAAGGGAGGGAAGAAGATGGTCCAACACAGGGCCCAGGGAACAGCATGGAAAGGGCCCTGTGCCCAGCTGGAGTAGAGTGAGTCCCATCAGTTGCCAGCCCATCAGACCACCATCCAATGTACCTGAGGGCAAAGCAAGCTGCCAGAACAAGGGCTGGACACTTGACTATCTTGTGGGGAGGAAGGGAGAATCTCACTTCTTCTTATTTATTTATTTATTTATTTATTTATTTATTTATTTTTGAGATGGAGCCTCACTCTGTCACCCAGGCTGGAGTGCAGTGGCACGATCTGGGCTCACTGCAAACTCCACCTCCTGGGTTCACACCATTCTCCTGCCTCAGCCTCCCGAGTAGGTGGGACTACAGGCACTCGCCACCATGCCTGGCTAATTTTTTGTATTTTTAGTAGAGACGGGGTTTCACCATGTTAGCCAGGATGGTCTTGATCTACTGACCTCGTGATCTGCCTGCCTCGGCCTCCCAAAGTGCTAGGATTACAGGCATGTGCCACTGCGCCCGGCCTCTCACTTCTTAATAAGAACTACACAGAACCCATTTGAAATTTCCCTAGTAGCTCAGCAGGGAGAGATATATTATTTCTACTTCAATACATGACTGTGATATGGTGCATGCTTTCACTACAGTCTGGTAAAAATAAATAAAATGTGAGTATAATTTTGGCAGTCAATAATTTTTCTTGTAAGCATACATAAGTTGCCATACCCTGGACCATTTTTGTTGATTTGAACTACTTGACTATTTAGAGTCATGCATTGCCAATTAAGTTATACCATATGATATGGTTTGGCTTTGTCCTACCCAAATCTTATCTTGAATTCCCACATGTTGTGGGAGGGAGCTGGTAGGAGATAATTAAATCATCAGGGCAGGTCTTTCCCTTGCTGTGCTCGTGATAGTGAGTAAGTCTCACGAGTTCTGATGGTCATTATAAGGGGGAGTTTTTCTGCACAAGCTCTTTTTGCTTGCTGCCATCCATGTAAAATGTGATTTGCTCCTCCTTGTCTTCCACCATGATTGTGAGGCTTCCCCAGCCATGTGGAACTGTAAGTCTAGTTAAACCTCTTTCTTTTGTAAATTGCCCAGTCTTGGGTATGTCTTTATCAGCAGTGTGAAAACGGACTAATACACATATGTTTAAAGAGAACTTGTTTAATATAGATACACGCTCTTTAGAAGCTGAGTACACTTTAAATGATCTTGAGTTAGGTTTTTAAATTAGTTATTGCTATGTGATTATTTTGTTTGAGCTTTTCAATGACAAGAATTTTAAAAAATAGTATGAGAAAGTATAATATATACTTTTTGTTATAGTCTTCCTGTTGATAATTCCAGAAAGACAAAAAACAAATGATTAATAATGGTTGTCTGTGGAGGTGAGAAACAAACTAGGAAGAAGTAGGGCAGGGGATTATTGCATTTTTATTGTGAGTCTTTCTCTACTATTTTAAAAAATTTTTGATAACATGATAATTGGGTAGTTCATCATGCCATATCTCTAAATGTTCATTCTATTTAGTAAGAAAATAAATAATTTTCTACTCTTTCAAAGTTTCAACAAAAAAAAATCAACATCTTTCTAAATTTGGGAATTCAGCATTAAAAATTAATCTCCAAATATTATAGACACTTTACTTGATTTTAATAAATTATATAATATATAACTTCATGTATTTTATTAAATTATATATTTAACCCAAATGACTAATATTCAATAATATATGTATTTAATATGTTTTCTAAAAGTTGTTTTATTCTTAAAAGTTTCTTTTAAAAAGCTGATTTTTAAAACTGTTCTTGTTTAATATTAGTTAAATACATTTGAATAAAGAAAATATCTTCAGTTGTTGGGAGTGTGGTAGAGAGTAATGGGAAGACATACAGGAAGGCTTACTTTGAAATTTTTTTAAATAAAGGAACATTCTCAGGCAGACAAAGGATTCTAAAAGATTTTTACTCAAGTAATTATTTTTATACAAAGCTGTAAACTCACTTGGTCAGAATTTAGTGTCATTTTTTCTTAGCTTCTTAATGATTGCTACCACTCACGGATTATTGCCCAACACAGTGCTATGCCCATTACGTGCATTAAATAATTACCTGCGATTATGTGCATTTTATGTAAACACTCATGTCATTGCTTGTGTTTTATTTCCATCTTACAGATGATGAAAAGGAAAATAAGAGACATCAGAAATTTGATTAAGGGTCCAAAGCTGTAAGTGGTGAATTAGGATGTAACACTGGGTCTGTTTGGCTCCAAAGTATCTTCTCTCCACTGTGCTGTCTCCTTGCCAGGGTCACCAGGATTTATTCTTGTGCGGAAGCCCAGAAGATCTGAAGTCCACCCTAGTTCTTTGGCCCTTTGCCAATCTTCTCTAAGAAGAGAAGTTTCCCTGCTTTCCAAGTGTAACTCCTCCATCTGAGCTCTTGATTGGAATTTCTTGTCACTTCACTGGAAGCTTTCTGCATGATGTTCTGATTCTCCTAGATTTTGTTATTCTCTCTTCCTGGATTCCTTCCCCTCAGTCTACACACATGCTTAAATTTCACCTATTATTCAAAAGCAAACATCCCACTCCTTTCCATGTCTGCTTCTCCCTCCTGAAGGCCTTACTACCCCACCCCAACCACCCTTTTAAATGTACTTGGATAAGAACCTTGTCTTATTATTCTCTGGTTTGTAAGTAACTGGCACATAAAAACAATAACTACAATGATAAACTTCAGTTTAATATGCTTCTACTAGATGCCAGGTGTATAAAACACAGACATTATCATTTTACAGATGTTCAATAAGCAT
Organism: Homo sapiens; assembly: GCF_000001405.40. Lineage (NCBI taxonomy): Eukaryota > Metazoa > Chordata > Mammalia > Primates > Hominidae > Homo > Homo sapiens. The sequence continues at coordinate 87,251,937 of NC_000007.14, read as the reverse complement.
GTTGAATTGGCAGGCATCCTTCCCACATCCTTAGCTGTATGCCTCTCTCCTGATGCTCAGTGTCTGACAGTCACTCTGATGTGATTTTGCTAAATGAAGTGGAGCTTTCTGCCCTCGGTGCCTGGCTCTTGGTAATCAAATAGAGGAAACAAAACTATTTCCCAGAACGTTTCTGCCTGTATTTACAGCTTTTGCTATGGGAACTATATGTTCCAGCATGTGTTGTGTGACTGAAAATAGCTTTCTGTCTAATTGTTTTCTGAAGGTCGCAATCCCTGGATGGATATATGAAGAAAGGGACTGATTCTTTTAAGATATTTATGCAAAAAACATTTACTCAAAAGTATGAGTTAAATAGTATAAATGGCACTTGGGGATACAAAAGTGAATAAGATATATATTGTGAGAAGGAATTTTAACAAGAGTAAATTGATGGGGTTGGCAGTTGGAAAAATGGGAAAAGCACAATGGCTGCCTCAAAAGACAGTGCCTATGACTGGCCAATAGACTTTGACTTTCTGAAATACAGTGGCAAAAAAACTAAAGACATTCCCTCTATTGAAAGCAGGCCAGTTTGCTCAGTTTCCGAAGCATAGAACAGATTGTCTGCCAATTATGTGTTCAGTTCAGTTCTAGTGGACTTAATAAACATTTCTGCCACATTCTGATAAATGTCCTGGTTCTTAGTGAGTTTCTGAATCATCATCTTCCTTGTCTTCATTGACATTATATTACTAAATTAACTGGGAAAGGACGGGTTCTTGGTTACCTACACAGCATACAGTAAAATTACGTTCCTATTTCACATCAAACACGTACATGGATTCCAGATGGATTAAAGATCTAAATGTGGAAAGCAGAATTAAAACATCTAGCATGAAGTATAGAAGAGTATATTTATAACCTTGAATAGAGTAATGCTTTTTAAACAAGACATGCAAGGAACAAACCATAAAGGGAAAGATTAATAAATTGTGTCCAAATTAAAACTTTTGCACATCAAAATATGCTTTTTAAAAATGAAAAGACAAACCATGGATAGGGAAAAGATATTCACTAATAGATTCACTGGCATCTATTACCAGTGAAAAATTGGTATCCAGAATATATAATAGGACTTCTACAAATCAGCAAGAAAAATGGCAAAGAAGTCAATAGCAAAATGGGCAAAGGATTTGAATAGGTAAGTCACTAACGAGAAAACCCAAAAGCCAATAAATATCTGAAACAATGCTTAGTCTCCCTAGTAATCAGGAAAATGCAAATTAATACAATGAGATAGAATTTCATACCTGTAATATTAGCAAAAATAAAAACATCTCACAATACTGACTATTGTTAAGAATGTGGAGCTGAAGTAACTTGGATGCATCGCTAGTGGGAACATAAAACTGTGCAACTTTGCGGTGAGCCGAGATTGTGCCACTGCACTCCAGCCTGGGCAACAGAGTGAAACTCTGTCTCAAAATAATAATAATAATAACTGTGCAACTTTGGAAATCCATCTGGCTATATCTAATAAGTTAAAGATGCTCATCTCTTCCTGCCATCTGTATATACCAAAGAAACCCCCAAGTGCGGTACAAAATTGAAAACCTAAATTTCCATTATTGTAAAAGTGAGTAAATGAGTCTTTGTATATTTTCAAATAATAGAGAATTATACAATATTAAAATAAATGAACTAGATGAGCTCTAAGTTTCAACATAGATGAAACTCAAAAATGCAGTGGTAAGGGGAAAAGCAAGTTGCAGAAGAATGACAAAAGCATGCAAGGGTATTATAAACTTCTAGGGTATGTGGGATGGAAATGGTATGGGGCAGAGGTGCAAATGGGGCTTCAATTTTATATATTAAATATATTTTATTTCTTTACAAAAATATGAAGCAAACATGATAAAACATTGGCAAAGCTGTGGCAGGTGTATACTTAATGCATTAAGTATTCCCTTTAAAAGAAAAAATAAAAAGCTTTAGCATCAGACAGACCTGATTTCAGACTGTGGCTAAAGACTTCGGCTGTCACTTACAGCTCGCCAAACTTAGGCAAGTTACCTACTTCTCTTAGTGTTAATTGCTTTACCTACACACGTATGTTCTGATACTTGTCTGATGATTCTTATATGTGAAGGATTTGTGGTTCTGATTCTAGTGTCTGGTGCCTGTTTTCTTGTTGGCTCTCATTCATGTTTGTTTGTGAGTATTGTGGTTTTTGACAGTGAGTTACATTTTCTTGGAACTTTATGGAAATTCTTGGAAGCCCATATTTAAGGTGTTTTCTTCCACGGAGAACATATGTTTGTGTCTGCCAGATGCCTGAGGCCACTGCTAACTCAGGGCCACTTTAAATTCTTGCCCTAAGGGTTTTTCATTTTCCAAAGTACTCTGATAGGGCTGTTTTGGGGCTGAGAACCTATTGAGAGAGTGTTTTGTGGTTATAAATTCTCATAGATGTTTTTCTACGTCGCTCAGTATCAAGGTTTGAGGCAATCGGTTTTTCTTGTGTCTCCCTGGGAAGCTGGCTATTTCTAGCTTACATTACCACTGAGGATGTGGCCCCAGGGGAGCCCAGCTTAAATGTGGAAGAGTGGTGATCTCTCATCCTCCCATCTTGTGTGGATTTGGGTTTTAGGTCCTCTCTGGTGCATCCATAGAAACCATTAAGAATAGAAGCTCAAGTTCATTTGGGTTAAATTAAAATCCTCAAAGTGAAACCTGGTTTCATTTCTCTGCTTAATTCTCTGATTCTTATTTTCACTTATTCTGCCTCTGAAAATTCCTTTTTCTTGCCAACTCTTCATTGTATTTTTAACAGTTTTCTCCCCCTTTAGTTTAATCCAGCAATTTTTCTTTTTAAATTTTAGTCGTGTGTTTTCTAAAAATATTCTCATGGGAGAATTGAAGTAAAACTTTATGACTAAAAAATCATTCTGTCTGGCTGCAAAACTCATGCCCCCAGCCATGCCAATAGATTACTTCCCACTGTACCATACACTGAAAAGAAAGAAAAAGACAAAGGTATGAGCTTCCTTTCCTCCACCTGGAACTTTTCAATATCTTGTCTTCCTTACAGCTCAGAAGAGGAGTTAGTGCTCCTTTCCCCTTCTGTATTCTGCATTTCCACTGCCTGCAGTTTCCCAGGACTTCTCACCTCTCCCACCTTCTAGTCCTGCATAATCACTTCCTTTTAGGAATTTTCTATCGGCCATTCCAGCAACCATCTTTGGCCATAGCTTTATCATGCCCATGGCCAGTACCCAAAGCTAGGCACGGGGCCTTGAGTACTATGATAACCTCCTAACCAGTTTCCTTCCTCTAATCTCTTCTTTCTCCAGCGTAATCTGTGTTTCACACAGGTGAGTTACCCTAAAACACTGCATTGTGTTGACCTTGTTCAAAAACTTTGATTCATCCTGGAACCTATGACTGGAATGACAAACTCGTGTCACAGAGGAGCCCCTCCTTGCCGCACACCTGACTCTTATCCCAGTGCATAGCACTAACAGACCACAGCGCTCTCCTCTCACATTTAGTGTTCCTGAAAATCTCATCTGGCACAGGTGCACATGAAGCCTTGAAGCTAAACTATGCTGTATAGTCAAGACCTTCCCCATAAATCATTTCATTATTAGGGTGAAATCTCATTGGAAATTTACAAGAACCTTCTGTTCTAGCTAAACTGCTCTATTCAGGGTCCCAAGAGCATGTGTGGCACTTTCTTACCTTGGCATCTACCCTTTGTTCATGCCATTTCTCTAACTTCATTTTTCACACCATCTTCTCTACCTACTGAACCCTCTCCCAACAAGGTCCAGCCAGACTTCACCCTCTACAAATCCCCCTCCATTGCCTCAACTGGACATGCCCTTTCTCTCCTTTAAGCCCTTCCCTGTTGTGTGGTTCCCATCTTGCTGTCTGGCAGTGACCACTTAGTAATCTGACTGTCTGTCTTTCTTACTCCATCTTTTTATTTCTTAAACCCTGTAGCTCATAGAATGATGCAGTTGGGAGGATGGTATAAACATAATCTCATGTTCTTAACTTCCCAGGTAAGAAAATGAAAGCGCAGAGAGGTTAAGGGATTTATCCATGGTTACCCAGTAAGTTAGATCTGGCCTGGGCATAGAACATCAATTCCCAATGCCCCTTCCATAGCATTCTCCCCTCACTATGCTTTTTCCCTCACCAGCTAAGGGCTAACTTCCTTGTGGGAATGAAATGGGTATCCTCTTTGTACATACTCTTTCCCCCACACCATCCCCATGTCTGATATGCAGTAGGTGCTTTATAAATGTTTGCTGCTGATGAGAAGGCAGTCCCATTTGGAATTACAATGTCTCAAATATGAAAATGATTTTTTTCTTTGACGAGGGGAACATTTTAACGTATAACCACTAGAGAGAAGCAGTAATAATAAAGAAATGCATTTAAATGTTCTTATGTAATTACCTAATTCCCAGAAGTGCAAAGGAAGGATACCTTAAGGCCATTTTGAGACAGTAGAAGAGATCAATCTGATGTCTTCCTTTTCCTGACTGCCAGATAATTCTGCTCAAAAATTCATTGCAGAAATCAGATGTGGAAACTGGAATACTCAATTCAACTAAATGTATCTGGATCAGTGATGTTCAGGACTTTGCACTTGGCCAGGTTATAAGATTATAAAATGAGAGCCTCACAGGTTAGTTGGGAAATTGTCACATTGTAAAAGTTACTCTATATCAAGACACATCCTCAAGGGGGCCTACTGGTGGGTCAAACATAGATGACAAATATATTAGTCTGTTTTCATGCTACTGATAAAGACATACCCAAGACTGGGAAGAAAAAGAGGTTTGGCCGGGTGCGGTGGCTCACGCTTGTAATCCCAGCACTTTGGGAGGCCGAGGTGGGTGGATCACGAGGTCAGGAGATCGGGACCACGGTGAAACCCCATCTCTACTAAAAATACAAAAAATTAGCTGGGCGTGGTGGCGGGCGCCTGTAGTCCCAGCTACTCCGGAGGCTGAGGCAGGAGAATGGCCTGAACCCGGGAGGCGGAGCTTGCAGTAAGCCGAGATCACACCACTGCACTCCAGCCTGGGCGACAGAGTGAGACTCTGTCTCAAAAAAAAAAAAGAAAAAGAGGTTTAATTGGATTTACAGTTCCACATGGCTGGTGAGGCCTCAGAATCATGGTGGGAGGTAAAAGGCACCTCTTACATGGTGGTGGCAAGAGAAAATGAGGAAGAAGCAAAAGTGGAAACCCCTAATAAACTCATCAGATCTCATGAGACTTATTCACTATCATGAGAATAGCATGGGAAAGGCCAGCCCCCGTGATCCAATTACCTCACCCTGGGTCCCTCCCACAACCCATGGAAATTCTGGGAGATACAATTAAGTTGAGATTTGGGTGGGGACACAGAGCCAAACCATATCATTCCAACCTTGGTTCCTCCAAATTTATGTTCACACATTTCAAAACCTATCATGCCTTCCCAATAGTCCCCAAAAGTCTTAACTCATTTCAGCATTAACCCAAAGTCCACAGTCCAAAGTCTCATCTAAGACAAGGCAAGTCCCTTTGGACTATGAGCCTGTAAAATCAAAAGCAAGTTAGTTACTTCCTAGATACAATGAGGGTATAGGTATTGGGTAAAAACAGCCAAATGGGAGAAATTGGCCAAAACAAAGGGGTTATAGGGCCCATGCAAGTCCAAAATCCAGCAGGGCCATCAAATTTTAAAGCTCCAAAATGAATGATCTCCTTTAACTCCAGGTCTCACATCCAGGTCACGCTGATGTAACAGGTAGGTTCCTATGGTCTTGGGCAGCTCTGCCTCTGTGGCTTTGCAGGGTACAGCCTCCCTCCCAGTGGCTTTCATGAGCTGGCATTGAGTGTCTGTGGCTTTTCCAGGTGAACAGTACAAGCTGTCGGTGGATCTAATATTCTGGGTTCTCAAGGATGGCAGCCCTCTTCTCACAGGTCCACTAGGCAGTGCCCCAGTAGGGACTCTGTGGAGGCTCTGACCCCACATTTCCCTTCTGCACTGCCCTAGCACAGGTTCTCCATGAGGGCCCCATCCCTGCAGCAAACTTCTGCCTGGGCATCCAGACGTTTCCATATATCTTCTGAAATCTAGGCGGAGGTTTCCAAACCTCAATTCTTGACTTCTGTGCACCCACAGACCCAACACCATGTGAGAGCTGCCAAAGCTTGGGTCTTGCACCCTCTGAAGTCACAGCCCGAGCAGTACGTTGGCCCCTTTCTGCCATGGCTGGAGTGACTGGGACACAGGGCACCAAGTCCCTAGGCTGCATATAACATGGAGACCCTGGGCCTGGCCCATGAAACCACTTTTCCCCCCTGAGCCTCTGGGCCTGTGATGGGAGGGGCTGCCATGAAGATCTCTGACATGGCCTGGAGACATTTTCTCCATGGTCTTGGGGATTAACATAGGCTCCTTGCTGCTTCTGCAAATTTCTGCAGCCAACTTGAATTTCTCCCTAGAAAGTATGCTTTTCTTTTCTATCACATTGTCAGGCTGCAAATTTTCCAAACTTTTATGCTCTACTTCCCTTATGAAACAGAATTCCCTTAACAGTACCCAAGTCACCTCTTAAATGCTTTGCTGCTTAGAAATTTCTTCTGCCAGATACCCTAAATCATCTGTCTCAAGTTCAAAGTTCCACAAATCTCTAGGGTGGGACAAAATGCTAAATATAACAAGAGTCACCTTTGCTCCAGTTTGCAAAAATTCCTCATCTCCATCTGTGACCACCTCAGCCAGGACTTTATTGTCCATATCGCTATCAGCATTCTGGGCAAAGCTGTTCAACAAGTCTCTAGAAAGTTCCAAATTTTCTCACATTTTCTTGTCTTCTTTTGAGCCCTCCAAACTGTCTAACCTCTACCTGTTATTCAGTTCCAAAGTCGCTTCCACATTTTTGGGTATCTTTTCAGCAACACCACACTCTACTGGTACCAATTTCCTGTATTAGTCCATTTTCGTGACTGGGAAGAAAAAGAAGTTTAACTGGACTTACAGTTCTACATGGCTGGGGAAGTCTCAGAATGATGGCGTGAGGTGAAATGCATTTCTTACATGGTGGCAGCAAGATAAAATGAGGAAGAAGCAAAAGTGGAAACCCCTAATAAACTCATCAAATCTGGTGAGACTTACTATCATGAGAATAGGACAGGAAAGACCAGCCCCCATGATTCAATTACCTCCCCCTGGATCTCTCCCATAACACGTGGGAATTCTGGGAGATATAATTCAAGTTGAGATTTGAGTAGGGACACAGCCAAACCATATCAACAAATAAGCTTGAAAAATGTGAAAAATTGTCTTACATCACTAGTAAACAAAGACAAACAAAATTTAAATAATATCATTCCCTGATGAAATTGGCAAAGCTTTTTTTGTTTTAAATCTTAAGATCCAGGGTTGACTAGAGTTTGGCCTTTCTTTTCTTTTTTTTTTTTTTTTTTTGAGACAGAGTCTCGCTCTGTCACCCAGGCTGGAGTGCAGTGGCGGGATCTCGGCTCACTGCAAGCTCCGCCTCCCGGGTTCACGCCATTCTCCTGCCTCAGCCTCCCAAGTAGCTGGGACTACAGGCGCCCGCCACTACGCCTGGCTAATTTTTTTGTATTTTTAGTAGAGACGGGGTTTCACCGTTTTAGCCGGGATGGTCTCGATCTCCTGACCTCGTGATCCGCCCGCCTCGGCCTCCCAAAGTGCTGGGATTACAGGCGTGAGCCACCGCGCCCGGCCTCTTTTTTTTTTTTAATTTATTTATTATTATTATACTTTAAGTTTTAGGGTACGTGTGCACAATGTGCAGGTTAGTTACATATGTATACATGTGCCATGCTGGTGCACTGCACCCACTAACTCGTCATCTAGCATTAGGTATATCTCCCAATGCTATCCCTCCCCCCTCCCCCCACCCCACAAAAGGCCCCAGAGTGTGATGTTCCCCTTCCTGTGTCCATGTGTTCTCATTGTTCAATTCCCACCTATGAGTGAGAATATGCGGTGTTTGGTTTTTTGTTCTTGCAATAGTTTACTGAGAATGATGATTTCCAATTTCATCCATGTCCCTACAAAGGACATGAACTCATCATTTTTTATGGCTGCATAGTATTCCAGGGTGTATATGTGCCACATTTTCTTAATCCAGTCAATCATTGTTGGACATTTGGGTTGGTTCCAAGTCTTTGCTATTGTCAATAATGCCACAATAAACATATGTGTGCATGTGTCTTTATAGCAGCATGATTTATAGTCCTTTGGGTATATACCAAGTAATGGGATGGCTGGGTCAAATGGTATTTCTAGTTCTAGATCCCTGAGGAATCACCACGCTGACTTCCACAATGGTTGAACTAGTTTACATTCCCACCAACAGTGTAAAAGTGTTCCTATTTCTCCACATCCTCTCCAGCACCTGTTGTTTCCTGACTTTTTAATGATTGCCATTCTAACTGGTGTGAGATGGTATCTCATTGTGGTTTTGATTTGCATTTCTCTGATGGCCAGTGATGGTGAGCATTTTTTCATGTGTCTTTTGGCTGCATAAATGTCTTCTTTTGAGAAGTGTCTGTTCATGTCCTTTGCCCACTTTTTGATGGGGTTGTTTGTTTTTTTCTTGTAAATTTGTTTGAGTTCATTGTAGATTCTGGATATTAGCCCTTTGTCAGATGAGTAGGTTGCAAAAATTTTCTCCCATTTTGTAGGTTGCCTGTTCACTCTGATGGTCGTTTCTTTTGCTGTGCAGAAGCTCTTTAGTTTAATTAGATCCCATTTGTCAATTTTGGCTTTTGTTGCCATTGCTTTTGGTGTTTTAGACATGAAGTCTTTGCCCATGCCTATGTCCTGAATGGTATTGCCTAGGTTTTCTTCTAGGGTTTTTATGGTTTTAGGTCTAACGTTTAAGTCTTTAATCCATCTTGAATTGATTTTTGTATAAGGTGTAAGGAAGGGATCCAGTTTCAGCTTTCTACATATGGCTAGCCAGTTTTCCCAGCACCATTTATTAAATAGGGAATCCTTTCCCCATTGCTTGTTTTTCTCAGGTTTGTCAAAGATCAGATAGTTGTAGATATGCGGCGTTATTTCTGAGGGCTCTGTTCTGTTCCATTGATCTATATCTCTGTTTTGGTACCAGTACCATGCTGTTTTGGTTACTGTAGCCTTGTAGTATAGTTTGAAGTCAGGTAGTGTGATGTCTCCAGCTTTGTTCTTTTGGCTCAGGATTGACTTGGTGATGCGGGCTCTTTTTTGGTTCCATATGAACTTTAAAGTAGTTTTTTCCAATTCTGTGAAGAAAGTCATTGGTAGCTTGATGGGGATGGCATTGAATCTGTAAATTACCTTGGGCAGTATGGCCATTTTCACGATATTGATTCTTCCTACCCATGAGCATGAAAGGTTCTTTCATTTGTTTGTATCCTCTTTTATTTCCTTGAGCAGTGGTTTGTAGTTCTCCTTGAAGAGGTCCTTCACATCCCTTGTAAGTTGGATTCCTAGGTATTTTATTCTCTTTGAAGCAATTGTGAATGGGAGTTCACTCATGATTTGGCTCTCTGTTTGTTGTTGGTGTATAAGAATGCTTGTGATTTTTGTACATTGATTTTGTATCCTGAGACTTTGCTGTAGTTGCTTATCAGCTTAAGGAGATTTTGGGCTGAGACAATGGGGTTTTCTAGATATACAATCATGTCATCTGCAAACAGGGACAATTTGACTTCCTCTTTTCCTAATTGAATACCCTTTATTTCCTTCTCCTGCCTAATTGCCCTGGCCAGAACTTTCAACACTATTTTGAATAGGAGTGGTGAGAGAGGGCATCCCTGTCTTGTGCCAGTTTTCAAAGGGAATGCTTCCAGTTTTTGCCCATTCAGTATGATATTGGCTGTGGGTTTGTCATAGATAGCTCTTATTATTTTGAGATATGTCCCATCAATACCTAATTTATTGAGAGTTTTTTAGCATGAAGGTTGTTGGATTTTGTCAAAGGCCTCTTCTGCATCTATTGAGATGATCATGTGGGTTTTGTCTTTGGTTCTCTTTATATGCTGGATTACATTTATTGATTTGCATATATTGAACCAGCCTTGCATCCCAGGGATGAAGCCCACTTGATCATGGTGGATAAGCTTTTTGATGTGCTGCTGGATTCCGTTTGCCAGTATTTTATTGAGGATTTTTGCATCAATGTTCATCAAGGATATTGGTCTAAAATTCTCTTTTTAGGTTGTGTCTCTGCCCAGCTTTGGTATCAGGATGATGCTGGCCTCATAAAATGAGTTAGGGAGGATTCCCTCCTTTTCTATTGATGGAAATAGTTTCAGAAGGAATGGTACCAGTTCCTCCTTGTACCTCTGGTAGAATTCGGCTGTGAATCCATCTGGTCCTGGAAACTTTTTGGTTGGTAAGCTATTGATTATTGCCACAATTTCAGCTCCTGTTATTGGTCTATTCAGAGATTCAACTTATTCCTCATTTAGTGTTGGGAGAGTGTATGTGTCAAGGAATTTATCCATTTCTTCTAGATTTTCTAGTTTATTTGCGTAGAGGTGTTTGTAGTATTCTCTGATGGTAGTTTGTATTTCTGCGGGATCGGTGGTGATATCCCCTTTATCATTTTTTGTTGCGTCTATTTGATTCTTCTCTCTTTTTTTCTTTATTAGTCTCGCTAGCGGTCTATCAATTTTGTTGATCCTTTCAAAAAACAAGCTCCTGGATTCGTTAATTTTTTGAAGGGTTTTTTGTGTCTCTATTTCCTTCAGTTCTGCTCTGATTTTAGTTATTTCTTGCCTTCTGCTAGATTTTGAATGTGTTTGCTCTTGCTTTTCTAGTTCTTTTAATTGTAATGTTAGGGTGTCAATTTTGGATCTTTCCTGCTTTCTCTTATGGGCATTTAGTGCTATAAATTTCCCTCTACACACTGCTTTGAATGCGTCCCAGAGATTCTGGTATGTTGTGTCTTTGTTCTCATTGGTTTCAAAGAACATCTTTATTTCTGCCTTCATTTCGTTATGTACCCAGTAGTCATTCAGGAGCAGGTTGTTCAGTTTCCATGTAGTTGAGCGGTTTTGAGTGAGATTCTTAATCCTGAGTTCTAGTTTGATTGCACTGTGGTCTGAGAGATAGTTTGTTCTAATTTCTGTTCTTTTACATTTGCTGAGGAGAGCTTTCCTTCCAAGTATGTGGTCAATTATGGAATAGGTGTGGTGTGGTGATGAAAAAAATGTATATTCTGTTGATTTGGGGTGGAGAGTTCTGTAGATGTCTATTAGGTCCACTTGGTGCAGAGCTGAGTTCAATTCCTGGGTATCCTTGTTGACTTTCTGTCTTGTTGATCTGTCTAATGTTGACAGTGGGGTAAAGTCTCCCACTTAGTGTGGGAGTCTAAGTCTCTTTGTAGGTCACTCAGGACTTACTTTATGAATCTCAGTGCTCCTGTATTGGGTGCATATATATATATAGGATACTTAGCTCTTCTTGTTGAATTGATCCCTTTACCATTATGTAATGGCCTTCTTCGTCTCTTTTGATCTTTGTTGGTTTAAAGTCTGTTTTATCACAGACTAGGATTGCAACCCCTGCCTTTTTTTGTTTTCCATTTGCTTGGTAGATCTTCCTCCATCCTTTTATTTTGAGCCTATGTGTGTCTCTGCCCGTGAGATGGGTTTCCTGAATACAGCACACTGATGGGTCTTGACTCTTTATCCAATTTGCCAGACTGTGTCTTTTAATTGGAGCATTTAGTCCATTTACGTTTAAAGTTAATATTGTTATGTGTGAATTTGATCCTGTCATTTTGATGTTAGCTGGTTATTTTGCTCGTTAGTTGATGCAGTTTCTTCCTAGTCTCGATGGTCTTTACATTTTGGCATGATTTTGCAGTGGCTGGTACCGGTTGTTCCTTTCCATGTTTAGCGCTTCCTTCAGGAGCTCTTTTAGGGCAGGCCTGGTGGTGACAAAATCTCTCAGCATTTGCTTGTCTGTAAAGTATTTTATTTCTCCTTCACTTATGAAGCTTGGTTTGGCTGGATATGAAATTCTGGGTTGAAAATTCTTTTCTTTAAGAAGGTTGAATATTGGCCCCCACTCTCTTCTGGCTTGTAGAGTTTCTACTGAGAGAATTGCTGTTAGTCTGATGGGCTTCCCTTTGAGGGTAACCCGACCTTTCTCTCTGGCTGCCCTTAACATTTTTTCCTTCATTTCATCTTTGGTGAATCTGACAATTATGTGTCTTGGTGTTGCTCCTCTCGAGGAGTATCTTTGTGGCATTCTCTGTATTTCCTGAATCTGAATGTTGGCCTGCCTTGCTAGATTGGGGAAGTTCTCCTGGATAATATCCTGCAGAGTGTTTTCCAACTTGGTTCCATTCTCCCCGTCACTTTCAGGTACACCAATCAGACGTAGATTTGGTCTTTTCACATAGTCCCATATTTCTTGGAGGCTTTGCTCGTTTCTTTTTATTCTTTTTTCTCTAAACTTCCCTTCTCGCTTCATTTCATTCCTTTCAACTTCCATCACTGATACCCTTTCTTCCAGTTTATCACATCGGCTCCTGAGGCTTCTGCATTCTTCACGTAGTTCTCGAGCCTTGGTTTTCAGCTCCATCAGCTCCTTTAAGCACTTCTCTGTATTGGTTATTCTAGTTATACATTCCTCTAAATTTTTTTCAAAGTTTTCAACTTCTTTGCCTTTGGTTTGAATGTCCTCCCATAGCTCGGAGTAATTTGATCGTCTGAAGCCTTCTTCTCTCAGCTCATCAAAGTCATTCTCCGCCCAGCTTTGTTCTGTTGCTGATAAGGAACTGCGTTCCTTTGGAGGAAGAGAGGCGCTCTGCTTTTTAGAGTTTCCAGTTTTTCTGCTCTGTTTTTTCCCCATCTTTGTGGTTTTATCTACTTTTGGTCTTTGATGATGGTGATGTACAGATGGGTTTTTGTTGTGGATGTCCTTTCTGTTTGTTAGTTTTCCTTCTAACAGACAGGACCCTCAGCTGCAGGTCTGTTGGAGTACCCGGCCGGCCGTGTGAGGTGTCAGTGTGCCCCTGCTGGGGGGTGCCTCCCAGTTAGGCTGCTCGGGGGTCAGGGGTCAGGGACCCACTTGAGGAGGCAGTCTGCCCGTTCTCAGATCTCCAGCTGCGTGCTGGGAGAACCACTGCTCTCTTCAAAGCTCAGATGGAAATGCAGAAATCACTCGTCTTCTGTGTCGCTCACATTAGGAGCTGTAGACCGGAGCTGTTCCTATTCGGCCATCTTGGCTCCTCCTCCGAGTTTGGCCTTTCAATCACTGGTGGTAAAGGGTCCTTCCAGATGGATAATTTAGCAAAAATTTTAAAACCCCTTAAAAATATACTTATCATTATACCTAGCAATTCTATTTTCACAAGTAGACTTAACAAAGTCTGCTTTCCAAAGATTTTGCTACAGAGATATTCATTGCATCAATATTTTTACTTACAATAGTGAAAAACTGGATACAACCTAAATAGTGATAATACCTAACATTTAATTGAGTATTTACCATATATTGATCTGAGCACTTTATATAAGTTAATTCATTCAAACCTCATAGACAACCCTATGAGGGAGGTACTATTGAGGCTATTACCATCCCCATTTGACAGATCAAGTAACCTGGTCACACACCCAGTAAATGGAAGAGTTCATTAGAGCCTACATTCTTAACCATTCATTCTATTCCCTCTCCAAACTCTCTAATCTAAATAGCCAATGATAGGAAAATTGTTAAAATTAGTAATGCTCAACTTGTGTGTGTGTGTGAGTGAGAGAGAGAAAGAGAGAATGTGGGTGTCAGATGGGAGACAGAAGTGTCATGAGAGTGTTTCCAAATTACCTAGAGCCTCTCTTACTGGTAGGAATGTGTTATACAAGGAGAGAGAACCACTGGGTTACCTAAATTATAGTAAATTATACAAATACTATGTAATTATTAAAATGTATGATATATAGCTATATTGAGTTGTATTCTAGAACAGTATCTTTCAAATTCTTTTGACATGACCTATATTAAAAAATAAACATTTTACATCTCAATCTTGGCCATCCTTTAAAGGCTGAATAGCTAGTTCCCTCTAATATAGCTGTGTTAGTTGTTTACAATGGGTGTCTATGCCTATGTTATTTGACCCACATTAGATTAGATTAGGCATAACATATGCCTATGTTATGTTATGCCTATGTTATGATATTTGAATATCACATATTTAGGTTGGTCCAAAAGCAACTGTGGTTTTTGACATTTTTTAAACTGCAATTGCTTTTGCACCAAATACATTTATATGCACGCACTCGCGCACACACACACACACACATACATCTAAAACAAAATTTCATGAAACAATACTCAATCTTTGTTTTTTGTTTTTTGTTTTGTTTTGAGACGGAGTCTCGCTCTGTTGCCCAGGCTGGAGTGCGGTGGCGTGATCTCGGCTCACTGCAAGCTCCGCCTCTGGGGTTCACGCCATTCTCCTGCCTCAGCCTCCCGAGTAGCAGGACTGCAGGCGCCCGCCACCACGCCCGGCTAATTTTTTTTTTTTTGTATTTTTAGTAAAGACGGGGTTTCACCGTGTTAGCCAAGATAGTCTCGATCTCTCGACTTCGTGATCGGCCCGCTTCGGCATCCCAAAGTGCTGGGATTACAGGCGTGAGCCACCGCGCCCGGCCAAAATAATACTCAATCTTAATAAATGAGATGCACTCTTATATCTTTCCATTTCATTATTACAATTCTGGACCAAATGTATTGTTGTCAACTGCTCGTTGATTTCATCATCCTAAGTTAACGTACCCATAGTTTGAAAACAATCCTGGAAGAAAATTATGGCTCTTGTAATACTGAAAATGTCCACGAGAGGGCACCACAATTCTAGCCAGACACATAATATACCAAGGGATCTCCACTGGGAAGGGCAGGAATGTTGACCCTTGCAGGGCACAGTCCAACCAGGGTAGCCAGTCTCTATCTTGACCAATCACCTATCAAAACGCCTGATGCAAAAAAACTTTTTTGATAAAGAGGCTGTCAGGGTCCATCAGAGTCTCTGTGTCATGAATCTGAAATCGAACATGCAGAAAGATTTTATGTGGTTGACAGAGTAGGCAAAAGGTAAAAGTCCTTGAGATAAGGAGAGGCTAGAATGGTAATAATGGGTCATTTATAAGCTAAAGGTTTCAATAAGTTGAGGTTATGGGAAAATAGAAGCTATGAATAAGCAAGAGATATAAGTGGGGGAAAGACACAGGACTGGAAAGCCTGTTGACAGGAAGAGATAGGCATTACTGTGTAATCACATTAATGGCAAAACCCTAGGGTCAGGCCCCAGACTCCTGCTGCCAGCAGCTTCAGTCTGTAAAGGACAGGCTGACTCCCTTTTTAATGCAACTGGTGATTTTATAATAAGTTCACTTTGATGCTCATTTACCATTCTGAAAACCCCAGGGCCCTTAAGAATTATGCAAAATCTACTTTACCTTTGCTCTATAAATGGAACAACAAAGCCAGAGTGACAGTAAATCTGTTTACAGCATCGTTTCCTGAATATTTTAAGCCCACTGTTGAGATCTACAGCTTAGAAAAAGAGACTCCTGTCCAAATATTAATGTTCATTGACAATGAACCTGGTCAAACAGACTTCTGGTGAGATATACAAGGAGATGAATGTTATTTTCATTAAAATACACCTCAATCCATGGGCTGCAGGATGGATGCTGCTAACACAACATCCATTCTGCAGCCCATGGATTAAGGGATATTTTTGACTTTCAAGTATTATTATTTAAGAAATACATTTTATAAGGCTACAGCTGCCATAAATAGTGATCCCTCTGGTGGATCTGGGCAAAGTCAATGAAAACCCTGCTGGAAAGGACTCATCATTTTATTCTATTTTATTATTTTTTCTCACACAGAAAGACAGCATGGATTTATCATTTTAAATGCCATTAAGAATATTTGTGATTCATTGGGAGGAGGTCCAAAAATCAACGTTAACAGGAGTTTGGAAGAAGTGGATTCCAACCTTCATGAATGATTTGGAGGGGTTCAAGACTTCAGTGGGGGAAATAACTGCGGATATGGTAGAAATAGCAAGAGAACTAGAACTAGAAGGGGATCGGAAGATGTGACTGAATTAATGCAATATCATGATCAATAAATGGGAGTTGCTTCTTATGGATGAGCAAAGTGGTTTCTTGAGATAGAATCTACTTCTGGTGAAGATGCTATAAACATTGTTGAAATGACAACAAAGGATTTAAAATATTACATAAACTTAGTTGATAAAGCATTGGCAGAGTTTGAGA
Organism: Homo sapiens; assembly: GCF_000001405.40. Taxonomy (NCBI): domain Eukaryota; kingdom Metazoa; phylum Chordata; class Mammalia; order Primates; family Hominidae; genus Homo; species Homo sapiens. The sequence goes on along the minus strand of NC_000007.14, from coordinate 87,235,604 downwards.
GGTTTGACTCCAGTTTTGAAAGACATTCTACTATTGGTAAAATGCTATCAGATAGCATCACATGCTTCAGAGAAATCTTTTGTAAAAGGGAAAGTCAATTGATGTGGCAAACTTCATTATTGTTTTAGTTTTAGAAAGTGCTAAACTTTAGTGCCGCCCTAACCTTTAGTACCGCCACCCTGATCAGTCAGGAGCCATCAACATTGAGGCATAACAAGCAAAAAGATTACTGAAGATCACTACCGGCTCAAATGATAGCATATTTTAGCAATACAGTAATTTAAAATCAAGGTATGTGCATTGTATTTGTAGATATAATGCTATTGCACATTTAACAGACTACTGTATAGTGTAACATAACTTTTATATGCATTAGGAAACCAAAATGTTTGTGTGACTCATTTTACTGCAATATTCATGAACTGAATCTTCAGTATCTCTGAGGTATGCCTGCAATGCCATTCTACTAACCACATACAAATAGAATCATAGTGTCTTAGTTTTGTTTGTCAGAAGCACACCCTCAGATATGGACTATAATGCAAGTGGTTGATTTGGGAAATGGGCCACAAAAACCCAGTAGGGGAGCTGGGAACTGAGATAGGGGAGGAAAGGAGGCCAGCTTAGGGTTGCTATCAAAGAAGTTACCACTGTGGGCAACTATATCTTAATCACATGGAGGAGCTCTGGAACCAGAATATATACCTTAGAGTTATCCCATCCATGGGGTAAAGGAGCTGGGGTATTTACACATATTACCTGTGATTCCCTGGCACTTCTGGCCTTCCATGCATGCAGGCAGAGTGATTTCAGCAAAGAGAAGCCCCTGGGCAAGGAGTTGCAGTTACTGGCAGTTGGAGGGTGGATTGGCCTGCACTGAAATGGTAGTGTCCAATGGGATACAAGCAAGGCATTGCCAGTGTCTGCTACAAACTCCATGAGATTCTGCAACTTCCTTTTTTGGTTGTTGTTCACCATTACGGTTGTGTGATTTACCCTTGTTGGTATGTTGATATATATAACTGTGGTTTGCTTATTTTCATTGCTATATTCTATTGTATTAGTATGTTTCATCTATTTATTTGTTCTATCTGTTTATGGGCATTTGGGCTGTTTCCACCTTTTTGTTGTTACAAACAATGTTCCCTTGCAGCTTCTTGCACAAGTCTCTTGGTATATTTGTGCGAAAGTTTCTTCTATACACCTAGGTTTAGAATTGTTGGAGGAAGAGATAATGCATTTTAAACTTAACTATATGATGATTAAAGTAGTGTTCCAGTTACACCCACACCACCAGCAAAGTATGAGATTTTCTAATATTTTATATCTTTGCCAAAACATGCTGTTGTTAGGCTTTTAATTTTCGCTAGTTTGGTGGGTGTAAAAACAATAAATAAAGAAAGTTTTGGCCTGGTATAGCGGCTCATGCCTGTAATCCCAGCACTTTGGGAGGACAAGACAAGTAGATCGCTTGAGCCCAGAAGTTTGAGACCAGCCTGGGCAACATGGCAAAACCCTGTTTCTAAAAAAAAAAGAAAAAATTAGCTAGGCATGGTGGCACATGCCTGTAATCCCAGCTAATTGAGAGGCTGAGGTGGGAGTATCAGCTGAGCCTGGAAGGTCGAGGCCTGTTGTGATCTCATCACTGCACTGCAGCCTGGGCAACAGAGTGAGACCCTGCCTCAAAAAAAAAAAAAAAAAAAAACAACAAAGTTCTTCATCTTTTGGGAATATACATATATTTTAAATTTAAAATGGGGTCCAGTTCAATATTTGTTTCTGCCACTGCAACTTAAATTTTCTAAGAGTAAAGATTGGATCATAATTCTTGGAGTTGTAACTATAAATGAATGAAATTGTCTTGCTCATGTAACTTGCCAACAGGTTCTAAGGTGAATACAAAAGAAGACTTTCAAGAGGGTGAGTGAGTGAATGAATGTAGCAATTTGATTTAGGTGTATAGTCTAAGGATGACATTGAAGTATGACACTAATGTTCTGGGGTCTATTAAAAATTCAGTGTTCTTATTTTATAGGTAGGTTTTATACTATACAGATGATAGGTTTCCTATTCTGTATGCAATCGTTCTCTTAGAACACTTTTCACTTTTGAACAAGTGGTTTTTCTAGGGGCTGTGAACAGGAGAAAACTTTGTCAACATTAACAGATTCTTGAAACATTTTTAATGAAGGGAAAAGCAGTTCCCAGTAGAACAATTGTAGTTTCCTAGGGCTGCTGAAACAAATTACCACAAACTAGTGGCTTCAAACAACAGACATTTATTTATTCTCTCACAGTTCTGCAGGTCAGAAGTCTGAAATCAAAGTGTAGTCATGGTTGTTTTCTTCAGGAAGTTCTGAGGGATAATCCTTTCCATGCTCCAATCTCAACCCCATTTTCACATGGCCTTCTCTGTGTGTCTCTATATGGTCACCTACTCTTAAAAGGGCACTAATCATTGGACTTAGGGACCACCCCAATCCAAGATGATTTCCTCTCGAGATCGTTAACTACACCTGCAAAGAGCCTTCTCTCCAAATACGTTCACTGTCTTACTCAGGTCAGGCTGGTATAACAAATAACATAAATCGGGTGGCTTAAACAATGAACATTTATTCCTCACAGTTCTGGGAGCTGGAAGTCCAAGATCAGGGTACCAGTATGGTTGGGTTCTGGTGAGGGACTTATTCCTGGCTTGCAGATTGCTGCCTCTGGCTCTATCCTCATGTGGGAGAGAGACCGAGATAATATCTTTCATGTATTTTCTTATAAGGGTACTAATCCCATTCAAGAAGGTTCTACCCTCATGATCTAATTACCTCCTAAAGGCCCCACTTTCAAATACCATCACATTGGGGATAGGGCTTCAACTTATAAATTTGGGAAGGACATAAACATTCAATCCAGAGCAGTTGACAAAGATTCTCTGCTTGGCCAAACTTTAGTCAGGCTCCTGACACTTCTCCTAGGCTCATCTGTGCACTTCCTTGTAAAATCCAGTTGTAGAAGAGAACTCTGCTAGGTCAGGATAGCTAAAAGCCCCTACATATCTGATCATGCTCTGTAGCTGATCGGGTTCCTCATCCTCCATCATTCCCCAGGTGATGTCTGATCACCCTGGTGTGTCTTCAGCAAGGACACCGGTTTAACCAGAATGCCCATCTGATATTTCCTTTTAGTAATTTTCCATGCACTGAGTCCCACCTTACTCCTTGGCTATAAATTCCCACTTGCCTATTCTGTATTCAGAGTTGAGCCAAATCTCTCTCTGCTGCTGCAAGACCCCATTGTAGCAGTCCCTATACCAATCATGATGTTTCTGGATAAAGTTTTCCATGCTGTGCTTTAACAAGTGTCACTGATTTTTTTTTTAACACAATTACAGCCACAGGTTTTAGGTGGACATATCTTTTGGGAGGCCACAATTCAACCCATTACAGGAGGCAACAGAAGACATGTAGGCAGGAGAAGTTAATTACATTAGATATTCAGAGTTTCTGGTTATCTCTTTCTTTAGAGTCTGAGGTGGAAAAACACCATGTTGGGTGGTAGAGATGAAATTTCTTCCTTTGTATATTCTGAGACTTAATACCTTTTCCCTAATCTATTTATTTTCCTAATCTATTTCAGTAACAGATGTCTTCAGTGCAGGGATTGTCAAGGAACTCAGCCAAGGGATAGTGGTGCCAATGTTTTCACTGGGGAGAATGCAAATGACTGTCTAAGAAGGAAAAATGTGTACTGTTGGAAGGGCAGATTGCAAGACAATTTCTTTGTCCTGGTTGCTATTTATTTGCTTTTTCCTTCTCAATCTTGATGTTTTTCTTTAGGAAAAAATAAAGCCTCTCAAAACTTCTTCCTTGGAGAGAGAAACAAATTAGACAAACTTATTCTGTGATGTTCTGTTTATTTTATCTAAAATGTCAGAAGTCATGATGACAAAATGTTTTCATTCTTGTTTTTGTTTGATTAATTTTTCTGCATTATTTATTTGTTTATTTTTAAAGAAAATGTCACAGGATCCTTGAGTTGTCACTTTGCCAGCTGGAAACCTCTGTGGCCAGCGGCGCCTTCTGCCTGAGTATTGCTGGCACTGCTGGGCTTGTTCTGCCCCCTTGGCCTGGCAGGCTGCTCTTGGCTGGCACTACTGGCCCACATCCCACAACTGCCAAAGGCGAGCCAGGTGCGGAGCAGCGAGTGGTGTGTGGGTAAGCAAGCATGGGGTCTGGCCACCATGCACAGCCAGACACGCTGGCTGCTGCAGTTGGCTGGCGGCTCCATGAGAGGTTGTGGCTGGACCAGATGTACAATATACAGCTTCCACTGTGGGCACCTGTGTCTGGACAAGGGGAATGCTGTGGCACCCAGAAGCTTGGAGACACTAGGAACTGGAGAGTCCCAAAGAGGGTGTCACAGCCCTGGCTCAGGGAGCACCCTAGGTCTGGGGTTCCCGAAGGGCCACAGCTCTTCTCCTTCTCATCCTAGGCAACATGGTGAGTGGGGATGGGGGCATATTTCAGCCCTGTTTGTGTTACAGCGCTTTCAGTCCCGCCATTCAGTCCCTCTCGAGTTCTTGTCCCATGTACAGGAAGAATGAGGTGCACAGACAATTGGAGGGTGAGCAAGGCAGAGAGGAGCTTCTTGAGCAACAGAACAGCTCTCAGGAGACCCGAAGTGGGTAGCAGCTCCTTTCTGCAGGCAGGTTGTCTGGACATCTGTCCAGCTCTCAGTGGAGAGAAGACCCAGAGTGGCTAGCTCCTTTCTGCTGGCAGGTTGTCCTGACATCTGCGTAGCCCTCAGCAGAGAGGAGATCTAGACTGGGTAGCTCCTATCCACAGGCAGGTCATCCTGATGTCTGTTCAGCTCTCAGCAGAGAGGTGATCCACAGTGGGTAGCTCCATTCCTCTGGCAGGTCACCCCAAGGTGTGTCCAGCTCTCACTCCAGTTGGCTGACTCCACTGGAACTGACAGCCCAGCCCTCATGCTTCAGGCCATCCTTGACTTGAAGGTGGGGCTTCACTGGGGACCACCCCTTTCCACACAGGAGCCTGTCTGCCTCCTGCCTTCATCAATCATGTTGTCCACAGCACCCAGTCTGTTTGTGAGGAGGGCAGCCTCCAGGCCTCTTCCGAGCTCCCCTCAGTGGCCCCCATCAGCCTCCCTCCCATGCTGGTAGGCACCCAAAGTCTAGAGGGGGCCAAGGTGGCAGGGGGCTGGCATGTTAGCACCACCCTGAGTGCACACACACCTGGTTGGGTCATGACAGTGCCTGGGCTGGGCCTCAACTTTGCTCCAAAATCAGAGAGGGTGCCAGGAGGAGGGCGAGGCCAGGCAGCAGGAGCAGGCACTTCCCAGCCTGTGGGGGAAGGAGTCTTCCTTGGTCCCCAAGAGTTCAGAGATGCCCAGGTCCACAGCTGCAGCTGGGCAGCTGCAGCTGCACCCAGGAGGGCAGGGCTCCTGCCCCACCAATTCAGAAAGGGGCTGGGCTCCCACTAGTTACCTGCAGACTGATAACCTCCCCTGCTGCAGTAGACGTCTTTGCAGTGGGTGCACCAGATTGGCTGCCTTTGCCATCAACAAGGTCTTACTCTGTTACCCAGGCTAGAATGAAGTGGTGTGATCATAGCTCACTTGAACTCATGGGTTCAAGTGATTCTCCCACCTTAGCCTCCCAAGTAGCCAAGGCTTTAGGTGCGCATCACCATGCCTAGTTAATGGGGTCTCCCTATGTTGCCCAGGTGGTCTCAAGCACTTGGGCTCAAGGTGGGGTCTCCCTATGTTGTCCAGGCTGGTCTCAAACACTTGGGCTCAAGTGATCCTCCTGCCTTGGCCTTCCAAAGCACTGGGATTATAGGGATGCACCACCACACCCTGCCCATATTTGTACACTTGAAAGGTTAAATTGATATATTGCCCATTATTAGAAAAAGATGTCATAGATATGTTAAGCAATATTATTAACTTCTTCAGATATTTATTTTTCACTGTGAAGCTGGATGTTTAAGCAATAAGATTGTATTTCTGTCTAGTCTTCCTAAAAAAATTAGAGTGGCATTATTCTAAGAAAAGAAGTGTTACTACCCCCACTGTTATGTCTATTTAGAGAACAACTTAAATAGTATGGGAAAGTCACCTACATCAAGGCTGGCAGGTTTAAGCTTGAGTGTGTACAGTGTTTGTGTCGTGCTGTGTTTAAAATTATCACAGAGAAAATACCTTTGTGAAAAAGACTTTAAACCACCACTCCGTCTAAAACATAAAGGCCAATAATATCATTACATGAAAAACAGCTATAACTGTCCTGCATCTGTGAACTACATTTACATTTATTTTGTTTTTTCTTTCTCCCCTTTAATGTTAGGCCTCTCTCTTGTGGTGAAACAGTCACATGATGTCAGTCTCAGAGAGGTTTGAAAAACTATTCCATTGTGCCCATTTTACAATGAAGAAATGGAAACTCCTAAGGCTAAATGAATAACTGAAAAAAAAAAAAACAGCCAGGGTATGGTACACACATTTCCTAAAGGTATGCCTGAATTTTAAATAATTTACTCAAAATTATTATCAGTAATATTCTAGATTTTGAATGAAATAATGAAATAACAACTGGTATTAGTTCCATTACTTTTTCCTAAGTTTTCTTAAGAAATATAGTTCAAAACCTGAAAAATTATTTACCTGTCCTTAAATATTTTCAAATTCCTGACTCATGAAATTAATTAGTTAAAAATAATACACATGTGAAAAATCCAAAAGTTATTGTAGGAACTTTAGGAAATTGTTTATCTGCTCAAGAATCTATTTGCTCATATTTGAGAGGATTGACTTAATGAATGTATTTCTCTAATTTCTCTGGGCAAATTTTACACTTTCAAATTGAGAACAGTGTTTCAGCAATGTATGCTGCTAGACCAGTGCTGCAGATTTTATCTGCTTCAGTAGCACTGCCAAGTCAATTATTAAAACATCTAAAAATTATCTCTTATCCATTGTGGCTTATTCCAGTGAATAGCAGTTTAGAGTAAAAATCTATTTCACGGCTGGGCACAGTGGCTCAAGCCTGTAATCCCAGCTCTTAGGGAGGCAGAGGCAGGAGGATAGCTTGAGCCCAGAAGTTCAAGACCTGCCTGGGCAATATAGTGAGACCCCGTTCTCCACAAAAAGAAAAAAAAAAGACAAAAAAAAAACTATTTCACCTATTACATCTCATTTAATTCCTACAACACCTCTATGAGAGAGGAAATTTTTGTTTATTAGTGGACATAAGAGACAGCCTCTGAGATTTGCTCAAGGACACAGGTCTCACTACATAGCAGCCTTATTTAAAAATAGAGAACTCTCAATAATATCTATAGTTTAGATCAAGCTTGTCCAACCCGTGGCCCATGGGCCACATGCAGTCCAAGATGGCTTTGAATGTGGCCCAGTGCAAATTCATAAACTTTCTTAAAACATTATTAGATTTTCTGGTGATTTTTTTTTTAGCTCATCAGGTATCATCAATGTTAGTGTATTTTATGTGTGGCCAAAGATAATTCTTCTTTTTCCAATATGGCCTATGGAAGCCAAAAGATTGGACACCCCTAGTTAGATAATAGTATTGTACCAATGCTATTTTTTTTTAGTTTTGTTAAATGTACCATGGTTTTATATTGATAAGATGTTAGGGAAGCTGGGTGAAGGGTATACCCTGTACTATCTCTCTCTTCAACTTTTACGTAAATCTAGAAATACTTCCTTCCTTTTCTTTTCTTGTCTTTTCTTTCTTTCTCTTTTTTCTTTCTTTCTCTCTCCTCCCTCCCTCTTCTTTCTTTCTCCTTCTTTGCTTCCTTCCTTCCTTCTTTTGACAAGTTGCTGCTCTGTCACCCAGGCTGAGTGCAGAGTGTGATCACAGCACACCGCAACCTTGAATTCCTGGTCTCAAGCCATCCTCCCACCTCAGCCTCCCTGGTACAGTGACTACAAGCATGTGCCATCAAGCCTGCCCTCGCTATGTTGCCAGGGCTGGTCTTGAACTCCTGGCCTCAAGCAATCCTCCCGCCTCAGCCTCCCAAAGTGCTGGGATTACAGGCATGAGCCACCATGCCTGGTGCAAAAGTACAAAAATGTAAAAATAGATCTTCTAATTATTTCACAGTGTATTAGCATTTTATTTTATTATGTTATTTTACAGGGTCCAACCCAAGTTGGAGTGTAGTGGTGCAATCACGGCTCACTGCAGCCTTGACATCCCAGGCTCAAGTGATCCACTTTGGGCTCAAGTGATCCTCCCACCTCAGCCTACTGAATAGCTGGGACTACATTCACCTGCCACCATGCCCAGCTAATGTATTAGCATTTTAGATCAGTCAGAGTAGAATATAATTTTTCCTTTTACAGATGAGGAAATTGGTACTGACACTGACTTTCCCCAGCTCAGACCAGGCTCGAGTCTCCCAGTTGTGGAGGTGGTTGGTCCATAGCACCTGCCTGATATGCAAGGGGTATGTAGAAATCTCATCCTTCTATTCAAAAAGTTTTATCAGTAGGCCCACAGATCCTACCTACACTTAGGAGCACATACAGATTGATGTGTGCAATTGGTTGCAATGCCTAAGTTCCTTATATCTGTAAATCAATTTTCCCATTACATGACTATTCAGACTATGTGCTCCCCTAGCAGTTACTCCCATCTGGCTCTTGTGCTGCTGAAAGACATTTTCTCCCTTAATCTCCTTCTGTTACTTTCCTTTGGAACTGCAGCCTTCCTCCCATCTTGATTTGGTTTTTCCCTTTGCCTTTTTTCATGAAGTCCGCTGAGTGAGGCTGTGAGGGTCACACTCAAAGCAGAAGTTTGAAGATGTGTGTTTCTCCCCACTTCCTGCTCTTTAAGAGACATCTCAGTTCAGCAAGACTCAGGCACAGCTTACCTGGTCTACTCTCTTCTCATTCGTGAACACTGGGAAGAGAGAGAAAGCACAAGTCTTCCAACTTCTGCTTTGAGAGAAGCACACATCTTCCAACTTCTGCTTACCTGATCTACTCTCCTCTCATTCGTGAGTGAAAGCACACATCTTCTAACTTCTCCACTGAGTGTGACCCTCCCTACATCCAGCTATTTGACATAATTCTATACACCAGCAAGGATTGCATGTAGATAATTACATTGCTCCTATTATAACCCTGACAGGAATTGGATTCTGATTTTTTCCTTTAATTCAGTTCTCACCTTCCTGGACTGACTTTGAACATTGCTTCCTCCCTCACCTTCTCCTGGCTTTACTTTCAGCTTCTGAATACTTTTGCACTTGGCTACTGAAAAAAATCTTATGATGCCACTCTTGCTACTGAGCATATTTTAAGGGGGGAAAAGATAAAGGGGCACAAATGCATCATTGCCAGTTTTGTTGTCTTCTCACAAAGGTACAGAACTTCAAAAGAGAGAAAGACTAGTAAAAAAAATACCCATTTTTGTATTTTTCATGCTCCCTTTCAGTTTTGTTTCATATGTAAAAGAAAAAACACAATATTGTTTTCTACTCACTCTCATCTCAACTTTTGGCACTAACTAAAGAGGAAAAACAATTTTTCTCTATTCAGTACTTTACTTCTGACACTACCTGGGGTTAGCACACACCCCGCAGGTTAAGGGCTCAGTCTCAAAAGACTGCCCCCACTTCAGGCACCAGTTCCAAGTACTGCATCCCCACTGACTCACCCTTCTGCCTGCCTTAGCTACAAATCAGGGATTCCTATGGTCCCTTCCTCAAGTTTGATGATTTGCTATGATGACTCATAGAACTCAGGGAAACACTTACATTTACTAGTTTATTATTAAGGATATTATAAAAGATAGAGGTGAACAGCCAGATGAAGAAGTACATAGGGCAAAGTCTGAAAGGGTCTTGAGTACAGGAGCTTCTGTCCCTGTGGGACTGGGGTGTGCTACCCACTGGTATGTGGATGTGTTCACTAACCCAGAAACTCTCTGAACTCCATCTTTTAGGGATTTTTTTTATGGAGGTTTCATCACATAGGCATGGTCAATTTTTAATTCAATCTCTAGCCCCTCTTTCTCCCTGGAAGATCTGGGAATGGGGCAATGGGGCTGAAAGTTCCAAGCTTCGAATCATGGCTTTCTGGTGACCAGTCCCCATCCTCAAGCCGTTTAGGGACTCACCAAGAGTTGCCTCATTAAAACAAAAGATGCTTCCATCACCCAGGACATTCTAAGGAATTTTGGAGCTCTGTGCTATGATCTGGGAGTGGAGATCAAATACATATTTCTTGTTATGTCACAATATGCATAGGTATCTTACACAATTATACTATATAAATTCTACTTTATATTTACTTTTTCCCTTTAACATTAAATTATATGCATTTTTCCATTTTGCTGCAATTGTTGTAATGTTCACTTTAGTAGATGCATAATATGCATAATTTACAGTGTTAACTGTGTCAGGTGTTTACAATACCTTATTTGATTTAATTCTCACAAAAACCTATAGGACAAGTATTGTTTTATTTATTTCACAAAAGTAAAAACTGAGGCTGATAGGGGTTAAGTAACTTGCTCAAATGTATGCATCTAGTGAGGGTTAAGCCAGGATTCAAACTAATGTCTGTTGACTCAAAAGTCCATGTTAATACTTGTCAGATAATAGAGTGAGGATCCACAGAAGAACTTCAGGCTCATCCAGGGGTTCAATACCCCAGAGATTCTGGTAGCTGCACACCAGAGCCACCTAGAAAATAAAAAAAATACTTATGCTGGAGTCTCATCTCCAGAAACTCTGATTTCATTCGTCTGGGTATAGTCTGAGACTATTATATAACTCCTCAAGTATTTTAATGTCCAACCAGAATTCAGAACCACTTCTTTCCACTGTGACAGCTTTACTGTAGAGACAATAAAACAGAGAAACACAGTTAATTTGCATCTAAAATGAATAGAGTTATTTAAGTTAATTGTAAAAGTGGCCTTATAAATTACACGCCTCCTGCTAAATTGTGGATGTCTATTCATATACATTTGGGAAGTTAGCATAGAGGTGTATTAATGGTCGCCATGGATGTAGATAACTAACCCTTGCAAAGCACGTCATGAGAAGAGAAAAAGGCCAAGAACAAGGCCCTGGGAGATAATATTTAAGAGATGTGGAGAGGAAGAGCAGAAGAGCTACAGTGAAGGCTATTTCCAGGAATTTTCAGTGCTAAATGCTGCAGAAAGGCCATATGGGAGAAGGCCTGAAAAATATCCATTAGATTCAGCTATAAGTCTTCACTGGAACTTTCATGGGAGAATACTCATGGACTAGTACATGTAAACCAGACTTTCAGTGAGTTGAGGCAAATGTGGGAGGTAAGGAAGTGGATACAATCTGTATGGACTTTTCTACAGAAATTTTGACTTTAGAAATGTTATCAGTATGTTCTCAGCTATAAGCATGAGAATATCCAAATTAAAAGTGACTTATACAATAGAGATCTCCACTCAAAATACACACACACACACACACACACCACACATAAGAAGAAGCCAGAGGTGGGTGGTTCACAGGTTTAGACTCTGGTTGGCTTCTTTGGGATACTTTTGGTCACCCTTAATAGTCATAAGATGTTGGAAACTTCTCCAAATACCATGTCCTCAACAAAAAATGTCTAAGAAGGTAACTCTCCTCATAGGCCTCTCTCTTACCAGGGAGGAAACCTTCTTGAAAGCCTCCAGTGGACTTGCCCTAATGACTCATTAGCCTAAACACTCATATCCCTTCCCACAGCTGCAAGGGAGTCTCAGAAAGTGACTATATGGTGTATTTTTCCTTTACATTCGCAGGTAGGCTTTGCTTTTAGGGAAGAGGGAGGAGAAGGATGGCTGTATAGCCAATTAGGAGTTCCACAAAGGGTGTGATGAGAGTGTGGTAGCCAGAGAGAGACATGGGCTCAATGGTGGTTTGTTTTTTTTTTTTTTTTTTTTTTTTTGCTTGTTTTAACATGGTTAGAACTGATCATGTTTAAATGTCTTTGAAAGAAAAAATATAATCAGAATAGTGAGACCTCTGTGATCATGGGATGCAATGGGACATAAAATATGAGAGATGGGCAAGAATCTCTTCCATCCTAATTGGAAAGGAGGAGAAATGGAACAGGTTGGATATAGGTAAATGTGCAGTTTTGTTGGGGAGTTGAGGAAATTCCCATCTGATAGCTTCTTTTTCTTCCCTGTGAAGTAGGCAGCTGAGTTATCTGCTGAGAGTAAGGGAGGAGCAGAGAGAGGCCAGGAGACTGAATAAAATAGGCAACATAAGGAGAGTTGCCCAGGCAACGCGGGATTTCCAGATGATTTTAAGGGTACAGTTGAGATTGGCTGCTTTCAATTTAAGATTACTGCAATCAGGGACATTTATGATTTCTTTCCCCCTTCAGCTGCACTAGACACCTAGTAAGTTACACGTGTTAAGAACACAGAAGGATTAATATCTCAGGGGACTTTCTGCCCAGGGGTGATAAAATAAATGAGGCAAAAGAATTGAAGATATTATCAAAAGAGCAATCAGAGTGATAAAACACGGAATCTAAATTAGAAGAAAGTGAAAATAGGGGAGTAGATCTACCAGGAGAAAGTCAAGGGACCAAAGGATCAGAGACACTAAGGTGGCCAAATAAATGATATATTGACCGTGAGTGAGAGAACTGGAAGATAAAGCTCACCAAATGGTCTGGATTTATTTCAGGCTTGGTACAGTTCTAAATGTTGACAAAGTCCAGAATGTGAAACGGGAATGAGTGGCTGAAGCAGAATGAAGAGAAATAATTGATAAGTCATGGTATTGGGAGAGTAAACTCTACAGCCTTGGTCCAATTTGTAAATATAAAGGTGTATGAAATAAGGACTTTCCAAGTTTAAATGTGCATATGAATCTCCCGGGTATTTATTAAAAAGTAGATTGCCATTCAGTAGGTTTGGGGTGAGGCTTGAAATTCTGCATTCCTAACAAGGGGATGACCATGTTGCTGGTCTGGAGATCCACACTTTGAGCACAAGGCACTGGAAAATCTTACCATTGACTTCCACATATATTGTCTTCTTTTAAATAATCTTCTATCCCACTTGGCTAAAGGAGGCAGACCTTAGAAGCTAGGTGCCACTTTGTCCCTCCTATTGGCTGGGGGTGAAGAGCTTGATGCAGCTATAAATCCGTTCATAATCCGGACTGAGACAATAAAAACCCCTTGTGAGAAACCGAACTGAGAAATAGAGACTGGGCCTGCCAAGCAGTGTTGGACACTGGAGCTGTAAGGTCCATTTTCCTTGAGTTTAGCACCAAGACAAACTAAAGCCATATGCAAGTTGAAGTTTTGGGAAAGTAGTGATCATGAGGAAGCAGAGGAAGCTGGTTTTTAGGAAAACAAATGGAGCAGAGGCATAGAAAATTGATGAGAAGGGAATAAGCAGCTCTCGAGTGCTAAGGTCATGATACCTTACTCAACCATCCACCTCCAACATAGCCTCCACGGATATCTGGCCTCTCTGGACTGGCATTTTGCTTCTCCTCCTCATCTTGGCTAACTCACACTCTCCTTTTGGGTCCTGATTTAGAAGCCTTCCTCGAGAAAACTTTTCCTGCCACCTGAAGCTAGTGGGTTTCCTCCCATGTATCTCCATAGCATTCCATTGTGTCCAGTTCACAGCACTTGTCACCATTTATGACAGCCACCATTTGGATACTTACTATTTGTTGGTGTCTTATATATTCTTTATTACTTTTAAAAAAACAGTTAAACGTATATACTATAGTTCCACTTATTATTATGATCTTCACTTTTTACATATGAAGGAGATCAAGAGAGGTTAGATAACTTGTCTAAGATCACATAGCTTGTCAATGGTGGCATCAGGGTTTGAAGGCAGAAACGATCAACCTCAAAGCTTGTGCTCTTAGCCACCGTATCTCTTTTCTCTAGATTCTAATTATGCATCTCTGTTTTCCACTCTAGCTTCAAGACTATGACTATGCCTGTGTCTTCACCACTATATTACCATGTCTGGTAGTTGTCTGGTACATAGCAGATTCTCAAAAGTATTTTGTTGAATGTGGCTGAATGTGAGTGAATAAAGTTATTTGTACCGCCATTCAATCTTCTAAGATAACTGGGTGCAGGATTGCGTAGCATTGCTGTTTTATCAGAAAGTCCTGAGCAAACAAACATGATTTGTAAAATATATAACTTGTAGGTCAGATATGCACCGTACTAATCCTGCTCAGTGTTGCAAATTCCAGATCTATGTATCTACATGGTTTGTAGTCCATCCCGTGTCCTAAACTGTTGAGTGGACGCCGGGAATCATGGCTTGGATTCTAAATGTTGTGTGGGTACAACGTTCCAACCCAGATCCTCCCTGCACACAAACGTTTTCAGAGCTCTCTTCAGTCTCGGCGCTATAGTGCCCTGAGAATCCAGCGTGGCTGTATATTTATCCATGATTCGAAATGCAGAGTGACGTTGTTACTTTTAACGACCTGTCCACCTCCAGTTGTCTATGCCCTAGAGCCTGGAAGACGAGATTGGTATGCGAAGCGCTGGCTCCACAGCTGCAAACTTGCTTAGTCAGCACCATCACTGGCGGCATGAGTGGACAAGTCAAATAAGTATCTAGCACTGTCGCCTCCTGACTTTCTATAAACACATAAGATCCCTGTCACAGAACAAATCAAGGCAAACATGCGAACAACCCTAAACCAAAATTACCAGTGACTGCCATTCTGTCCTCGTTAAGCGAAGACTGAGGTGGTTAAAGCAGGTTGATTGTTTTTAAGATGCTTTCAGCCAGGTGCAAGGCTATCTGCAGAAATGTGCTTTGCCCACGTGGATCGCATGGACACTAATTACTAAGGGCTAAGGAGCTGAGAAACGTGCAGCCGCGGAGATTGGCCGCCCCACGGGGAATAAGCTGGCACCTCTAGAAATAAAGCTCCGCAGCCAATGCGGCGCCTTGGCCCGCGGGATTGGCGGCCTCGGTCGTGACGCGACCTGGGCGGGCCGACTTGCGACGGAGGCAGCGGGTCCGGGTCGGGGGACCTGAGAAGGAGCCGGGAGGTGATCCGCAGCGCTGCGACGGGACCGCGCGATTCCTCTCCCACGCATCTGGCCCGCGTTCCTGGGCCTCGGCACCGGATCCCGGCGGGGGTGTGGACCCAGGGCCCACTCTCCCCGGCGCGGCCAGGGCCCCCCAGCGTGCGAGCGCCTAGGGGATGCCGAGGTTTGGCGGGCGCGGGACCAATATGGGCAGGGCCGAGGCGGGATTCTCCCTCTCGCTGTGCCTAGACCGTACTCCTGCTGCAGTTCCGGCAGAGAGCGCGGGGAGAGCAGCGGCGGGAGCTGCGGCGAGCACGCCGGCCCTGGGGTAGATGCAACACATGAGAGGGAATCCAAGTTGCTTGGGTCGGCCCCGGCAGCGACCTGAACCCGCCGCCCTGCGGGAGGGGTGTGCGGAGCGCTGGGCTGTGCTCCGGCAACTTCACTCCTCCCGCCGCCACTGGGGAACGTAGTGGGGGAGACGCAGAAGGCTAGGCGAGGGGTTCTCAATGCGTTCTTCCAAGAAAACTTTTTCTCCCTTGAACATGAAGGAATACGTGCTTACCGTAGAAAATTGGGAAAACATGGGAAATTATTGTGTAAAAATGGGGGGCGACGTGTGGGAGTCTCTCCCGGGGCGAGGGGACTGCGATTTGCTGTGCTAGCCGGGGGCGAGCGGCGGGCGGCGCTACCCTGGCGGCCCAGAGGGGCGGAGAGCCACGCGGCGCCAAGGGCTGAGATTTGAGGAAGTGGGAGCTGCCCGGGCGGGGGCGT
Organism: Homo sapiens; assembly: GCF_000001405.40. Taxonomy (NCBI): domain Eukaryota; kingdom Metazoa; phylum Chordata; class Mammalia; order Primates; family Hominidae; genus Homo; species Homo sapiens. The sequence continues at coordinate 87,219,770 of NC_000007.14, read as the reverse complement.
CCCGCTGAGAGTCTGCCACGCAGTGTTTGTTTCCTTTCACTTCCTGCGGCAGCTGCTCAAGATGAGGAGGTGCGCGGGGCCGGGGCGGAGCAGTCGCGTTCCCCGCGTGTGAGCCCCCACCCATCCCTGGCGCCAGCGCTTCCCCGACCACTCGGGTTCGGCTATGCGGGAGCCGTGAGGAGGAGGCTTGCAGTCGTGGACCTGAGACCTCGGGAGGTCATGCTGTCTTGCTTTTAAGTGGCTTGGGGAAAGTGAAGAAACCCCAAAATGGAGGACTTTGCTACCAGGACCTACGGCACCAGTGGCCTGGACAACAGACCTCTGTTTGGGGAGACGTCCGCCAAGGTGAGTGCGGATTGTGACTCCAGACTGGGATGGGGGGTGTGTCTGCTGCCTGCCCTCTGGCGGAGTCCGGGCTGCGTCTTTCTGCGGCTCCTAAAAGCACTTTTAGGGAGGAAGCTGGTTCTGCAATCCCACTTCCCTCTCAAGATGTTTGCCCGGCCAATCGTCGCCTGCTTTGGGACATGGTTGGCTAAGAGCCTTGAAGGCTGGAGTGGAGAAAAGTTCAGAAAGTTCGGGGTTGTTGGAAGCCCTTCTGGGGAGTGCGGGAACCCCCTCCGGAGGGGAGGTTGATTTAGTGGTTGTACAGCTGCACCTCCAGCAGGAGTACTGACCCTCCAGAGACTTCAGGTGTGCGCCCAGAGCTTCCTGAGAGAGCCGAGAAGGGGTGCTTCTGATTCCTGTTTACATAGAACTCATAAGGGTTCATTGCTGAGCAGTGAAGCAGCCAAGCAAGGAAAGGGGAGAGGCTTGAGGTGAGGGATTCTTGAATGATGGCCTCCATTCCAGGAAGTGATCAAGGGGTCCCTGAACCTGAACAGGCTACCATACGTTATTCTAGGCTTTAAAATGTTTAACACCTTTTAAAAAGGATTAATTATGTGATGTCTTGGGCCAACAATTGAGGAGAGATCTTTTTCTATCGTCAGCATTAACTTTCTGAGTAGTTTGGGCAAGATCTGCCTGGTTTATTTTTTCATCTAAAAGTGGCATTGGTTGGCTGGTCCCAGTGCAGTGGTGTTGACAACTAATTGATCATAGCCCGTTACAGATTTCTTTGCTCCTTCTCCAATCTCCCTGCTTCACTTGACTGGCCTAAAAGAAGGAAAAAAAAAAAAAAGTGGCATTGGTGGTCTTTGACCTCTGATAAAGTGCTTTCAACTCTCCAAAGGTAATGCACGTGTAGAGTCCAGAGCTTCCGGGATTTCTTAGTTTTGGCAGGAGCCCTCCAGCAGATAGGATAGGGAAGTGGTACACCTGGCAGTCTGGGGAATAGCCCTGAATTTGGAAGCTAAGAGGCTGCCACAGGACTACTTTATTTTTTAAACTCCACGTGGATTTTACTTTCTCTTCTCAAAATGTTTTAATATGAAAGCGTTTTAAACTCGATCTCCAGGAAGATGCACCTTGTTCATCTTGTGGCTTTGTATAATCCCAGCCCACAGTGCTCCTGGTTTGAGACGCATTCCTCCTCCAGTAGATGTTCCATCTTAGGCAAACTTTATTGACCATTATGTACTTGGCCCTGGGGAGCCAAGGAACCCTGTCAGGTGGAGAAAAAAAACGTAGACAAATGTGATGTGGTTGGATCTGTGCTACGACAGGGACATGTTAGGGTACAGACAAGAACTGGTTGCTTTTGTATGAGAAATTTGTCCATCTGTCCCAAGAACTAAGAGAGTGCCTCCCCAGCGTGCTTCAGCACATAGATTGGGGTTCTGGGTGATCCAGACCTTTGACCTCTTTTAACTCATAGCTCTTGTAATTATAGAGGTAGATGACTTGGTGTAATGGACTTGTCCATTTATGCAAACACTTAGAAATATTGATGTTTTCTGAACAGCTTGGGCCAAAACGTCCAATGATTTCAGTTTCCTATTGCCCATGATCCATTTGAAACCCATTCAAGAACTTTATTATTCCAAATGTATCTTTTATTGCGTACTTACTTACTACAAGAATATATCACACTGGGATTATTTAGGAAACTTTAGGGCATTGTAATAATAGCTTCAGCTATTCAGAGAAAAAAGTTAATATATATTAATTCCTGATCTCTCAAAATTTCTCCCTTTAGCTCCCTCTGTGAAGTTGACAGGGTGATTGGACATAGATAAATTCTACAGAATGGAGAAGGGAGAGAGACCCCTGGTCTGAGGTGGGAGAAAACATGTATCTTATAAATGGAGATGCCACATCTGAGAGAGGAGAGGCCTCCATATGTGTTCACAGCAAATGAAGATTTGAGGGCCTGAGGAGGGTAAGGCCCAGGAATGGAGCCTCAATAGTGAAAGGGTAGGACACATTACAGTGGAGCCATTTCCACAGAGGCAGCAACTGCTAGAGCAGGATCCTGGGGACACTGAGAAACCCATCCCTTGCTCTTGTGTGTGGGTGTCTGCAGCTTGCTGTTTTACATGCCAGGAAACGACACAATAGCCACTTCACAGTGGAAACTTGCTGTTAGTGAACTACAAGTTCTGAGAACATCGAGAAAGAATAAAAGCCCAGTTCCTATCCTAGTCTCACAGGTGGTTTCCTTTGCATTTTGTAATCTTACTTGCTTTATGAGAACGGACACATATAGCCTCTCAACTTTAGGTGCAAGCTCTAAGGCAAAGAGAACTGAAGCTCAAAGAGCAGAGAAGAGTCTAGAGTATGTTTGTGTTTCCTCAGTGCCAGGCAACATGGTGGGCATTCAGCTTTCCCTTGTTTGATCATCAAATTCCTTTGTGAGATGGGTGTTCTTATTTCTGTTATACAACTAAGGAAGTGGAACCCTCAGAGACAGTTACGTGTTCAGTCATACAAGTAGTTTCCTCTGGTAATGCTTCACTAACTCCCTTTCATGAGTTGAATAGTGAAGTCAGTAATTAGGCAGTTTTTGCTTCTCAAAGTGCTCCAGACATCTGCATACCTGTTGCCCTTTCACAGAAAATAGGGGTTGAAGTGGTTTGCCCCAAGTCGTGAGGTGAGTGAGGGATAATGAAATCTATTATAGAACAATGACTATTAATATATAACTAAGTTGGCCTTGAGCAGCACCCTCTTGGGGAATCCCTGAAGGAACTTTTTTTGCCTTTATGGGTGCTGAGTGCACATAGTGATTTCAGTTACTGAAATTTGTTCAATCTTTAGCATGAAAATTGTTCATTCTAAGTTATTCCTATTTAGGAATAGCTTTACAGACATAGTCATGGAGAGAAAGGCAAAGTGAAACAGTTCTCTATTGTTCCATAAATATCTAAGGGATTTTTTTGTCTTTGAGGCAGTGTCTCACTTTGTAACTCATATCGGAGTGCAGTGGCCTGACCACGGTTCACTGCAGTCTCGACCTCCTGGGCTCAAGCAATTCCCCCACTTCAGCCTCCTGAGTAGCTGGGACTATAGGCGCCTTCTACCAAGCCTGGCTAACTTTTTTTTTTTTTTTTTTTTTTGAGACGGAGTCTCACTCTGTTGCCCAGGCTGGAGTGCAGTGGTGCAATCTCGGCTCACTGCAAGCTCCGCCTCCCAGGTTCATGCCATTCTCCTGCCTCAGCTTCCCAAGCAGCTGGGACTACAGGCACCCACCACCACACCTGGCTAATTTTTTTTTGTATTTTTAGTTGAGATGGGGGTTTCACCGTGTTAGCCAGGATGGTCTCGATCTCCTGACCTTGTGATCTGCCCGCCTCGGCCTCCCAAAGTGCTGGGATTACAGGCGTGAGCCACCACGCCTGGCCCTTTTTAATTTGTTGTAGAGATGGGGCTTCCTGTATTGCTCAGGCTGGTCTCAAACTAGTGGCCTCAAGCGATCCTCCCACCTCAGCCTCTCAAAGTTCTGAGATTATAAGCTTGAGCCATCGTGCCTGTCCTAGGGATTATTGACAAGACAAAAAACGAAAGGTGTTCATCTTTTGTAAGAAACATAGACCTCATTCCTTGATACCTATGGAATTTTCATGTTAGGTTGGCTATCTTATGAATCCTAGTTTGAATGCCCAGATGCTTTTTACATCTTTTTTGAACCATTCCCAAGTTTTGTGCTATAGTACTTCTCTTTCAGGTGAAAAATATGGCACAGATACCAAGATGATAAGAAATATCTGAAGTTTCCAAGCCTGTGTTATGGCTTAGCATTTTCTAAAAGAGTGCTGTCCAGTAGAAATATGATGTGAGCAGCCATATATGTAATTTACATTTCTTAGTAGCCATATGAAAAAGTATAAAGAAACAAGTGAAATATTAATAATTTTATTTAACCCCTTATTTCCAAAATATTAATACTATCATTTCAACATATAATCAATATTTAAAAAAAAATTTTAAACTAGGCATGGTGGCTCAGGCCTGTAATCCCAGCACTTTGGGAGGCTGAGGTGGGAGAATCACTTGAGCCCAGGATTTTGAAACCAGCCTGAGCAACAAAATGAGATCCTGTCACACACACACAAAAAATTAGCTGGGCATGGTGGCACCCACCTGTGGTCCCAGCTGCAGGCTCGCACCACTGAACTCCAGCCTGGGTGACAGAACAAGACTCTATCTCAAACAGAAAACAAACTGAGATACTTTTACAATTTTTTTGTATGAAGTCTTTGAAATCCAGTATGTATTTTACATTAACAGCCCATCTGAATTCACGCTAGCCATGTTTCAGATGCTCAGTTACCACGTATGGCTAGTACAGGCGATGTCCCAAATCCAAAATCCGAAATGCTCCAAAATCCAAAACTTCCTGAGCACTGACTTGATGCTACAAGTGGGAATTTCCACACAAAAGTACTTAACACAAACTTCATTTCATGCACAAAAATTTTAAAAATATAAAATTGTCTTCCAGGCTATGTGTGTAAGGTGTATATGAAACAAATTTTGTGCTTAGACTTGTGTCCCACCCCAAGATCTCACTATGTATATGTAAATATTCCAAAGCCCGAAAAAATATCTGAAATCAGAAACGCTTCTGGTCCCAAGCATTTTGGATAAGGGATACCCAACCATTTCAGACAGCTTAGTTTTAAAGCAGCTGAAATGTTATGGTGATTCCATAACCAAGTTTGTGAAACATTTTTCTTTGTTGTGGGACTTTGGAAGCTTTAATATGCCAATTTTCATTGTGACTATAGTTGGTGAGGGTGGATGAGTAGCACTTTATAAACTGTTTAGGTGGTGTGGCCTTTTTAGCCCTAGCACAACGCCTTACTCAATTCTTAACTCCAGCTCCCTAGAGCATTCACTAGATACGTTTCTGCAGAATATACTTTGGGAAACATGGTTCAATGAATCGCCTTCCTCTGCTTTTCCCTCCCATCCTGCCCCCTAGGGTAAACTAAAACCTGAAAATGTCCTCCCCTCTTCTGCCCACAACTACCTTTAAAAGTTTTCTTTAGTACAAGCTTTAGTACACAGTTTGGACAGTCTTTCCCACTGTCTTGTGTTAGAAGAGCACTAAATTATTCTCAGGGCTTGCGAGTCAGTCTTGATCTCAACTTATTAGCTGGCTGTGGTATCATCTGAAGTCAGTTTCAGTCCATCTAGACTGGTGAAACTAGGAGGAGAGGGAGAGAATGGTTTTCTCGAGAAAGCAAAGCAGCATCCCATAGCTAGGGCAAATGGGAAAAGAAGGAACACTCTCCACTTGGTGCCATGTAGTGCAAACGAGTTTCTAAATCAGCCCACTCTGTGGGTGGTCACTGATCACAAAATAAGTGACTCATCCTCTAAGAAGGGTGGTGACAGTTCTTGCTCCTTTATTCCTTCTTGGATGTGATATATAAAGTCAATGATTTGGGGAGAAGGTACATACACTGAATTCCTCAGTAGATACCATAGTGAGAGGGAGGCCCTCTGTGGAGGGGGCAAGTGTAGTGGGCTCTGAGGCTCAGATCTTTGGTTCCAAAGACAAAAGTATCTTCCTTTATCCCCATCCCCCCAATAAAAAAAAAAAGAAGAAAACAAAGACGGTGAAAAGCAAGGGCTTTTTATGATTAGTGTTAGTCAAGCAATTCAAACTTGGAGCATTTGGCCTCTGCAAATAATCATGTAAGATTAGAGTTGCTACTTCATGCCATTTTTGTTGTCGCTTATTTAAGAACAAGGATCAGTAGGGATGGTAATAAAATAATTTTTAAAAATGCAAAGAAGAGAAAAAGAATAAAGCTATGATTAAGATAGCTGGGTCTGTGCCAGCAGCCCCTTCCTCTGTCTTAGAGCTACCAATGCTATTCTCTGAGGAGTGCAGGCTTTAGTTTATTTCCTCTAGATAGAGCTTCTAGGTGATCAAGCACAGCTATTTCTCTCAAAGGAGGGTTAGTCACCCAAAGGTGAAACAGTTCTCTCCTCTCCTCTCATTCAGCCTGCCAAAACAACTTTGCCTTTTTTTGTGTGTGCTAGAAAAGTAATTAAGAAAAATAAATGCCATCACTTTTTCTTTAGTACTCTAAGTTTTCTCTCTTCCACCCCTAGATCAGTGGACTGTAATCTCTGGGTGTGGGGCCTAGGCACTGGTATTTCTGGAAGGTCCTCAGGGGATGCTGGTGCATAGGAAGGGTTGAGATGCACTGGCCTTACTCTTGCTGTGTGTAAGCCCAGTCCAGGCTAATACCTCTCCATGGACCCCTTCTTTTAGCTGCCTCTTTGCTCTTCATAAATGTCGTTCTCCTTTCTGCTGTGTCCTCTCTTCTCTAAATATCTGAATTCTGCTCAGTCTGATTCCCTACTTTAGAACCTTCCCTGTAATCCAGTCTCTTCTCACTTTCCTTCTGTGAGCCTGGCTGTCAAAGATGTGCCCTGGCACTTACTCCTTGTGCTGTGAGGGACTTGTGTAGGTCTTGCCTCCTAACTATAGAATAAGCTCTTCTTTAATGGTAGGTGCCAGTTTCCTCATTTTTGTAGCCTTTTTAGCCCTAGGGACAATGACTTACCAAGTTCTTGATTTCATGTATATTAAGTTTTAAGCAAAGTGAGAATTTAGCGTTATCAAAAAGTAACCTACATTCTTGGGACATTCTGAGCTCACAGTAGAAGGCAGGGACTGTTTAGAAACCTGGATATGCTAGATATCAAAACAGGAAATGGTGCTTCAAGCTCTCATGCAATTAAAATCATTTTTCTCTTTTTCTTTCTGCTAAGTTGTATGTAGCAGAGGCCAGTAGTAAATAAAATATTGTATTAAAAAAAACTTAAACTGAGGTCTGGTCTCTCAGAAGCTGATGGTCTACTGAGTTTTCTCTGGATGTGATTTTTGCTGGTCTTTGGTAATATCCTTTGCTTACTGAATTGAGTCACTTTTTTCTTATAGTTGGCTCATAGGCTATGTATGGGTATAGTGACCATATTTTCTGAGTTGCTGAAGGGACATATGGGTGGATAAACCTCAGTGTCCCTGTGAGAATGGTGGAATGCATTTGAAATTGGAGCTGCCATAGAAATTGGGGCCAGGGTGTGAAGCCAGCTCAGCTCTCTCAGCTCTGAGGAGCCTGATCTCTCATTGGTAAGATTCCCCCTTAGACATGGTATAAATAGTGCAAATACCATATTAGCTGCCATTTACTGACCCTCTACTGAATGTCAGATACTCTCTTGTAGGGGCTTTCTATGTATTCTCTTCTAATCCTTATTACGACTTCACATGGTAGACATTGTACAAATATGAAAACTAAGGCTTAAAAGTTGTAACTTTTAAAATACAGGTCCACATGTAGCAGTGGAGGTCATGTGTTTGGGAGAGAATCGAGTGTAAAAGTTGTAAAGGGTGGGTGTGCCCAAATTCTCATAAATGCTTTCTCTTGCACATCCCGTGCTCTCGGCACTGTTCAAAGTCTGGTGTTGCTTTGGGAAGTCTCAGAGCAGTAGTACCTATGGGTCATAATTCGCGGCGTCCTAGAGTTAGCCAGTGAGACAGAATGTCTCCTTGCTTTCCACCTGTGTGGCTGCTATACCTCCGGTTGTCTCTAGTGACAGTGCAAGGGGAAGCTCCTGTACAGTCAGAGCCATGCTGCTCTGAGGGACCCATATTAAATCCCTGGACACAGGGCCTGAGGTTTCTTTATTCAGCTGGGCTCAAAATAAACCTTCTCCCACATTTTGCATCCTCTCGTTATGCTTTTTCCTGGCCCCTTAGGCTTCTGACTGGGCCACTTACACAGCTTTCATGGTGAGAAGTTGTGATTTGGAAGAAGAGAAGCAAAGTCATTTCTGAGAATCAAACTTTTATTTATGGTATTGGGACCCTTAAGTTTGCTTGAGAAATGCAGAACTTTGGAGGCAAAATTGTAGGATGTGGCTCAAGGGTCTGAATCACTCAGTCCAGGTAAACAATGGTAGGAAGTAGCACCCTTTGGGCATTTAATACCTGCTCAATGTGTTGCCTTGCTCTTTCCCCATCCCAGGAGAAGACAATCACTGTCTTCAGTGGCCTGAGGAACTCGTGGGTAGGGAGGGTAAGGGATGAGTATAAAATGGGATTGAGCCTTTTATAAAAGGAAGAACAAAGTGCCTGGAGGTATTGTTCCTAGACCAAACTGAGGGTCAGGCTGCTATTTCTGGTGGCCCAATAATGAGATGCAGTTGAGGAGCTGAATGTTAATAGGTAAGACAATGGGGAAAATGTCCCCAGGGAATTTCAGAGAGCTTCACAGCAGCCCCCACACTACAGGCCCTGAGGCCTGTCAAGGAAAAATGGTTTTGTGGATCAGGTCCTGGACTCCAGTGCCCTGTGTCACAGCTGCTCCAGCTCCAGCTGTGGCTAAAAGGGGCCAAGATATAGCTTGAGCTGTTGCTTAAGAGGGTCCAAGCCCCAAACCTTGGTGGCTTCCACGTGCTGTTGGGTCTGTGGGTGCACAGAAGGCAAGAGTTTGGGAGCCTCCGCCTAGATTTCAGAGGATGTATGGAAATGCTTGGATGTCCAGAAGTCTGCTGCAAGGGGGAGCCGTTATGGATTGCATTGTATGCCTGGAAAAGCCACAGACACTCAGCGCCAGCCTGTGAAAGCAGCTGTGGGGGCTGTACCCTGCAGAACCACAGGGCCATGTGGAGTTGCTCAAGGCCTTAGGAGCCCACTCCTTGCATTAGTGTGGCCTAGATGTGAAACATAGAGCCAAAGGAGGTTATTTTGGAGCTTTAAGACTTAATGACTGCCCTGCTGGGTTTTAGACTTGCATGGGGCCTGTAGCCCCTTCATTTTGGCTGATTTCTCCCTTTTGGAATGGGTCTGTTTACCCAATGCCTGTAACCCCCATTGTATCTTGGAAGTAACTAACTTGTTTTTGATTTTACAGGCTCATAGGTGGAAGGGACTTGCCTTGTCTCAGATGAGACTTTGGACTTGGACTTTTGAGTTAATGCTGGAATGAGTTAAGACTTCGGGGGGACTGTTGGGAAGGCATGATTGGTTTTGAAATGTGAGAAGGACATGAGGTTTCGGAGGGCCCAGGGGCTGAATGACATGGTTTGGCTGTGTCCTTACCCAAATCTCATGTCAAATTGTAATCTCCACATGTTGAGGGGCAGGGAGGGACGTGATCAGGTCATGGGGGCAGTTTCTAATGGTTTAGCACCATCCCCCAGTGCTGTCTCATGAACGAGTTCTCATGACATCAGATGGTTTAAATGCATGTGGCAGTTCCCCGCTCCCACACGCTTCCCCGCTCCCGCCCTCCCCATCTGTCCCCCCTTCCCCTCCTCTGTCTCTCTGTCACCTCCTCCCCCTCCTCTCTCTCTGTCCCCCCTCCCTCTCCTCTGTCTCTCTCTCTGTCCCCCCTCCCCCTCCTCTGTCTCTCTGTCCCCCTCCTGTTTCTCTCTCACTGTCCTCTCTCTCTGTCTCTCACTCTCTCACTGTCTCTCACGCTCTCACTGTCTCTTGCTCTCTCTCTCTCTCGCTCTCACTGTCTCTCTCTCACTGTCTCTCGCTCTCTCACTGTCTCTCGCTCTGTCTCGCTCTCACTGTCTCGCTCTGTCTCGCTCTCACTGTCTCGCTCTGTGTCTCGCTCTCACTGTGTCTCGCTCTCACTGTGTCTCGCTCTCACTGTGTCTCGCTCTCTCGCTGTGTCTCGCTCTCGCTCTCTCTCGCTCTGTCTCTCACTGTCTCTCTCGCTCTCTATCTCAGTCTCTCTCTCTGTCTCTCTCTCTCTCACTGTCTCACTGTCTCTCTCACTGTCTCTCTCTCATTGTCTCTCTCATTGTCTCTCACTTTCTCTCTCACTCTCTCTCTCACTGTCTTTCTCACTCTCTCTCTCTCTCTCTCACTATCTCACTCTCTGTCTCACTCTGTCTGTCTCACTGTCTCAATCTCTGTCTCACTCTCTTTCACTCTCGCTCTCTCATTCACTATGTCTTTGTCTCTCTCCCACCTCTCTCTCTTCCCCTCTTCTTCCCCCCTCTCAACCTCTTCTCCCCAGTCTCCCTCATTCCCACCCTTTCCCACCCCCTCATGCTGCCATGTAATATGTAGCTTGCTTCCCCTTCACATTCCACCATGATTGTAAGTTTCCTGAGGTCTCCCCAGCCATGTGGAACTGTTATTCAGTTAAACCTCTTTTCTTTATAAATTACCCAGTCTCAGGTAGTTCTTTCTAGTAGTGTGAGAATGGATGTAAAGGCTTCAAGGGTAGGACTGGGAACCTGAGGAAAGCTGGAGCTTCAAACCACTTCCCAGAGAGAAGCAGGGGCAGTCCACCCAAAATAAGAGGCCATGGAAATACAGTGAAGGCCCAGGTGAGGATAGAAAACATGAGTTTGTAGTAAGCCCAGTTAGTGTGTTATTTCAACTAATATTGATTATCTCTCCTGCTAGCCATCGTGGTTGGCAGAGGGATATGGCCAGGGCCATCACCCAGCCATACGGTGGCACCTTTGTACAATCGTTAGAGTATTTACACCCTGGGTAGTGGGAGCCCTCAAAAACATGTGGCTTGGCTTTGTCTGAATTAGAAAAATGTGCTGTTGCCTCTGGGTAGATGCAGGCTGATGCCAGGCTGCAAAACTTGGAAAGTGCAACATTGGGCTGAACTTCAGCTATATAGCCATATACGGTGGCCCAAAATTCAACAGTGAACAAGGAAGACATGGTCCTTACCTTCCCAGACCTTCCAAGGTAGAGGAAGAGACAGAGGAGTAAACTGACATTTGTAGTTAGGATAGCTTAAAGACTTCAGAGCAAGGCCTATTGCTGGTATCTAGAAGTGGTTGGAGGTTTGGGGGTGACCTGGAGCTGGGTTTTCAAAGAAAGTATCAGAATTGTACCCTGAAAAGCACAGGGGCAGAGCCGCCCAAAACCATGGGAACCTACCTCTTGCATCAGCATGACCTGGATATGAGACATTGGAGCTTTAAAAATTGACTGCCCTGCTGGTTTTTGGATTTGCATGGGGCCTGTAGCCCCTTTGTTTTGGCCAGTTTTTCTGATTTTGGAATGTGTGTATTTACCCAATGCCTATACTCCCATTGTATCTAGGAAGTAACTAACTTGCTTTTGATTTTACAGACTCATAGGTGGACTTGTCTCAGATGAGACTTCAGACTGTGGACTTTTGAGTTAATGCTGAAATAAGTTAAGACTTTAGGGACTGCTGCAAAGGCATGATTGGTTTTGAAATGTGAGGACATGAGATTTGGGAGGGGCCAGGGATGAAATTATATGGTTTGGCTGTGTCTCTACCCAAATCTCCTCCTGAATTGTAGCTCCCATAATTCCCATGTGTTGTGGGAGGGACCCGGTGGGAGATGATTGAATCATGGGGTTGGTTTCCCCCATACTGTTCTCGTGGTGGTAAATAAGTCTCATGAGCTCTGGCTGAGTACACAGGGGCATGAGCTCTGTTAGGATGCAGTTTGCTCATGTGGAACAGCTTCCCAGGGGTAGGATGTCTGACAGAGGAGGACACTTGAAGGTGTGAGGTCTAACCTGGAAATCGGATTGAGCACCTGGTAAGGGATGTGGGTCTATAGGACTCCCTGCGATGCTGTCTGAGGAGAAAGACTTTTGTAGAATCACATAGAAAGTTTAGAAGTAACACCAAAAATGGAGTTCTCAATCTTCCTCCACCCTCTACCCTGCCTTCTCCCTCAAGAATGTAGTAGGGAATGTCTTCATGGCATTGTCCATCCAGGCTTTTGCTTTTCTTTTTTTTTTTTTGAGACGGAGTCTCGCTCTGTGGCCCAGGTGGGAGTGCAGTGGCGCAATCTCGGCTCACTGCAAGCTCCGCCTCCCAGGTTCACGCCATTCTCCTGCCTCAGCCTCCCGAGTAGCTGGGACTACAGGCGCCCGCCACCACGCCCGGCTAATTTTTTTGTATTTTTAGTAGAGACGGGGTTTCACCGTGTTAGCCAGGATGGTCTCGAACTCCTGACCTCGTGATCCGCCCGCCTCGGCCTCCCAAAGTGCTGGGATTACAAGCGTGAGCCACCGCGCCCGGCCGGCTTTTGCTTTTCTGCAAAGACTTTTCTCTGTTTTGCCTTGCCCCTCTCTGGGAGTGTTGGGGAGCATTGCCGAAGGATTGATTTGTCAGCTGGAGTTCAGAGCTGTGATGCCTTATAAATCAGTCCTTGGTCCTGCCCTAGCAGAAAGTAACTGGGCTTCTACTCAGGAAAACGTGGACCTCAGAGATCCCCATTGTTTACCATTGATATTTCTTTGGGAACAACAGAGCCTAGCCTGGGAGGTATCTGTTAGGGTGTTGCACCTTTGTGGCTGGCAGACCGTGACCTGTTGGTCTGCAGGATCAGGCCACAGCTTCTGTGGTGCCATTGCATGCCTGCCCTGCAGCAGTGAGGCACATTATGTTCCTATTGATAGGCCAGGCCCTAAGTGGTAAGATGAGATGAATGGTCTCTACTGGTGAGAGGCATTCTAAAGAAAATACCGTTGGCCATTTCTGCTTTGAGTCTTTCATTTAACGAACATTCATTGAGTGCTTACAGTGTGCCACACTGTCAAGAAGGAAAACAAGTGTAGTAGTTCCCACTAATTCACAGCTTCACTTTTCTAGGCTTCAGTTACCTGTGGTCAGCCATGGTCCAAAAATATTAAATGGAAAACTTCAGAAATAATTTGTAAGTTTTAAACTGTGCACTGTTCTATGTAATATGATTAACTCTCACTCTGTCCTGCTCCTGCTGGGGATGTGAATCATCCCTTTGTCCAGTAGATGCTACCTGCCTGTTAGTCACTTAGTAGCCATCTCTGTTATCTGATTGAAAAAACAGTATGTATAGGGTTTGGTACTATTTGTGGTTTCAGGCATCCACTGGTGGTCTTGGAGTGTATCCCCTGCCGGTAAGGGGGACTACTTGTAGACTGTCTTTCCCATCATTAAATGCCAGTGTGGGACACAAGCAATACATTTTGATGCAGTTAAGTGTAAAGACTGAGCAAAGTGATGTGGGTGCTCTGAGGGGAGGTGCCCAGGGTGGTGTCCAGAAAGGATTTACAGTGAAGTTGATAGTGTTGAGTTCTGAAGGATGATGATATGGTTTGCCTGTGTCCTCACCCAAATGTCATCTTGAATTTTAGCTCCCATAATTCCCACGTGTTGTGGGAGGGACCCGGTGGGAGATAATTGAATCATGGGGGCAGTTTCCCCCATACTGTTCTTGTGGTAGTGAATAAGTCTCATGAGATCTGATGATTTTATAAGGGGAAGCCCCTTTTGCTTGGCTCTCATTTTCTCTCTTGCCTGCCACCATGTAAGACGTTATCTTTTGCCTTCTGCCACTTGAAACTGTGAGTCCATTAAATCTCTTTTTCTTTATAAATTACCCAGTCTCAGGTATGTCTTTATCAGCAGTGTGAAAACGGGCTAATACATAAATTGGTACCAGGAGTGGGGTGCTGCTGTAAAGATACCCGAGAATGTGGAAGCAACTTTGGAACTGGGTAACAGGCAGGTTGGAACAGTTTGGAGGGCTCAGAAGAAGATAGGAAAAGTTTGGCACTTCCTAGAGACTTGGAGGGCTCACAAGACAGGAAGATGTGGGAAAGTTTCCTTCCTAGAGACTTGTTGATTGGTTTTGACCAAATGCTGATAGTGATATGGACAATAAGGTTCACGCTGAGGTGGTCTCAGATGGAGATGAAGAACTTGTTGGGAACTGGAGTAAAGGTGACTCTTGTTATGTTTTAGCAAAGAGACTGGTGGCACTTTGCCCCAGCCCTAGAGATTTGTGGAACTTTGAACTTGAGGGAGATGAGTTAGGGTATCTGGCAGAAGAAATTTCTAAGCAGCAAAGCATTCAAGAGGTGACTTAGGTGCTGTTAAAAGCATTAAGTTTTAAAAGGGAAACACAGCATAAAAGTTTGGAAAATTTGCAGCCTGACAGTACAATAGAACAAAAAAAATTCCTAAGGAGAAAACTTGCAGCCTGACAATGCAATAGAAAAAAAAAAAAAATCCTGAGGAGAAATCTAAGTCAGCTGTGGAAATTTGCACAAGTAAGAGGAGCCAAATGTTAATCCCCAAGACAATGGGGAAAATGTCTCCAGGCCATGTCAGAGACCTTTGAGGCAGCCCCTCCCATCACAGGCCTAGAGGCCTAGGAGGATAAAATGGTTTTGTGGGCTGGGCCCAGGCCCCCCTCTGCTGTATGCCGCTTAGGGACTTGGTGCTCTGTGTCCCAGCAGCTCTAGCCATGGCTAAAAGGGGCCAAGGTACAGCTCAGGGCATGACTTCAGAGCTGCACATGGCAACTTCTATGTGGTGCTGGGTCCGCAGGTGCGCAGAAGTCAAGAATTGAGGTTTGGGAACCTTTGCCTAGATTTTAGAGGACATACAGAAACACCTGGATGTCCAGGCAGAGGTTGCTGCAGGGCCAGGGCCCTCATGGAGAACCTCTGCTAGGGCAGCAAGGAAGGGAAATGTGGGGTTGAAGCTCCCATACAGAGTCCCCATGGGGCATTGCCTAGTGGAGCTGTGAGAAGGCCACCATCCTCCAGATGCCAGAATGGTAGATTCACCGAAACTTGCTCCATGTGCCTGGAAAAGCCACAGACACTCAAGGCCAGCCTGTAAAAGCAGCTGGGAGGGAGGCTGTACCCTGCAAAGCCACAGGGGCAGAGCCACCCAAGACCATGGGAACCTACCTCTTGCATCAGCATGACCTGGATGTGAGACATTGGAGCTTTAAAAATTGACTGCCCTGCTGGTTTTTGGATTTGCATGGGGCCTGTAGCCCCTTTATTTTGGCCAGTTTTTCTGATTTGGAATGTGTGTATTTACTCAATGCCCGTACCCCCATTTTATCTAGGAAGTAACTAACATGCTTTTGATTTTACAGACTCATAGGTGGACTTGTCTCAGATGAGACTTCAGACTGTGGACTTTTGAGTTAATGCTGAAATGAGTTAAGACTTTGGGGGACTGTTGCAAAGGCATGATTGGTTTTGAAATGTGAGGACATGAGATTTGGGAGGGGCCAGGGATGAAATTGTGTGGTTTGGCCGTGTCTCCACCCAAATCTCCTCCTGAATTGTAGCTCCCATAATTCCCATGTGTTGTGGGAGGGACCTGGTGGGAGATGACTGAATCATGGGGACGGTTTCCCCCATACTGTTCTCGTAGTAGTGAATGAGTCTCACAAGATCTGATGATTTTATAAGGGGTTTCCCCTTTTGCTTGGCTCTCATTTTCTCTCTTGCCTGCCATCATGTAAGACGTGCCTATCACTGTATGCCATGATTGTGAGGCTACCTCAGCTATGTGGAACTGTGAGTCCATTAAATCTCTTTTTCTTTACAAACTACCTGGTTTTGGGTATGTCTTTATCAGCAGTGTGGAAACTAATACAGATGAGTAGTCAAAATTGGGAGTAGCATTTTAACCATGCCAGAGCTTGCTTTTTTGGGAAATGAGTTGACATTATGCCTTTGGGATTTTTTTATGGACCAATATAAGAAATGATTGTGTATGAATTATCTATATTTTCTGTGTACCTAGATTTGTTCTGACCCATGGGACAAATTCTTTTTAGAGCCAGGAGAATTTTGACTCTATCCAGTATGCTTACTTTTATTATTAGTTAGAACTTAAAATTCTGTTGTACTTCCCACTTGGCTGTCAGAAATCTTCATACAAACATTTGCGTTTAAATGAGAAATGTTTTTTAAGACAATTTTTTTTTTTTTTTTTAAGATTCTCATTCTGTCCAGGCTGGAGTGCAGTGGCGTGATCCTTGCTCACTGCACTCTTGACCTCCTGGACTCAAGTGATCCTCCCACCTCAGCCTCCCAAGTAGCTGAGACTACAGGCACATGTCATCAAACCCAGATAATTTTTATATTTTTTTTGTAGATACAAGGTCTCAGTATTTTTCTCAGGTTAGTCTTGAATCCCTGAACTCAAGTGATCCTCCCACCTTGGCCTCCCAAAGTGCTGGGATTACAGGTGTGAGCCACCATGCCTGGCCTTTGTAGATTCTTTAGCTTTTTTTCCCCCCCATTCCACCATTCCCCAAAGCCTTTTCGAAATTTTGTCTTGGTCTTTTTATTGTTGGTTAGTTAGGTTAGGGTTTTATTATAGTAGCACATGCCCTTGAAATTCATTTTGGAAGTAGGCAAAACATTGCCATGGAAATGGAAGGCTGAATACAATGTCGCTTGTAAGCATTCCAAACTGTTTAGAACCAGGATATTTCCAGGGAGCTGAGGAGCTGAGGGCAGAGCTAGCTTTTGGTTATTTGGGATGTTATTGCCAGTTTCCTCCCAGGGCCATTGTTACCACCTGATCATTTGAGTTTTAGTTTCTCTAGCAGATGCTGGCTAATGACTGACCAGGCAAGTATAGGGGTTCTCTGGCTTTTAATCACTAGGGGATTAGTCCTTCTCTGGCCCAAGTGCAGTCTGGTGATTCAGAACCATAAAGTGTAAGAACTGAAAGGGACCAGGTATCATTTAGCCCAGTCTTCTCATTTGATAGAGTCAAATGGGTTAAGGAATCCTTTTGAGGTTACGAAGCTAGCTAGTGGCAGAATGAGATGAGAACCTTGGTTTCTAGACCGTGTTAAGGTCTGTATTTATTAGTTTTAGGACTGTTAGACCTTTTGAACTGTTCATTACACTTGTCTTTTGTGAACAGCATTGGATAGGAGATTTTTTGCCATTACCTAGCCGTGTGACCTTTGGCAAGTCAGTCTTCTGGAACCTAGTTACCCATTGGTAAATAGAGATAACACTCCTTACTTGCTTTCCACCATTCCAGATACAAACCAGTTGCATATATCTCCATCTTTTTCTCCTTCCTCATTCTAAAGGAAGACAAAGACATGAATCCGTCAGGCCCAGGCTCTTCACTGTGCATTGCATTCCAGCTCTTTTCCTCTCAGCTCTCATGAAACTTGGTCAACAATCTCCATTTGTCCCATTGATTTTTTGTAACAGCAATGCTTTTGTTCTCCCATGGGTCTTTGTGGAATTCCTTTCATGAACCATCTTTCCTTTCCTTTTCATCTGCTAGTCTTCCTCAGGGTTTTGACTTCTCTGGTAGTCTCTCCTTGACTGTCCAAGATAGCTCACTTTCTGTCTTCTTAGTGCCCTCCTGAACTCTGGATAGTGTAAACTTCTGGAAGGTAGAGATGTTTTTATTCACTTTTGTATTTGCATCTGAATTATAGTAGATAATGTTTAAATGCATAAATATATGACTTACAAGATGATATAGGTGAAATCTCAACTATATATATACATGTATGTATGCACACAACGTCTGTCTTTATGTTCATGTATATATGAATTCAGACTATCTCTAAACCTGTTGCAGAATATTTTGTCTCTGGGAAGGAAATCCTAAATCTGTATCCTGTCCTCTCAGCAGGCAAGGATCCAGGCTAATTGCCATCCTTTGTCCTGTCAAGCTTCCTTGTGGAGTGAAAATAAGCCACAGTACAAGGTTTAAAATTCTGGTAGGAGAGACAAGTTATGGTAGGTAGAACTAGAGTGAAAATAAAACTGGGGAGGAGACAGAGCTAGTTTCTGTGAGAAATAATTGAGTTAATAGAGACTAGCTGTAGAAGTAGAAATAATGAGTTTCAATTTACTCCATAAACAGCAAAGTTTAAATGTATTACTCACTTTTCTCCATGTACTCTAGCTCCAATTTGGAGCATATTATTCCCCAAACTGTCCTTTGAAGTGTTAATTAACTAGCTATTTAATTATTCTCTATTATCCTCTTTGGAGATTGGGAGCTAGAAGAGCTGCTAAAACCCTGAAAAATAATCTCTAGGCCCAGGGAAGGAGCTGTACCCTGTGATTTGAACTTAATATTTAAAAATGGCTTATTTTAGACTAAACTTTAGAGCACAGCCTCTCCATTTTAAATGTGCACATAAATTACCAGATCCTGTTAAAACGCAGATTCTGATTCAGTTGGTCTCAGTGAGGCCTAAGATTCTGCATTTCTTGCAGTTCTCTCAGGTGAGGCCGATGTGCTGGTTCATAGACTACACTTTGAGTAGCAAGTTTAAAACAGAGAGCATTAGAAGTAGGAGGGCTTCTGAAGTTAACTCTGCATACCTGAATTCATGGTTGATAGAAGGCCTTGGCTTGGAGAAAGAAAATATTCTGAGAAACACTTCTGCCATGTCCGAAATAGTTCATCCCATCTTGGGAATCCCAGAGGGGACCACTACATTATAACAATAACTGATATTCATGAAAATCTGTTGGAATTCTGTTCAGTGACTATCTAAAAGGTAGGCAGGAAAGTATTCATTAAAGTTTAGATATATTTTCATCAGGATGATTAAAATCAGTTATATGGAGAAATCCAAAAATGTGGAACAAAGTCACCCATGAGGAAATCATTCTTGAAAGGTAAGCACAGTGTAGTACTTTGCTAATAGGCTTTTTGAGGTGTCATCTGCCACTTGACATCTTTGTCTAGACCAGCACTAGCACTCTAGGTTGTTCTTTGGGTGAGAAGCATAAATAGGGAAAGGAGGCCTGGCACTGAATCTTGTCTTTATCACTTAATGGTATTGAGATCTTGGGAAAGTTCTCAGTTTCCCTGAGCCTGTTTTGCTACCTGTGAAACAGTCATATTACCATTTCATCCTAGAATTTTTAAAGAGAGGATTGGTGAATGTGCTTGGCATAGTTAATATCCTTTTACCATTATTTTTCTCCTACTTTGATCCTGGTAGGCAACTTGCTGTGTGTCATTTGGCAATTAGTGATATATTGGCTTGACTTCTATTGGTGGGAGCTGTTATGAGGTATGCAGTGCTTCATTTTGGAAATCCCTGGCGCTCAGAGAGCAGCAGATATTCTTGCTTCTCAAAAATAGTGGGGCTCCCATGGATTTTGTCTCTCTACACATTTTATGTTGTCCCATGTGGGAAGAAGTTAAAGTGAGTGGTGACTTGTCCCTGGGTCCCTTTCCTAACAAAGTGGTCCTAAGTTCAGGCTCCTGTGTGCTGTGTAGGCTTCTCTAGCTGAGGTCGTGGTAAGATCTCTTCTGAGTCCTCTGGAGTTAGGGTGTGGCTGGAGTCCAGTATCTTTTGTTCTGTAACCTTTCAGTTGCAGTGGCCTTGGTCTGGAGAGTTGTGATTTGTCCTTGGTTAGATCACACACATCCAATACTTGGCTTTCTTACTCTTTCCCTCCCAATTTTGCCTGACTCTTAACTTCTGTGGGTTCTTATCCTTAAAAGGCGACTACTTGGAAATGAGAATTCGGTTGCTGCTCTGTGATTGTTCCTGTGTCCTTCCCATCTCTGAGGTTTTGTTTATTGGCGGCATGTTCCATATCCTGCCATTCTCTGCTCAGACCATTATCAAAACAACATTTAAGACGACTGATTCGTTAAAGACTCAGCTTTGACTTCTCAGAAATAAGACTGCATGTCACTATCATACTTTACCTTTTTAGTAGTACCTGAAACTACTTCTAACCAGTGACCTGGATTTAGGAATCTCTGGTTTCAAAATTGCTTCTAACTTGTTATGACTCTTAGAAAATAATTTAACCACACTGGGCCTAAATTTAGTTTAACCTGTAAAATTAGGATTGGATCAGTTTTTCAAACATTCTTTGTTGGTTGGGGTGGGATGGGAATGACAAGAAAGCTCAGTAGGTAGGTTCTTCATTCAACCAATATTTTGTTTATATACTAAAGCCCTTCACTATTAAATAACTTGGAAAAACTACTGGACTGGATGGTCTCTTAAGATTGCAAGTGCCAAGCCTTGGCACTCTAGGACCCATCCCTTTTAACAGTAGCATCTATTTTTAGACTAGACAAGGATACCTAAGCTGTATTACAAATATAGTTCCAGACACATCATGGTACTCTACATCTAGTCCGGTTCCTGATACCTTTAACCAATGCTCTGGCCTGGCCATTCCTGCAGTGCCTGTCCTTCTCCTTTGGCTTATGCTATCCTCAGCAGCACATGCATTATTTGTAAGCCTCCCTTACCCATTTGATACTACCCAATCAAGACTCTAGTATAAATGTTCTGTCCCTTCAAGAAACCTTCCCCAGTTGGCCATTTTCCCAAAGTACATTTTCCACTCTTATGGTTCAGTACACTTTGCTTTGTCTGGTAGTTTTATGTGTAAAGCTCAGAGGACTGGATCTTGGGTTTCTTTATAGTAAACCATCCAAATGCCTTGCATTGTACTATACTGAAGGTAACATGGATCCAAGTCATATGGCTTAAAAATTCTTTTCTCTTTCAGGATCGAATCATCAATTTAGTTGTTGGCAGCTTAACATCCTTATTGATTCTAGTAAGTATCCTCATTTTGTGCCTCACCCAGGCTCTTAGCCAGTTTTGAAAACTTTATCAATTATGGTTAACTTTCCAAAAAAAGCTAAATAAGTGCTTTTAATTTTATTACCACAAAATTGCAGTTGCTAATTGGAGTAGCTAATTTAATTCTGCCCCACCCCCAGGTTGAATATGTGAAATGGTACAAGTCAGACAACTTCGTTTTAAGATAATTGAGTTTACCATGTTTTGCCTAGTAAATTTGTAAAAATGTCAGTGGCTAGTAGCCACTTCCTTCTGTCATCTACCATAATTCCCCATTTCTATTTTGTTCCTGAAGAACATATCCATTACCCTTTGGTCAAGTTTTAAAAGATTTGGTCACAGTGTATAGTAGTTGTACTGTATACATCCTGTATACAGTATACATCTGGGAGCTATTACAATAAAATTTTTAAAAGCTGTATTTTCCATAGTTTGACATTTTTCTGGCACATTAAATTTAAGAGAATTTTTTTCCATGGCTTCTTAATGAAAAGATTGCATATAATGCTGCATCTGTTAGAAACAGAACTATACAACATTAGAAGTCTTTCAGTGTGTTTCATAATGTTATAGCAAAACCAGCTTTGATTATATTCATTTTGCTAGAAATATTTAAAATAACAAAATGGCTAGAACTTTTACCAGCAGAATCATTAATCCTGGGAGTGAGGTTTAGTTAATGAAGTTATTTTGGCATCAGCTAGTATTACTGATGTTTTCTCTCCTTTCATAAGTAAGGGAAAGTTTAGAAAAGAAGTACTAAAATAACTCGAACATATTTATAATTACTGTATTAACATTCTAGAAAGCAAACTTGGTGGCAGATGTAATTTTATAACATGAAGCATTTTGTAGTACTGTTGCCTAGACTCCAGTTGGTAATTACCAAGTCTTGGAATTACTGTTAAGGCCTTACATAATTTCTCTTCATACAGGTAACGCTGATAAGTGCTTTTGTTTTCCCTCAACTACCTCCAAAACCGTTGAATATATTCTTTGCTGTCTGCATCTCTTTGAGTAGTATTACTGCCTGCATACTTGTAAGTACTGTTGAGAATTTAAACAGTGTTCTTGAGGGTTTAAGTTGCAATGCACAGGACAAAAATTTTCAGCCTTGGGTCTATACAAAAGGGTATCTCTTAATTATATCCTCATCCTCCCCCTAAAAGTATGTTAGAATTCTCAATAAAATCTGAGTCTTCTCCTTTTCTCCTAAATCCCAAAGTTGTAACCCCAAAGAGAAATTCCACTCCCTTGATAGCTTAAAAAAAAAAAAAAAAAAAAAAAAAAAATTAGTGGAAAGACGTAGGTGGCCAAAGATTTTAATTTACTTAATTCATCTTCACTCAAGGACTACGTAAGGGCCAACAGTCTTTGGGAAATGCCAGTTACTGCTAAGGGAAGAGATAGAGCACTCTGGATTTAATTCTAATTATTACAAAATTAGTTTAATCTACATGTTTGTTTCCCAAAATGGAGGTATTAACACCAAAACCTCCTGGGAAATCTAAAGCTGCAGTTGTTGTAAAAATGTTTGATTTACTGCAAATGTTTCTTTTATGGTGAAGAAACAAAGATGGTGGTGGCTCCTCAGTGTTCATTCATTAGTTGGCTACATTGTTTCATGTTCCTTTAGAGGCAGAATCAAAAGAAAAAACAATAGTAATTTGCTTATCTGAGTTAAAATTAATTAAACCAGGAGACACCTCCAAGTGTTCTCATTCACTGATCCTGCTATATACTCCCATGACCCGAAGAAGAACTAGCCCATCCCACTTTGGGAGCTTTCCTGTTCCCCTAGCTTGAAGCCTAAAGTGACTAACAGACAATGAACTAGTTTAATCCAAATATATTATGGAAGCCCTATTTTACGGTCTGAACCAACTGTATGAATCATGAGTCTAAATGTTGTCTTCCTTTCCTGTTAAGTAGTATGCCCAGGTATATGTTCTTGGATAGCTTGCCAGATGACTGGTGGAGTATACAGGTGTGAATATAGAGGAAAGTAAACTGAGAAAGTAGGAATAAGTATGATCTTGGATGTGGAAACTCAGAGTAAGAATTAAATTCTGGCTGTACTGATCTCAGGAATGTAGAGACCTCAGAATATGGAGAATGTCTGTCTCATTTAGGGGAATAAACAAATACTAATGAAATTTGAAATTGGTAGAGAAAATGTTATATTTCAAATTTTAATTTATAAACTTTAATTCTTCTTTTAGATCTACTGGTATCGACAAGGAGACTTAGAACCGAAATTTAGAAAGCTAATTTACTATATCATATTTTCTATCATCATGTTGTGTATATGTGCAAACCTGTACTTCCATGATGTGGGAAGGTGAGGCTGCCAAGGAGAAGTACTTACCAGGACTCTTCAAAATGATACATTAGGACAGTGAGTAATTTTTGGATAAGGTATGCTGAAGAATCTCCTGCAGAAGTCTGATACATGATTTTCATGTTAATTGTAAATGTTAATTCCCTCTTGCAAGGGAGACATATCCTAGATCACTTTGCTTTTTCTTTAAGGAGCTGATGTTGCACCTAAACATTCCAACCCTTAAAGCTAAAACAGCACAAAAAAATTTCACTTTTGAAATGAAATTTTTATAATTGTATGGCAAAAGGCTATGTAAAAACAAATCTTGCATCTTAAGACAAATATTCTTTTATTTCTGTTAAACTGAATATACAATTGTTCCCTAGGCAACCAACTTTTGCTTATAACTACAATTTAATTTCACGTTGACAAAACACAGTGAAAAGACAACTTTGTGAAGATCTAATTACAATAATAAATAAAATAATTTATACAAGGGTTTTTTTTTCTTGACTTTTCTATAGGGGTCATATTCATTAAAAAGCCCAAAAGGCTACCTTTGCCTTAACCCTTCTGTAGTACAGGAATGATTCTTAGATTTGTTTCCTTTTGTTATAGAAGCAAATATTGTTTTTTTAAAATAGCCTGAGATGAGAGGTTATATTGTACCCCACCAGCTAACACACTAAGTGGATGACAAACTATTCTCTCGGTAATTTATATAGCAAAACATCTAATAAATGGTCATGGTATCAAGGATAGGTAACATTACTTCCTTCCTCATTTAGTTTTACTTCAAAGTGCTAACTTTGTAAACTAATGACAGTGGTTTCTGAGGGGGTGAAAACTGCTTAGATTCTGGTGGGTTTTGTTACTATGCTTATCCATATTCCCTTTAAAAGTAACAAAAAACCTGTAGTGAATTTTAACTTTTAATGCTTTCCTGTTTACCCTGCCTAAATCAGCTCCCACTGCCAGCAATGGGTTAACCAAATGTACCACCACAAGACCACCTCCTAGGTCTCTATACTTGTATGCTGGTCAAGTCTCAAACTTAGTCTTCTTGAAGATCAGAAGATCACTGGTAAGCTCTAGACCATGTTGAAGACCATGTTGAAAAGACTCATCTGAACTACAACCAGGCTTGAGAGGAGACAGTGCCATGTCTGATCTTTAGAGAAACTGTACTTTAAACCACAGCAGTTAAGCTTTCGTGATTCTAAACTTTTCTTAGTGGCTGAAGTGAATGAAATTCCTTATTCCCATGTAACACTAAACAGGGATTTATGCTTAAAACTCCCAGCCTCCACTCAACTACATACTGTCATAAAACTCAACCTCAGATGATGTGTTTAAAGGAGGTAAAAAGTCATAGCAGCAACAATGTGTGTGGCTTAAGGACTGTGGCTATTTAAATTGGTAAATTAAGCCTCTTGGGGGTTGCTCCTATTTCTTTGAAGAGGTTGTAATTAACAGTGTGCCTTCTTTGCTTGAACTGCCTATTTCTAAGAATTATTCTAATGACAGTTTACCAAATCTTCGACATCCTTTGAATCTTCTGAAACAGGACTGCCCAAGGATGATCCAATGATATTTGATTCTTCCTGATGATGTTGGAGTATGGGATCTGTAATGAGTTTCAAGTTAGTCTTAAATGTATATATTTATTCTCTAATCCATGTCAAGAATTTAAGGTATTCTACCACAGTGTAGAACTCAACAGGACTAGTAGCTTATTGGATCAAGAAAGACTGAAACAAGTTAATTAAATGTCTGTTTTTTTCCATCTAAAATTTATCAGGCACATAGTAAGTATTATATTACAGTACCTGTTAGTGTTGTCAAAGGCAAGACAGATTCAGTATCTATAACATCAGATGCCTGGATAAAGCCATGTGGTGAAGGAACGATAAGTATTGTTTCATCATCAATTGTTTGATCAACTTGTTCTTCTATAGTGGGAGACTCTAAACCCTAAATAACATTAAAAAAAAAATATTGACTCATATTCTTACTAGTCTTCCTTAAAATCCCATGTATAGGTATGTATAGGTTAGACTTAAACATAACCCATTTAAAAATCAGAATATAAAATAAAAAGTTAAGGTCTCACAGGGACAAAAGATGACCTCACAATCTAACATACTTTTAACAAAAGGAACTCATAAGGACTAGGTCAGTTATAGGTCAGCTGAATATAACAGAAGAAACAATGCTGTTACAGTGTAGGATGATGTTCCTAGGCTGAACCACAAAGATTACTAACCACTCAGGAAAATGCTTCTATGGGTTCTAACAAACATTTCTCAATGTATTGTAGGTAAAGAGGAAAAAGTTTTAGTGAGGAACTGTGGTAAGATAGAACATGGTTTTCTTATTCTTCCTGACTGCCACAGGATCACTGCCTGCCCATTTCTGCCAGTGACAACACTTTGTGAGGTGTGAGGTTGGGGGTTTGAGCTTAATTTCATGAGTCTTCAGAAAAAAGTTTCCCAAACTGCAGGTTTGAGGCTCAAGGCAAGAATCCATTCAGTTGTTCTTAAAGTACAACTTACCTCAGTAACATAAGCACTGGCTAAATCAGAGGGTGATTCCTCTTGTTTAAGGTCGGTGTCAGAGATTTCTTCTTCTGTTCTGACCATAACACTATTCATCAGTTCTGTGCTATTTTGGTCACTGAATTTGGATACATGAGCATCATTAAATGATGGCTCCACAGTCATCTTAGGGTGATGAATTTCATCTGGGAAAGTGTCTGCTTCTAGGGCGTCTGGAGGCTCAGGAAAATCAGATGACTGAATATCACTATCGACTGTCAGTTCTGCTTGGGATATGGAAGAAGTGATGTCCTCTGTGGCAACAGTCTGAATGATGACTCTTGGTGTGTGACACTGCACTGTAACATTATCACTTGTGTTCAACAAATGTTCTGGCTATAAAACATTAAAGAACCTGTTAAAGTTGTAAATCAAATGACATTTATGGGGGTACCTCACTGTCTCCCCCCACATCTCTTACCTCTCAAACTGTAAATACTTTTATCACTATTTTTCTAGAACCCTTGTCCTTTACTTGCTAGGGCCTTTGTTCTTCTAATGTCCCTATTCTAATGTATAGCCATCTTACATAAAGAGAAGGGATGAAACATACACTCCAGTGAAGGCAGAGTGATGGTGTATAACACTGTGCCTGGAACAGCAGCAGTAGGAAGAACTGTTTAGATAACTACCTTCTATTTTGGTCCTTATCAACTAATCCTGGTCTATAACAGGTACTCAAAAATCAAGTAATTTATGTAACATACGGATAAAGCATGAACAATAATCTGTTCAGGAGAAGCAGGAGCAGCAGCTGTCAGGGTTACTGTGGGACTAGCAGTCAGAGTTAGGGGAAGGCCTTGGCTTGAGCTTGTTTGAAGTAGGTAGGTGCCTGGAGTGCCAGTGGGCTGTAGATGGAAAGACTAAAGGAAAAAGGAAAGATAGTTTAACAATGATTAAGTCTACTTTTATATACAAAAACGGACTGAGTTTAGTTTACTAGACACAAATGTACTTACCCATTGTGAAGGTGCGAACAAGTAATACAATGTAGGGCATAATCGTCTCAAGTCATTACCTAGCCTGAAGGTTTAAGAGGCTGCTCTTTGCTCCTGTGTATTTCTATGGTCTGGTCTCAGCTATTTGTTTCAGGGCACCAAGACAGTTGTATGAGCCACTGTTTCCAGTGCAGTAACCCACAACACCCAATCACCCCTCTTTTTCTTTCTTTGTAGCACGTAAAAACTGGCAGGCCCCCAGTTTAAAAAAAAAAGGCACAACAGCAGTGTTTACTTGAACACTTTTTCACGGTATAATTTTGGGAAATTTTTTATAGAAAGGGACAGGGTACAGAAATAGTAATTAGCAATGTTCTGCTGAAGGAGAAAGATGTTTATCTGAAAAAGCTGGTTAACTATTAAATAACACATTTTCTTTTGAATTTTTAAAGGAAGTATAATAAAATTGACCAATAAACTTTTCACGACCATAAGCTTCTATATAAAAAATTTGATTTAGGTTTATCTTAATATTCTAAAAAAGTATTTGCACTCTAAAATAGGTCTGGGAGTTAAAATCATGTAGCCTGTTTTTCAGTCTTGTGTACTTAGCTGAAACAACTCTCCTGGGTACTAAATCCCCAAATATAGGTTTCCTTATTGCTAAAGTGGAGACAGTAACTACTTCTCATGGAAAGTGTTTGGGATTAGAAATGATTATGAAAGTGCCTGGAACTCTGTGAGGACTCAATTTCTTTTCCTTTCCATAAAGGTTAAATCATTTTCCTAAAGGTAGCATATATTAATCACAAATGTGAGGCTTTATTTTAAATACTTTATATGTACATGTATATATTATATGTGTTTTATTTAATATACTTAACATTTAATTTTCACAATTTTTTGAAGCTGGAGTACTATTATTATCCTGTTAATAAATTAAGGGAAAGCCTAAATATTGTGACCCCATAAGTAAAAACCTGAACACATACCTCAAATATGTAGGTGTGTACATATATTGTTTACCAGGGGAATGGGCTTAAAAAAGTAAAAGTTTTCTACCTGTGTCAAATGGTTGTCTTATACATCCCCATTTCAAAGACCACTAGATTAGGAGACTGACTTAGGTTAAGTAAGCTGCCAGTAAAAAGTTCCAAAGGTGGCCATCCTCTTGGGATTTGGCTGGGGAGAGGATGAATAAAGTCTTGCACTAATAATAACTCTGTGTTCTTCATGGTAAATTAAATCTTGATTTAATAAAATTTTTATTTTCTTAAGGAAATATGAATTATAGGTTTACTTGTTTTAGAAAGGGCATTCAGTCATGCTCCACTTTCAACCTACACTTCAGCTGCAGGAAACCACTGATCTACTTTTCGTCTACAAATTTGCCTATTTTGGACATTTCAAATAAATGGGAGCCCAGTACTATGTGATATTTTGTGTTGTCTGGTTTCTTTCACTTAGCCTATTTTTCAAGGTTCATCAATGTTGTACCATGTTTCAGTATTTCATTGCTGAGTAATATTTGCATGGCAATAGCACATTTTATCCATTTTTCTGTTGCTAGACATTTTGGTTGTTTAATGCCATGAACATTCATGTACAAGTTTTTATTGGACAGATATTTTCATTTCTCTTAGGTGGATCCTTTGGTAACTGTGCTTAACCTCTTCAGGAGCTACAACACATTTCCAAAGCAGCTAAACCACTTAGCACTGGGACTGTTACATTTTGTATCCCCAGTGGCTAGTACAGTGTTTACTGAATGAATGTTGTTAAATTGCTCATGATTAGTTTGTCCACAGACTTTCTCAAATAACCAATATGAACTTTTTGGTTATAAATTATAACTCAGTACAAATCCACAGTATGTATATACTCATTAGCACTGTCATTTTCATATAGATAACATTTTGGTTTATATACAGATGAGAGAAAAGCTGATTAAAATTATAAAAGTAGAAGTCTGATTTAGTCTACCATTCATTTGGCCTCAGACTTTTATGAATCATAAGCAAATGAAACACAAAAGTGATAGCAACTGATCTTTCTCATGCATAAAAATGGCCAATATATATGAAGCGTTACTCACGGGAAGAATCTCAAATGTCTGTAGTGTTCCACTGTTTAGTGTTATTGTTTCTGAGTCAACGGTAGCAGGAGAGTCTGCTGAAGCTGTGGTAAGAATAAGGTAAGCTGTGGTAAGAATAATTTACAATAAATGTTTTGTTAATTTAAGTTTCTCTAGTGTACTCAATTATCATAAAGGCAATTTAATATTGAATAATTTGCCTGGAGACCTGAAGTCATTTACATTTCTTAAGAGAGATAAGGAATCTAATGAATTTGTCTTGCATGACATATAGTGCAGGGGTGGGCTAACTATGGCCCACAAATCCAGCCCATTGCCAGTTTTTGTAAATAAAGTTTATTGGAACACAGCCACACCTACTGGTTTATATATTTTCTGTGGTTACTTTAGCACTACAACAGAGTTGAGTACCTGTGACAGACACCAGAAGGCCCATAAAGCCTAAAATATTTACTATATCTGTTCCTTTATAGAAAAGGTTTGCTAACCCTTGGTATACATGATTAAATGTTTCTAACGGTAGGAAGTAAAGAGGAACACACTAAGACCAACCTGCAAAAAGACAGGAACTTGGTAAAAACTAGTTTTCTTGTATATATGGGTAAGCACTATGGATGTCTGGACTGGTAGTCCAAAAATACTAGGCTTTAATCACTTCCTAGCAGTATAAAACCTGGGTAAATAACTTACTTTATAAACTAATGTTCAGGTATTTTTTTTTTTACCTGTCCTGCCTACCTCATACAGCTGTGAGGATCAAAAGTGCTTGTAAACACAAATAAATGTTAAGAGAGCATTATTTCCGAAGACCACATTTGGGGACTGAATAAAGATCAGACAGTATAATGTCTTTACATGTGTGTCAACTGAGGATCAGACTTTATCAACGTCTGCTCAAGGTTAAATAGAACATGCTAGAAATGTCATCTTTTTTGGCGCTTGCAGTCATACCTATAGGTAAATTATGTGAAATATGATTTGGAACTTTTACTGTGTAATGTTTATTATAGTTTATTAAATTCTGACTACAACACTTCTCAGCTATTTAAAAGGAATCTAATGCCCTTACCAATAGAAATGCACTTGATTTGTAATATTCATCTTACTGTTTGATGGATCCATAAGATCACAGCTATAATAATTTGAAGTGATTCCAGATAAAACTAAATCAAGGTTAGCAAACTACTGTCAGGGACAAATGTAGCTTAAGGCCAATATGGTTTTCACATTTTCAAAGGGTTGTTTAAAAGCTAAACAAAGACTATCCCTCAGAAACCTATGTGGCCTGCAAAGCCTAAAATATTTACTATCTGGCTCATTACATAAAGAAATTTGCTGATCCCTGTTCCCTAACCTAAAAAACGAAAAGAGATTTTAGTTAGAATGCTACAGGTAATAGGTGGATTGTAGAACACTTAACTATATTCATTTTTCTTGCTGTAAGAGAGAAAATTCTAAATACTATTTAAAATGATGCTATCAATATTAAGGTATCATTTATAAAATGTTTGTCTTCCCAATGGGTACTGTCAACTCAATAGCCAAGAAAAACTAACATGCCCAATCAATTTATAACCAATAGCAACTCTCATATTTACTTGGACTAGTAATTTTAGTTGCTTTGCAATCCTCAGACTGTAACAAAAACGAAAAGAAATCCTTCATTGTTGATTACACTGGTAGAAAGATAACCAAATTCAGATTAGGATTTTAAGAATAAGAGGTATGGTTAGTTTAAATGTCTCTAAGGTAACTCTGACAGTCAATGTACATGGATATATGGTGTTAAACACCAATATGTGGTTCTGCGATTCTCAACCAGGGAATCATAATGGTATATTTGGAAACATGCAGGGTGTTTCTGTTTCTCATAATGACTGGCATGTACTACTAATATTCTGTGGGCAAGATCAAAGGACACTGAATATCCTGCAATGTAAAGGACAGTCTGCAAAAACCTGTCGCTCAAAATGCCAATAATCACCTGGTTGAGACTAACATAGTGATTGGAATACTCTTGGGTTATCTTTTCAAATGCAGGTAGCATATGTAGACCAAAAACAAGGAAGAATATGGTTCTGAGAATTTCATCCTCATTCCTTTTTTTGTCACTATAATTCAAGACTGACGGGAAGGGATAAAGATCAATTTGACTTATACCTAAAGAAGAAAAAAGTTCTCACTCTAACAATGGCTGGGTTCCCATAATCTCATTAAGCATAAAACTGTCCAAACACAGTTCCCAATAGGAAACTGGCCCTTTACTCCCTGAAGAAAATCATTCTTAACCTTGCCAAAACTCATTTCTTTACCAAACGACCTCAAATCAATCCCCAATTGATATGTCTTCTAGTGAAATTACTACACGACATACCAGTTGGTGAATTCTATTTCTTTGCTTGATTGACTGCTTTTTAGGTAGTTTTCTATCATTCATTCTAATTTCTATTTTTAATAATTTCTATTAAGTCATTAATTACAAAATCTAGAAATTAAGATGGTTTCAAATGGTTTATAATGGTTGGGCAACTGCTTATACATCCTTCCTGTCACACATTCATTGTGTGTGCAAATATTAACTGAACTAAACAAAATATCTTAGATGTCCTTCAGTTCACCGACTTGGGTAAATTTCTATTAACATTCTAGAAAACCAAAAGACATCAGAGCCATTAACCAAATCATATAGATCAAACAGCAAGGAATCTTGAAGATCAAACACTTACAAACATGGGTGATCTGGACTGGAATCTGCAATGCTGCCATGGGGCTAGAAGAGATGGCTGTATTATCTTCCAAGCGGGCAACTCTTATCTGAACATGCTGCACACTGGAATTGGTATTACTGTTTGGAACTCCAGATCCTGATTTATTCTCCAAAAGCGTTGGGTTGTTTTTTTGGTTCTCATGTAACTGTTTAAGACCTTTTATTAAGACTGAAGGGAGATGGGTAGACAAAAAGAACATTGATTCTCCGACAGACCACCATCTAAGCAGCAAGGGAGGTGGGGGGAGGTAAGGAGGGAAAGTATTTGGAATAAATAACTGCATACTGGATGTGAGAGCTTATAAAAATAAGATATTTTAAAAAACAACATATCCTGAGATTTTTATAAACATCGTAACAAATTTTAATTCTTAATATTGTTATTCTTGCCATCTAAGATTTATAGTGTTAAAAAAAGGTAGACATTACAAAGAACATGGAAACAGGACATTTTCTATTCTAGGGTGTCTTGATAGGATTATTATTTAGGAAGAATACTGGCAATGCTAAACAGCTTATTTTCATTTTTTAAACGAATAGTGTATGTTTTCCCCGCCAGGGCTGAAGGGCCCTTGACTGTTGGTCTAGAGGTAGCAACTTCTCTTTTCCAAACAGTAATATGGTATTCTTGCGCAGGGAAGCCAATTCTAGACTTTGCTTTGCTCTATTCGTAAAATACGCTTATCCTCTCTAACTGGATTTTTTAATTTAATTTTATTTTTAGACAAGGTCTTGCTCTGTTGCTCAGGCTGGAGTGGCATAATCATAGCTCACTGCAGCCTCGAACCCCTGGACTCAAGCCATCCTCCTGCCTCAGGCTCTTGCTCCCCAATAGCTGGGACTACAAGCACATGCCCACCATGCCTGGCTAATTGGTTTTTATTTTTTCTGTAGTAATGGGGTCTTGCTATGTTGCCCAGGCTGGTCTCAAACTCCTAGCGTCAAGTGATCCTCCTGCCTTGGCCTCCCACAGTACTGGGATTATAGGCATAAGCCACCACACCTGGCCTATACCTGGGTATTTTAAAAAACCACATTTTCATCAAGGCAAAGTTCCTCAGCATTAAATTTTCCTTTGGAATAATGGAAGTTAAGAGTGCTATAATAAGGGGAATAAATTTAGTAACCTAAATTAAACAGACTGTACAACTAAGTTTAATACCTAAATGCAAAACAGGCAACAAAAAGTATGCTTCACTTTAAGCAAACCCAACTTAAGATCTCTAGATTTATATAATTAATAAAATTAGAAAATTACAGAGCCTTTGTTCTACAAAATTATCACAGAATTTCTCTAACACACCTAGCTAAGATATTTGAAATTATACAACTCACAAAAGTTGACTTAAACTTAGGTTTTCAGAAGTACATCTTTGTACAAAATAAAAATATAGTCATCAATCACTTAAGGATGGGGATATGTTCTGAGAAATGAGCCATTAGGTGATTCTGTCATGGGATCATCACAGTGTACTTACACAAACCTAGATGGTACAGCCTACTACACACGTAGGCTAGATGATCTATACAGTCTATTGCTCCTAGGCTACAAACCCTTACAGCATGTTACTGTACCAAATACTGTAGGCAACTGTAACACAATGGTAAATATTTGTGTATCTAAACATAGAAAAAAAGTAAAAATACAGTATTTTAATATTGTGAGACCAATACTATGTATGACATCTGTTGTTGACTGAAAGGTTATGAGTGGCCAGCTATGCTGGCTCATGCAGGTAATCCCAGCACATTGGGAAGCCAAGCTGGGAAGATCACTTGAGCCCAGGAGTTGGAGACCAACCTGGGTAACATGGCAAGACCTCATCTCTACGAAAAAAAATAGCTGGACATGGTGGTGTGTGCCTGTAGTCCGAGCTATTCAGGAGGCTGAGGTGGGAGAATCACTTGAGCCGACAGGTTTAAGGTTACAGTGAGCTATGATCACACCACTGCATGTCGGCCTGGACAACCAAGCTAGACCCTGTCTCTAAAAACATAAAAATTAAATCGTTATGTGGCATGATTTTATTTCCTCCTGATAGTTTACGTAGAAGAACAAGAATAAGTGTGTACATTTTCATTTTAGGGGCTTTAGGAATTACAAACAGTATTAACTCTTCTCTGGGGAAGGAAACAATTACTGAGAGAAACAGGGAAGTGGTGTAAGTAGAAATCTGCTATGATATCTCTAGCTGGGGCAAAGAACTTCTAACCTCTCACTCCTAAGGAGTAAATATGGTAAGAAAAGGGGAGGAGCTTAAAAAGTAAGTAATACATTACCAGGGAACGAAACATCCTTATGGTTTGCAATTTGCCTTTTGATGGTCCACCATTTACTTCGTAGCCATTGTGGTGAACGGACACTACTCCATCCCTCAGCTAACAGATCCCAGTTAATGTCATTTTCATCAGCTACATCAAGTTCTGCTATCCTACAGTTACAAAATAAGCATCGTTAGACATTAAATTAATTTCTCTATAAGAACCCCTCCTCTGACTACAGGTAATTGCACTGGCAAATAAAGGGAATGGCAGGTTATGCCAATGAGATGCTATTGTTAAGTTACACGGGAAAGGATTCCAGGAGTGCAGATCTGCTTTCAGAGCTAACAGCTAAGAAATACCAACAGCAACCACTTTTAATTAAAGGTACAACCAATGGGCTAAACTATAAATGGTTAGAGCCAGATGAGGCACTGTGAAGGAAAAGGAGTATGCTAAAGGTTAGAATAAGAACAGATTTAGTTGTATATATGCAATGTTTCATAGTGTGGCATTTACTAAGTCATTTACTTCCTGGATCTGAGCGTTTCCATTGTTAAGCAAAAATATTTAGAAATGAGCTATTTATAAAGATGACTAGTTGAAAAAAAAATCCAAAACAAAATAACACAAAAGCAATAGCTGCAATCAAAAAACAACACAACAGTACAACAAAATTTGAGGTTTAAAAAAATCTGTTCGTTTTCTAGCTTTGTTGTGACAATTTGATTTTCGGTAGGGAGTAGCCATGGTGACAGTCTCTATTACTTCAGGGTCTTAAATAATTTCTTGCTAGTATTTTTGCCCATTTTAGTTAATAAATCTTAATGGTTAAACCAGCTACTTAAAAAAATAAGCTGGGATTATGATATCTTAAAGCTTTTTTGAATTTGTATGAAATGGATGTGTTTGATTTGGTCTACTTTGGAGGTGTGGAGGTAACTACAGACTGGGCCCCCTTCTTGGCAATCTTAGCACAGTAGCCAAGGATTGAAGGGCATGGAGACTGAACAGCCCTCTTATCCTAAACGTGTTCCCCCTAGGCTAGGACTGAGGCACATTGGTGGGACAGTGGAAAAGCTACACTGCCGCTGCCTGTGCCATACCTGTTCTGTGGATATAGAGAGGACTTCAGTCTCCACGCCTTCAATCTGGTACTTTGCATGAGCACTAAACCCACTAAAAAAAAAAAGGAACAAACACAACACAAAAAAAGAGCTCAATATGAAATACTTAAGATCTTAAACAGTAGTGCTCTATGGAAAGGATACTTTTCAGACACTAGGCATCCAGGAAAACCAAAAGAGGAAAGTCTATCAAGACATCCACAGAAATTAAGTTGCTTTTGTCATTACAAGATTCAGGACACAAACCTGAGGATGAGATTGATTTCATCTTCCTTGGTCCATTCAGTACCCCCACTCTGTTTCCAATTCAGGTAGTTGAGCCATTTAGAACGACATTGCTTTTCTGAGCGGGTACCGACTCGTTCAGCCACAGCTGCCCAAGACACACCCTGTGTGACTATGTCACCTGGCTCAGTGCTTGTCAACTCATGAACCACTTCTGCAAGTCTCTTTTCTTCTTCTTCTGTCCACTTCCCTGAAAAAAGGAAATCATCCAGACTACCACTGCTAACTTCTTTTACAAATCTGATTCAGCCCTCTATTTACAAGGACTGATAGGAAGTAAGCAATAGTACTAAGAGTTTGTTTCTGAATGACCCTCTGGTGGAAAACCATATATACCCACTAAGACAGTTTCATTTTACTAGCCCAGTAAGGGTCTCAGTAGAAAAGAAAATAAAGAATCCTAATGGAAAGCACTGACCAATTATGAAAAGAAAAACCACCCAAAACATAACTACAAAGAAGAATGTATTCTCAAGTTACACTAAGTCCTTTATAAACAGTGAAGTGGGAAGAGCTTCGTCAATGGCTGACAGACAAGAAATGGCATGCTTTTTTTCTTACTGTCACCTAAGATTCCCTGCTCTGCAAAAGTAAGTTCAAGAGGCCATTACTTATAGGAATGAATGATGAGGGACAAGGGAAATTACACCAATGGGCTCAACCTATTTTAGTAAAAACTAGGTTTCTACCATCTTGTTTCCTCACTATCCCAACTCCAAGCTACTGTGATGAAATATTAGTAAAGTCTGATACAAGTATTTACTTTTATTCCTGTGTTTTCTCAACCCATAAACCCACTAATAGATAACCCCAAATGTTCCTCTCTGTCTTTTTCTTATGGAGCTAGAGCAGAAAAACAGAAAGGGAAAAAAGCCATTTTTTTTCATCTTCTTTACCTCTGTTTCCATTTTGTTATTACTAGCTGAAAACCTCTAGAAAATTTCAAAAAGACTGTGCTTGCTTTGGGATTCCATTCATCTAGCAAATGTTTATTGAATTTTCATTATATGCCAAGCACAATTATGAATACTGTGGATGGATTCAAGACAAAGTTCTACTCTCCTATTCTAGCATGCTGTGAAAGGATGGGACTACTTTGAGACTGTGCTGTTTCATGGCATGGCCTCATCAGCAGCTGTATGTCACAACATGAGAAGGAAGCAGGCAGATCAATCAATCCCTCAGGTTGGCAATCAGGAAATGCCACTGTGTCCTTCCAAATTTTGTTACCAAAAGGGGTTCTGTACTCACAGCATCTTACATGAAACTCTGAGATCCTATCCTAAATCTAAAGCTTACAGCCCTGCTTCTTTCATTAAGCTGGCCATGTCACAGAATGACAAAGTTGGTAGAAGTTATGTTCTCACTGCCCTGCAGGTAACAGTGATAGTGCAGTAGTTAAGCAGGAAAGAATTCTGATTTCATTTTTAGAGCAGGGGGTTAAGGTCAAAATGTATATGCCCTGGAAGCTAAAGCTAAACTTCAGAAATTTTTTTTTTAATTGCAACAGTGGGCATGGATTGTGGATCCTTCAGAGAACATTATGGCTAAAAGGGCACTATGAGACCACCTACTCTAATCTCTTTACTTTACAGAAGGAAGTGAGGCTCAGAAAGGTTAAATGACAGTTAATAGCAGAGCCTAAATACGTTGTTGGTCGCAAAGATTAGGTTTAACAGTATGATCAGGACATCTGCATGCATTAAGAGGCATTTGTGGTCTTGCCAGGGGACTGAAACACCAATCATAAATTTTTTCTATGGAAAAATATACTTTGAGTTTAAAATAAGCAAAATATTTACAAATCTTTGGAACACAGCTTCTTCCTAATTTGGGACTTACCTGTGACTAAAGTTTTTCATAAACACTCACTGATTAGCTGTTGCTAATGTAAATTCAACAGTTAGATGGGCCTAAATTAAAATTACTTGCTGCATGTATGTCTTCAAAATACTTTCTCAACTGGGGAAGTATTGAAATTGTTACAAAACTGAAACATGTTAGATCTGAATCATCTTGACACTAAGGTGATGTTGTGTCCCTGAAGACAATGTTACCTTATACAAAAACAAAGTAAAAGATTAGTTTGATATATCTAATAAGCTCAAGGAAAAGGAAGACTAGAAAATAAAGTCTGAACTAAGGTGAATGATCTAAATCGCTCCCCAAGAGCAAAGAAAAGGCAGTATCCTAAGGGGCAGGAGGCTTAAGTGGTGACAAGAAAACGCTACCAGTAGTAGTCACAGTACCTGTGTTGCAAGTATCCTTCATCAGTCGGCACCGATCTTTGACAGAAGATGCACTTCTTCCTAGCGCCGCCCCTATTGTTGCCCAGTCATTGCCATGCTTTATCCGGAGCCTAAAACAAGAGTCTGCCAATCAGCATTTGGTTCAATTGTTTTCTCCCTTTTAATTTCATCATTTATTCTTCATTCTTCTTCTTCCCATTTGACTGGTTTGGAAGTTGTGGGCAGCAATACTTTGAGAGCCAAAGTTTGAAAGTGTGGCCTTTTTTTGGGGTCCACAGTTGTCTGTGGGTGAAAAAAAAACAGGCAGCAATTGCCTTTTTCCTGGGTCAGAGAAGAAATAAGTAACTTGGATATGTGTTCAAAAAAGACCAATTTCCCCTCAGGTTACTGACACAATCTCCCAGGCAAGCCCCAGACTTTCCCTTTTGAGCATATACCCAACAAACTCTTCTTTAGACATCTAAAGTTTCACAGGTCTTTATCATTATAAACAGAATCTACCTTCAAATTTTTTCATGATCCATACAATTCATTAAACCATACTTTAAGGTCTAACTCAATAAAGCAAAATTCTACTTCCTGAGATTCAATAGCCTTTGCAAGGTTGAGTCAGCCCAGATATTCACTGAAACATTTGCCAAGTCACCATTCTAAACCAAGCCATGTAGCACAACCCTGGTTTTCATCCTGGTATATAAATTCCCCAAATTTAGTCTTCAGGCTACCAAAAATGGCCCCTTAATCTTTTCTGGAACCCCTATTAGTGGTCTGAGGAAGCATCTGGTGAATGGCATCAGGAGACCAGATTATACATTATGAGAATGGTTATTTTGTGCAAGTAATGGATTTGATGTGATCTTTTTAAGGCCAATCATGCTTAATAGCACAATTCAATTATACCAGTCTGCCAAAAACCTCTTGAAATTTTCAAAGTAAAACTTTTAAGGACGTAAGACATAAAAAATTAGAATTAATGAAAAAAACTTTAAAACTTACTCCTTGAGCTTCTCAATTTCTTCAGGTGTATATCTAGAAATTCAGAGAAATTTTTAAAAAATCAATTAAAACAATGAATGCTAAAAACCTCAATAAAAATCAGAATTTCATTTAGGGAGCTGAATGTTAAGTCACTTAGCATATAATACTTTTAAAGTAACCCATTTTAAAGTGGATTAATAAAAGTTGAGAATAGGCAGGGTGCGGCTCACGCCTATAATCCCAGCACTTTGGGAGGCCAAGGCAGGCGGATCACTTGAGGCAAGGAGTTCGAGACCAGCCTGGCCAACATGGCAAAACCCCATCTCTACCAAAAACAGAAAAATTAGCTGGTGGCAGGCGCCTGTAATCCCAGCTACTAGAGTGGCTGAGGCAGGAGAATAGCTTGAACTCACGAGGCAGAGGTTGCAGTGAGCCAAGATCATGCCACTGTACTCCAGCCTGCGCAACACAGACTCTGTCTCAAAAAAAAAAAAAAAAAAAAAGTTGAAAATAAATGCTTCTATTTTTATTTTTTTTTAAACAGTAAATATTTTTTAGTTATAATAAAGGTAAGGATTGTATAATTTTCTCTAGAAAAAGAATCAACATTTAAAACATACATTTGCTCCTATGCTGTCTAACAGTTCCTTTATTTCAAACTTAGATTTTGGCACTCTCAAATCATAACTACTCCAAAAAAACTTATGGGTGACATTGTAAACTAGAGCTAAAAAGAAAATCTACAGAAAATTCCCTCAAAGCACTGAACAAATTAAGATTATCTTCATTTCCTTTACCCAGGTATGGACATCTGACATACTCTTGCTCTTTATTACAGTAGGCAAGTACTCAATACAGCCTATGTAATGTTCTTTTTAAAAATGTCCATTTAATAATTATGAAACGCTGCTCACTTTGTAACCATTTGTAATGCATGGAAAGTTTATGAATTGCTAACAAGTCATTTATGCTCCATTTAAAATTTTTTCTCTTTTTCCACTGTCACAAAAACATAATTTAATCCTCTTCAGCTTTCAAATGTACTTTCATTAGCAGGCTGCTGAAGAGCTAGAGAAAGAGCTCCAACATTAGCTCGGCAGTATCTAATAAGCCATACTACTGCCACCTAAAATTTCCAAAGAGAAATTAAAAATATGTCAGTAACAGTATATAATCATTGCATTTGAAGAATCTTAATGATGCCTTCCCATAAATGCTATCTAAAACAGAAATCCATACATTGTTTTCAGAAATGTAGTTCTTTTCCATTCTGGATTTAAAAAAAGGCCACTGACCTAGGAATGCTATATTCTAAAAATAAATAGGAAAAATGTTACCAATAAATTTCAAGTTATTTTCACACTTCTTAAATCTTTAATCATTACTGTATTTTTTATGTTACTTTACTACAAAGCAGACTTTGACATATTAAGTAAGCCAAGTCTTAAATCTAACCTATATAAAGTGAATTAGATCCTAATTTCTAAAAGAGGCTTTAATAATAAGGTTTCACCATATTCACAACATGGACCTGGAGGATAAAAATATTAACAACAATTAATACCTTGACCATATTTCTATTGTTTAAAAAAATGGACAGTTCCTCAAATATTTCCCCTAATTACATGAAAACATGCAGCATTACAAGTTCTCATACTTTCCCACATGGTTTCTGTCATCATACATGCGAAGCACTCTTCTATAAACTGCAAACAAAGGCCGGTTCAGACCCCATGCTATAGTCCTGTAGAAATCTTTTCTTTCGTCTTTTGACATCTCAAAGATGATTTCTGTAGCATCTTTTATTCCGCGTGCCTAAATGGGTTACATTTCTTTGATTTAGGGATTTCTGATAAAATGCATATGGATATACTATGCTTTTAAAATTTGTTTTAATGTTAAAGGTCATCAACGGCATTTAGAAAAATAATATATCACTAATTCATTAATAAATCAAATATAAACTTTTAAGATGATGCAAGAGATACAAAAGTGACACTTAAATGTTCCAAGAATAAACTATCAAATTCAATAAATTGAATTTCCATCAACTCTTTTAAAATTATAAAAAGTTAAAAATAGATCTAAAGAAAGCAGAAGGAAGAAAATCACAAGAGCAAAATCAATGGAATCCAGAATCAAAGCACAGAAAGGATAAACTAATCTAGAAATTGGTTCTTTGAAAACATCCATTAAGATTAATAAAACTTGAAATGATTAAAGTTCTGCCAAAATTTTAAAAAAAGACACAAACAGTATTAGAAATGGAAAAATGAGGCCTAAATAGAGACGCTGCAGAGATTAGACCATTAACAGAAATGAACAATTTTATGGTAATAAATTTAAATGTTGGTAAAATGAATCAATTCCTAGAAGACATCAAACATCAACTTACCAAAACTGACTCTGGAAGAGACAGAAAATCAAATAGGCACAGACCATCAAGAAAATCGAATCAGTTATTAAATAATCTTCTCAAAATAAAAACACTAGGCCCACATGACATAGATGACATTATAGGTAAATCCTACCAAATAGACACACAATCCTGTTCTTAAACTATCAAAAGTTTAAAAAAAAAAAAAAGTGGGTACATTTCTTTGCTTATTTTATCAGGCTAGCATAACCTTAATAGTGAAACCAGAGAAGGACAGTTTCAGAACAGAATTTTCAGGTCAAACGCATTCACTAACATAGCTATCCTAATAATATTTTAGCACACTGAACCCAGCAATGTATAAAAACATTAGTATGTCCACGTAGAAAAGTGAGTTTATCCCAGGAATACAAGTTTGTGTTAATTTCAGGGAAATTATTAATGTAATTAATCACATCAGCAAATTTATGGAAAAAAATGTAAAATCTCAACAGATGTGGGAAAAACATTCATAAAATTCAATAT
The DNA here is from genome assembly GCF_000001405.40 of Homo sapiens. NCBI lineage: Eukaryota > Metazoa > Chordata > Mammalia > Primates > Hominidae > Homo > Homo sapiens. Next base: position 87,178,457 of record NC_000007.14, on the reverse strand, counting down.
TCGTATGTCTTATCAAATTAGGATTCACTGATAATCAGATTTTTAAAAAAACCAAAATTATAAAGAATAGAAAAGATGAATCACTTGCGATATATATGTAGAAACCCAAAAATCTATGAAAAAAATATGTTACTTTAAAAAAGAACTAATTTTAGCAAGGTTGCTAGATACAAAATCAAAATGCAGTTATTTGCGTTTCTACACAGTTTACATAACATTTTAAAAAGCTCCCACACAGCGTCAAAATTAAGAGCATCAGAACTTAGGCAAGTTATCAATGTCCTTTATGGAGGAAAATATAAAACTTGATACTGAAGAGGAACTAACTAAATGAAGTTATACCATGTTCTTAAACAGGAAGATGACATACTGTGAAGATATTAATTCCCCCCAAGTTGATGTACAAATTCAATGCTATCCAATAAAAACTCCATTTGAGTGTTTCACTCTCTGTAAGCTGATTCTAAATTTATAACAAAAGAGCAAAGGGCCAAGAACAGCCAAGATATTTATGAAGAGGCTTGCCCCATCAGATATTGGGATTTCTGAAGACAGCGCTGTACTGGTGCAAGTATCAACAAACAGAACCTAAAAACAAGTTAGAAAACCTAGAAACAAATTTGTGGCAGCTTGATTTAGAACAGAATGGACACTGTAAATTAGGAATTAGACATCTACACAGAAAGAGATACAACTGAAATTATATCTCACACCTACAGCAATGAAATGCAGAATTATAAAACTTTTACAAGATAATGTGAGAATGTCTTCATGCCCTTGAGGCGGGGAATGATTTCTTAAACAAGCAAGCATGCATGCATGCAAAACAAACAAACAAAAAAGGTGATACATTTGATATTGCAGTTAAAAATCTTTTCTCATCAAATGACACCTAAAGAGGAGGAAAAGACAGGCCACTAAATTGGGACAAGGTATCTGTAATACAAATGACCAATAAACCATTAGTACCCAGCATACATTAAGAAAGTCTAAGTTAAACAAAAGTTAACTCCACAGAAAAACTGGTGAAAGACACAAACAGGAATTTCAAAGAAGAAACACAAATAGCCAATAAGCATATCAAAATGTTATCAGAGAAATAAATTAAAACCATAATTAACACCCACTAGATTGGTACAAATGAATAATAAAAAACTAAAAAGAACCCAAATGACCATTAACTGTGAAATGGGTAACTTGCACATTTGCACAATGAAATACACCTAAATAAATGGGTAAGGATATTAAAATAATACTGAGTTACAGAATATCCAGAGAATGAATCTATTTATATAAATTTCAAAAACAGGTGAAATCACAGTGTATGCATTTTATACACTTTTGAATGTATGAAACTTCACAGCAAAAAATTTCTAAATTTTAGAATGGTTTCTAAAATTCTTTCTTATGCAATTCCAATTTTGCCAATGATTAAACCTAAATATTTACTGAGCTACTACATGCAAGCACACTGTGTTGCAGGATGACCACAGAGTGAGATGAAAGATTCTCCTGCCTCCACACTCCTTGCCCTTTTTCTTGCTTATAGACGTTACTTGCATTTATCCTTTAACCCAAATATGAAACATATGACACCCAATTAATTCGAATTCTCTGAAGTTTAAAACTAGCTCTACAGAAGTCTTAGAAGAGCACCACATAATAAAAGCTATGGTCAAAAACCAAAATTGAACAAATCATCTTTTTCCAAAATAATCTTTTGGACATTTCCTATTTCTGCCAATCTGATCATCATTCTCCCAATCACCTAAAATAAAAACTCTTAAGTTGCTCTAACTCCTTTTCCTTCTTGCCCAACATTCAGTTCAGGCATCCTTGCAGATACTTGGTTATCTGCCCTTTCCCTACCAATTCTATTTCTACCACTGTAGTTTAAGTCCTTTGCCACAATCAGTTGGTCTACTGAAACAGTCCTCTAAAAGGTCTCAAATCCTACTCACACTCCTGCCCATTAATCACTAACTTGGAAGGGTCCTTGAGATCATCTACTTCAATCCCCTAGACAAGAAACCAGCTTAATTCTCAAAGTTCAGTGTTCCTTAGCACTGATTACTGCTTTATCTAAACTAATAGCATTTTCCAGGTTTAACTAAAGCATATGTGACTAGAGGACAACTGAAATACACTTCTGGATTCATTTTCAATGGCCACTGTATTTCTGTTTCTCTTAAAACAACAAACATGGTGGAAGGATCTCATTTATTAGTGAAGAATTAGAGTTTTAAAATTCTGTATTTCAAAGAGCTTAGGTTGGGAAAGTTGCAGTTAAAATTAAACTTAAAAATGTGGGCCTTCTAGGCAGCACTGCGTTTCTACATTAGTGTAGAGTGGAAAAGAGTAAGCAGTCAATATACCAAACGATAGGAGAATGGTTAAACACCGTACACCATCCTTCCCCAAATGATGCTAATGATCTACATTTTAGACATAACACTATTTGAATCTAACTCCATTACAGAGATGGCCAGCAAGTCTCTAGAAAGATTTCCTTGAGAATACAGATTTACCCCACCAATTTCTTACTCAACTAAACTACTAGCTTTTCTTAAACCCTTTAATGCTTCTCATCTCTTATAGGATAAAGTTCAAATTCTTTGGCATGGACTTCGGAGCCCAGTTTTCCAGAGGCTATTTATCTTAGTTCAAGGTAAAGGGGTTAATTTAATGTGTGTTGGTTTTGATCTTTGATTTCTTGCTGCTTCGGCATGTATTCATGCAGTTCCCTCAAGTTCTACTCTAGCCCAAGTTCTATCCTTTAAGACAGCTCAAATCCTTTCTCTACCAAAATTTTCCATAACTGCTCTAAAAACTCTTCTTTCTGTAATCTTGTACAGAATTCACATGTATCATTCACATGATACCAGGCTTTCTAACACTCTTCACCTGTTTCCAGTCTGCCCAAATGGATCACTGACTTCAAAAGCAAACACTGTTAAAGCAATCCATGCCTTAACACAATCCAAAGCCTTAAAAATACTGTGTTCAAAAGACATTTAATGAAGAGTACTAAGCTAATAAGAAATAAACCTGAATAAGAAAATAAACTAAATTTTTGATTTTTTTTAAAAGGTAAGGACTACTATGACATCAAAAATTCATTCAAAGATGCATACCTTAGCCGGGTGCGGTGGCTCATGCCTGTAATACCAACACTTTGGGAGGCCGAGATGGGTGGATCACCTGAGGTCAGCAGTTTGTGGCCAGCCTGGCCAACATGGTGAAACCCCGTCTCTACTAAAAATATAAAAATTAGCCGGGCGTGGTGGTGCATGCCTGTAATCCCAGCTACTCAGGAGGCTGAGGCAGGAGAATATAGCTGGAGCCCAAGAGACGGAGGTTGCAGTGAGCTGAGACTGTGCCACTGTACTCCAGCCTGGGCAACAGAGCAAGACTGTCTCAAAAAAAAAAAAAACAAAAACAAAACAAAACAAAACAAAGATGCATACCTTAAGCTTTAAACAAAATAAATTAAACTCTATAGGCTTCTTGAAAAGATAAGGCTTTAAAATGTTGAGAGGCTACTAAGATTTTATCTAAACTTTAGGGTGGTAACTAAAGCAGTAAAGCTATTTTAAACTGAGAATTCAAAATATTATTGTACTATAATAATGTATTTTAGAATTATTCAGCTACATGTTAGCCATTATGAAAATCCATTACAAAAATAAGTAAAAAGCTCCTAATAAGTGCACACAACATTCTGTGTTGATATTTTTGCAATTGGCAATAAACAAATTGGTGAAACATAAAAATATGCCATAAGATACCTTAAGATAGCGTTCAATATTGTTCATCAAAATATCAATTTCTTCCTTGGACCACATCCCCTGCTTCCATTTATGTCCTTTAAAAGAAAACAAGTAATGTTATAAAAAATGTTACTCCTTGAAAGAAATAAAACACCAAAGATTTCCTTTGTGATTAAATTATATTTGGGGATAAAATTTAGCTAATTTCATTTCTCATTCCTCTGAAATCTGAAAGGTCTCTAGGTAAACTTGCTTTTGTAACTTCTGGTTTTTACGCTAGAATACATTTATTTGACCCTACTAAAAAAAGACAATGGTAATTAAAAGATTTAAAAAAAATTACCTCTCTTAGCCTTTCAACAATATAGAACAGCTAAAAAGAAACTTATAAAAATAAAAAAAGCCAAACATGCTCAAAACTTTTTGAAAAATTTCTCCAGTGAAAATTTTATGGGCAAAAAGAACACATACAAAAAACTCTAGGGCAAGGTAAATATTGAATATCAAGTGAATAATGTATTCTTAATGAGTATTTACTATACAGTGGTTGAAAATTATTTACGTTTTTCTGCTTCCTTTCTGTACTTCAGAGTGGCACAGACACAACCCTCACTTTTTTGTAGCACCTTCCCCAGCTATGCTTGAGCATAGCCAACACTGTAAACACTATGTTACCTTGAGCCTCTAAGCTGCTTATCAGACCAAAGTTAGTAGACCCTTGAAAAGGCTTGACTTCCTACTCTCATAAGCAATAACTATATTGTCTTAAATGCCACCACTATGCATTTGTTCAAAAATTAACAAGACAAAATTTACTTCAAATCAGGGGAGAAATAATTAATTACTGAAAAACAAATGGTGGTTTCATAACCTTAATTCAAAGTCATTTGGGGCCAAATTTAATTCAGTTAGAAAAGCTCAATTACTCTAACTGCTCAATCCCAGTGATGAAGGTCCAACTCAGAATCCTGATGACTATAAGCCCTTTCTATCTCCATTTTTTTTCACTAGGCACTAAAATTCACAGTGTTATCTTACCTTTATTAGTCAGAGAATCCTTATCTTCTTTAGTTGTAAACCATGCTTGGCTAACTGCTGAAACTTCCTCGTTACCCAAGGGAGATATTTCATCTAGTTGCTCATTCTGCAAAATCTTGAAAAGGTAAAAGTAAAACAAAACAAAACAAAACAAAACAAAAAAATGGCAGCTTGATTTAATGCTCAACCGGATTCATCTTTGTAATGCTAAGCATTATAAAACTTAAATATAGTCATATGGAATTCACTTGTTTTAGATATAGTAAAAATATATCCAATTTACAAAAAAATATTTCTTGCTGTTTTTATTATGGCAGTATGAAAACAAAATTATATGCATTAACACAATATGACCTTCATTTAAGCAAGTAAATGTACTATTGGCTTCAGTTTTATATAAAATGGGCCAAGAGTCCATTAAGTATTTAAATCAACATAGAATATTCAGGGAAATTTAAATATTTACACATGTAAATGAGCTCAATATACAATATACAGTTATTATCTGTTCTAGATAGGAAAATGGAAGTCCTAGGGTTGGGTGTTATGATTTGTTAATGCCCTCAGAGATAAGCTTGCTGCCTAAATCATCAATAATGTCATCTCTTAACTTAAAATATTAACAGGCACAATCATAAGTCATTATTGCAAAATCACTGTCCGCTTATTGTTTTCTGACAACTTTGCTTTAGCCAACCTCTAGAGCCTTATTAATGCACCTTTCTCTCAAAGAACTATATGGTACTACTTATTCTTAATGCAGCTAAGTCTTCTGTGCAACCACCACTAGCTGTATTTTCAGTTACAAGCATATCTAATCTAACAAACCCTGTAGGGGAAAAAAGCTGCCTTCGGCAGAGTTGACCCTGGCCTAAAGAGAACCGTAATGTAAATGAGGAAGACCTGGCAACAGTGCTACCGTATGAGGTATTAGCCTATCGTAAGCAGAATAAGGGAAGAGTCACGTATTTAGTGACCACTGAACCCAATTCAGTCTCTGGGCTAAAAAAAGACTAAGCAATGTCACCGGCTGAAGGTAAATCCTAAGAAGGACTGGACTACTACTTCTTGAATAAACAGAAACTGAACTTCTAATATAAAGAGAAATTGAAACCCATCTCTCTTGGAAAGAGATAAGTTGTCCTCATCTCTCTTGGAAAGAGGTAAGCTGTCAGTGGACAACCAAGGTACAATTAGGAGAAAAGCCACATTTCTATTGTTGCCTATTACTTTACTTTTATATCTGGTGGTAATACATATAGTGTGTTTATGAAAGCGTTTTTGAATCCATGGGCAAAAAGCTGGAAATCACTGGAACAAGTGTGAATAAGTTTTATAGCCCTCTATTTACATGTCATACTTTTTGATTTTTTAAATCAAGAGGGACCTGTATAAAGCTAAGAATTGAGACAGACTATATGTGTCTAAGGCTTCTTATATTCTGAAGATCACAATTTTTATAAGATTTGATCCTAGAGTTATACATCAGTAAAGAGTGTAACAGAGAGCTATCAAAAGACCTTGATACATACAATACTCACTTTTAAGAACTATAATGTAGAAAATACTCTTAAATTATCTTCTCTTAATCAGTTGGATATGAGAATCAAATCACCATTTCCCAAAGTATGTCTATATAGCAGAGCCCATTCCATGAACCTTAGGAATAAGTCTGTTATGCTGATTAACCACTATTTGGGGGCAAACATTTAATGCCTTAGGGCTCAAATTTTCCCTCAAATGAGCAAATAATTCTTAAGCAATAGCAGTAGTATTCAACACTGTCAATAAAATGAGTTTAGTGAGTACAACAGCAGGAAACTCAGGTACCTTGAAGGGTACCTATCTATGTATGACATATAAATATTAATCAGTCTTAGAGTATTTTACCCCCATTTTTCACTACTTTATGCATCTATTAAGTTGACTCAGCTTTATTTAGTATGCTGTTGCTTTTAAAATGAAGCTTTTATGAGTTGGTTGCAGGATTTCATGCCTATAATGTATATATAAGGCTTAGAAATTAAAATATTCAGCCCACTGAAGACCTCTTGCAACCACAAAGTACTATATACATAGGGACTTATAATAGTTTCTAATTGTTTTTCAAGCTAGTCTCATCACTGGAAGGAGACACAGTACATTAACTACCAAACTATGTCAAAATAGCTGCACCTGGTTCACAGCAAAGACACAGTAAGAAACAGACTATTTCTGAGGGGGTTTTTAACTATGCTGACTTTCAGTTCACATCTTGTCCATTTTGTGTCTAAAGTTAATCTTATTAAACAAATACTAGAAATTATTATGAAAAGTTTTTTGTTCACTAAAATGGTGATAACAAACCAAGAGGCTAAATATTAAATTATAACTCAACTCTTTGGCAGTAATCAAAACAAAAAAACTTTGTAATTTGTTTCATAATAAGGGCTAAACCTGGGCACAGTGGCATGTGCCAGTAGTCCTCGCTACTTGGGAGGCTGAGGTTTCTCATCATTTTATTAGCTAAGCAATGTGTAAAGGATCATCCTCCTGAGGCCAGTTAAAAGATTTACTATACCTGTATCTGTGTCACAGTCCCCTCAGTAACCTCATCATCTGCTACTTCTGTGGTTGCAGTCATGGTCACTTCAAAGCTCTGATCATTTTCTGAAACTTCAAGAAAAGGAACCGTTCATCTCCAGAATAATAACGGCAAGTTCTAATTATTCTAAAAATATCCATGGGAAAAAAAACATGATCATCTAATTTCCTAACACACTCCTTGTTAATACATCTTCACATACATACATTCATTTGCTTAATAATACTTAATGTGCACCTAATTCATAGTAGATATTGCTGTGGGTGCTGGGGATATAGCAGTGAGCAAGGGAAACAAAAATCCTTTCTTCATGGAGCCTGTATTCTAGTGGGGAAAGACACAAAATGGACAAGATACTACGTTGGATGGTGATTAGTAGTGAGAAAAAACCTAACAGGAAAGGGAATGTGTTGGGGTGGAGGATAGTATTTGAAATTTTATATAGGAGGCTAGGAAAAGTGACCAAGACTTGGAACAAGTGAGGATGGAAGCTAGTTTTACAGGTATCTCAAGGAAGAGCATTTCAAGGAGAGCCAAGTGCAAAGGCTCTGAGACAGGGCATGCTTGGAGTGTTCACGAGAATAGCAAGGAGGCCAGTGTAGCTAAAGCAGACTAAACAAGAACAGTAGGAGATTGTGTAAGCCCTTGTAAGCCAGAAGGTTTTGGTTTTAACTCTTAGGTGGGAAACGACTGGAAGATTTTGAATAGTGGAATAATATAATCTTTTATTTTAAGAGGCTCACTCTGGCTGCTATAAGAAAAACAGTCTGAAGGGCAAATGCAAAAAAGATAGGTCAGTGGCTTGGACTAGGGTGAAGGCAAGTGAGAGTGGCTGGTAGTTCAAATTGTGAATGTATTTTGGATGGCAGAGCCACTATGATTTGTAGACAAAGAAGAGATGGAAGAGACTGAAGAGCCAAGGATAACGTTAAATTTTTTTAAAAAAAATCAAAACTACTGGAAGAATACACCTGCTACTAATTAGTAGGAGAAGATTGTAAAAGAAGCAAATGTAAGGATTCAGGAAGTTACAGAACCTCTGCTTTAAATACATTAGTTTGAGACAACTGCTAAATATTTAGAGAATGAGAAGTCTGGTCTGGAATAAATCTGGTAGTTAACACCAGATAGTATTTAAAACCTTGAGTTGAGATCACCTAAAAAGTGAGTAAAGAAAACAAAGAAGCAGTCTAAGGACTTAGTCCTGGGGTGCTCCACATTTAGAGGTTCTGGTGACATGGAAAAGTCAGCAGTGGAGACTAAGAAGAAATGGACAGAAAAATAGAAAACCAGAGGAATGTTTTCTACAGGCCAAGTGAAAACGTTTCAGGGAGGAGGGAGTAATAAATATTGTCAAAAGTTGCCAACAGATCAAGTAACGCAAACACTAAAAAAGTGACCATTGAATTTGGCAACAAGAAGGTCTTTGGAGAGCTGGGAAAAACAGTTTAGTTAAGGGGTGAAAGCTTGACTGGAGTAAGTTTAAGGAAAAAGAGGAAAGGAAATGAAGGCAAATATAGGCAATTTTCAAGGTATTCTGCTCTAAAGGCAAGGAGGAAAATTGAGTAAGAACCAAAAGTGAGCTAAAGGAACTTTTTATTTATTTTTTTGACAGGATCTTGTTCTGTTGCCAGGCCAGAGTGCTGTGGCACACTCACAGCTTACTGCAGCCTCAACCTCCCAGGCTCAAGCAATTCTCCCACCTCAGCCTCCCTAGCAGCTGAGATTACAGGCGTGCACCACCACACCCAGCTAATTTTTGTATTCGTTGTAAAGACAGAGTTTTGCCTTGTTGCCCAGGCTGGTCTCAAACCCCTGGGCTCAAGCAAACTGCCCGCCTCTGCCCCGCAAAGTGCTGGGATTATAGGCATGAGCCACCATGCCTGACCAGGGACTTTTTATTTTAAGGAAAAATAACAGTATGTTTGTGATACTGTGGGAATGACTCAGTAGAAGAAAAACTGGTGATACAGAAGAAACAAAATAATTATTGGAACAATGTCCTTGAGTAGGTAAAGGGGAAGAAATTAAGTAAATGGAAGGGTAGGCCTAAGATAGGACAACAAATATATGGATGGACATAGATGCAGGTAGGTATGTATTTGTGGTAGTGGGAATTTGTAGAAATTATTTTCTGGTTACTTCCATTTTCTTTGTGAAGAGGGAATAGGGTTATCAGCTCAGAGTAAAAAGGTGGAAAAGGTATTTGCAAGTTTCGGGACAAATGAAACAGTCATCTCAGAGTGGGAAAAAGAACACTAGAGAGCTGTTGTTACTGGTGGGCAGCATTATGAGCCCACTTCAGGTTAATGATCAGGAATTAGAGTGAGAATAGTCAGCCTGCTTGTGCCATTTTTCTCTAATACTTTTCAATTAGCTGCACTGGTACAGAAATAAACAGACAAAGACAGATTTAGACAGTTATGAGTTCACCAAATAAGTGAGAGAAAAAAAAGGACTTGGTGAATGCAAGACAGTGATTATAATGATTAACCATAAAAGTAAAACAGGGTAAAAAAGAAAGAAAGGATACAAGTAGAGAAGGAACAATGAAAACGTAACAGGATCAATGGGGCCCAGTGAGGCAAAAGACTACAGAGTTAGAGCCCTACAGGAAGTGAGCTGGAAAGACAGAAGTAGCGGTAGGAAAACAGAAAGTCTGAAATAGATCACAAATGGACTCTAGTAATAGGTAAGAGTGGTAAAGGGAGTAATAAATGGAGAACAAAAGGAATAAGAGGCTAAGGTACTGAAAGAATCATCTAGATGAATACTGTAATCACTATACAGTTACAACTATAAATAGGGAATGGGATAAATGTAGTGGCAGATGACTACAAAAAGAAGTGGTGAGTTAGAATGATTAATATGAGAGTTAGGCTGATGCTGTGAGGATTTTTACAATCTAGACAGATAAACTTTATCAGTCTTATTGCTAAACATAAGGCTTCAGTGTGTCTTCCATATGTGATGATGCTATGACCCAACATTAAGCAGCTCATGTGCTTTCATGTCAACATACCTCTATTATCTGAAGCTAAGTGAACAGCGCCATGAAGGATTTGGTTTACCACCATAAAATAAAACTAATACCAAGTGTAGTTTGAACCTACAATCATGAACAAGACATTGCACTTTAACAAAATGAATTGGTTGAAGTCAATTTATATCAAAATAGCCACTCAAAAATTCTAGCTTAGAAAATATTTAGGATTACATCTGTATAGATAGGCCAATTAAGTTTTAGAATTGAATCACAACATAATGATAGTCAAATTAGGAAAGATTTTAAAAAAACATAGGAATCATCAGGAGGAACGAATATTTAATTAGAAATGTTATGCTTGTCTATGCCACAACTGGAAGCAATATTAACACTGTTTTTCAATTAAGTCTTACAGTAAACTAAAAGTTTTTCTGTTCAATTTAGCAAGCAATTAACTCTAAATTCAGAGTACATATCTACTTGTTAAGATATGATAGATATGATTTTCCATGCTGAAAACCAAGTCTTGCTTTTTCAAAAGATGAAGATGTGATTTTGCCTGATGCTGAGTGTAAAATCAAAGTTCTCAGCTATGGCAAAACCCTCCTTTGTGCTAAGAGTGCCAACAGCCATGTGTTGCATCCCCATTGCCATGGACAAAAGCATCTACTCCAGAATCTTCCTGAACACTCCACACTCTTTGCTAAGCAAATCAGAAATACAACCTAATGTTGCAGTTGGTATGCTGTCTTGTGCCAACAGTATTGCACTTGAAATATTGTACCTCCTATAGAAGCCAGTCTACTCTAAATGATCTTGAAATAGAAACACATTAAGAACTTTCTCGGTAAGAATAAACTAATTAGGCTTCTAACTTTCATGCTGTCATACAGCATACTGAAGAGGCAATATGGCATTGGGGTTAAGAGTATGTATTACAGGAACCAGAATGCCTAGATATGCTCTTAGCCAAGTTATTATAATTTTCTGTGTCTCAGTTTCCTGACTTATAAAATAGGAATAACAATATTAGTACCTATTGTAAAGCATGCTTTCTTCTCAATGAGGGCAAATATGGTTCTTGGGGTAGGGGGAAATGCATGTGACAAACAATTTTATTATCTTTATGAACAAAGCAAGGACATACAGACAGTACATTAAGAAATACAAGCTATTTTTGAGGACATTTTGTAATTTTCATGAAAAGCACAATCAGGAATAAAAGTCTAAAAAGGCTCCTTGTGGGGCAATTGAAAAAAAAAAGGTTGGGAAGATTAAAGTAGGCAATATACATAAAAGTATTTAACGATATGCCTGGCACATAGTATTTATTGTTAGCTAAAAAGAGGTGGTTTGACTAAATGAAGAAAAAAGCAGTAAGTCCAAGTCTATTAGAAATGCCAACTGAAAGCCTTGGAAGCTAAACTTTGATTTTAAAAGGGAACTCTATGGCTCTTAATACGTAGTGACTTACGTGGAAGTGCAACAACTGATATGCAAGGAGTAGAATCATCAATACTCTGATCATCCTCAGAGGACAAACAAAGCCTTTTATGTGGAGGTTCAATACTATCTTCTGAGTCTATTTCATCCGCTTCTAATGGAAGAAAACAAACAAACAAAAATTTCAAACCAAAGAGGGAAAATAAAATCTCTAACAATGGCTCTACAATTTTCTTATCTATTAAAAAAATTTTCTTACCAATTTGCTCATTTAACTAAACCTAGTTGTGCAAACAGGATTCAAAAGGACACTGCCTTTCTATGCCTACTGCAATGCAGTATTCAACTCCTCAAGGCGGTGTCTTAAACTTGAAAGAGAAGGGAAGCCCGGGGAAAACTGCTATCTCTCTTGGCAGTAGAAGCAATATGTGCAATGACACAGACGTATGAGAAGCTTAAGGTATAGGTATGTTAGGAAAATAAAGATAGTGTGATCTGCTGGAACACAGGTATATGAAATGCGGCAGGAGGTAAGACTATGAGGAAAGCAGAAATGACTGGGGCCTATGGGCCAAATTAAAGAACCTGTACTATATTCTAAAAACCTTGGGAAGCTTTATGCTATTAAATGTATCAGGAACAATTTCATCAGCTGCTTGAAAGACGAATGATAGGTAGGACACTGGTTAAAAGGGTATTAGAGCTACCTAGATGAGAAATGAGAAACTGAACTAACAAAGGCAGGCTTGAAACAGAGAGGATGCAATGGATTTAAAAAACATAATACTATCAAGAAGTCTTCAAATGAAATGATGCAGGTGATGAGAGAAGTAATTTATTCCCAACCACATTCATGATCTGGACACTAAGTAATGAAATTCACAGAGAAAGGAAAAAAGAGAACTAGGTTTAGGAAGTACATGTAAGGATTGTTTGGGACATATGAAACTTAAGATGCCTATGAGAAGCACAGAGAATTCTGTATAAAGACAGATTCTGAGTCATCTTTATAGGTAGGTGCTACTTAAAATCCTAACTTTGAATTAAATAACCTATGAATTATATACAGAGTGAGAAGAGAAGACATAACCTAGGTTGAGTAAAGATGAACTTCAGAGCACAATAAATAAATGACATAAATAATGAGCAAGTCGGGGAGTAACAACAAAATTATCAGCTGGAAAGCTATTGAATCTTAATTCATTGTAGATCACCATATTAAGTCATACTGAAATGATTGTGTACAATTTTTTAACACAGTTTCTAACAAAAAAGTCTACTTGCATTGAGGAATAATTCTACATTTTCTAATGTATTAACTATGCTGCTGGTACCAATTAGTATAAAAAAAGAAGTATATATTATAGTTATTCCATCATTACCTTTGGGGGCTCAACAGATCCTATTTATAACATAGCAACAAGATTGACAAAAACTAACATTTATGTTAAAGAGATAATCTCCTTTTCTACTGTGCAGCCTAAACTCATAGGCACCTAGACCCCTATTTGGGCAATAGGGGTCAAAAGTGACATGGAATTCATAAATTCAGAGAGTCAGAATTATATGTCAGCAAGTTCTCCTACCATTCTGAGGGCAGTGAAGAATGAGATTCCCTTCTGTGTCCTGAGTCAAAGTCACAGAGTTCACAGTTTCTACTGTTACTGTGTCAGAATCCTCTTCCACTGTGCTCATACTCAAATCTGTACAAGAACAGATTCCAGATCAGGATTTCAAAAATTATTCCCAAATATGAAGTATTCCCTTATAATCCCCTGAAATACCACACACATTTATTTGGGTATCTGCCTACAGTGTTCTTCATGTAAAACTGCAATGAGAGTTCAGATTTCAAAAACTGCCTTTCACAAATTTATACCCATTATTTAGAATTAGATATCTCAAAGAATCTGTTTGCTCTGATAAATTTTAAAAACCTACAACATTTGTAATACTTTAAAAAACGTTTTTGCAACATCCAACAAAAGAGAATCCGTCTTATCAGCAAAACTTTCCCCACTTTTTTACTGTGTTTTTATGGACAGCTTTGTAGGTACTTAACTTCTTTTTCTTTAAGCAGAAGATTCATCAAAACTTTTATCTTAAGAATTATTTTTTCAAAACATTTTTTACAGGTATTTAAGCTCTATTATCTGAAAAACAGGAACACTAAATAATTCTTGCTGTGTTTTCAAAATATTGAAAAAGTGCATACATCCATCACTGACCAAATTGTAATTTTAAAAGACGAGTTAGTCCTTCTTTTGAAACAGGTAACTTTGAACATCGTTCAAAGTATCCTTACCTGCTATTTTACACAAATATTATTTTCCTCTTGTTCAGACAGATGGAATAACTAGTCTCAGAATATAGCATCTCATGGCTAGTGGGGGGAAAGGTATGAAACTATAATCAATAGCCTGGTTGAAGTCTTCAGAAATACCTTATAAGGTTTAAGGAGGTTCTTGCCTCAATACTCACTTTTGGCACGTATGTTTTACCAACTAAATAATACAGAGGACACAAACCCTGATATAATTACTCAATGTTTATTAAGCTTTTTTTTTTTTTTTTTTTTTTTTAGAGAAGGCGTCTTCATTGTTGCCCAGGCTGGAGTGCAGAGGCTATTCACAGGCACAGTCTTAAGGGTCCTAGAGCCTTGAACTTCTGAGCTCAAGTGATACTCCTGTCTTAGCCACCCGAATAGCTGGGTACAGGCACGTGCCAACACGCCTGGCTCTCTCTGGCTCCTATACACAAGATATTAGTCCATTCATATATTTACCACTGAAGTGAATGTATTTTCCTTTGGCACAAAAACTTAAATATATTAACATTTACATGGTAAAGATCCAATAATTCATTAAAATTTTACTATGCAAATTACTATTTGAAAAGGACATCATTCATTTTACAATAGTAATTATGCCATTCCCAAAATAAAGGTAAATGGAAATCATGATCTAGTTTTGACAAATTTGCAAATCATGTGAGATCCTTGCAACAGAAGCAGACTTACCTAGACAACGGATGGATCAGCTACAGCCCTTCCCACAGAATCAAGTTGCCTTCCCTTAGCAACCAGCATCACTTTCATGTTACCCAGATTGTTTCTCTCCCATGTTCCTATCTCCGCAACACTCTGAAAAAGTAACAGCATTACACACAATAAGGCTTAATAAGAACAAACGAATAGTATAGCAGTATGCTGATGACAATCTAGGCCCAAGCCTCTGTGATATCTCATCTGGAAGAGTAAGACAAAACCAGAATTCTTTTTTAAGCAGAATTTTTGGAAACTGGCCTCTAAAAGTATTCCCCAATGAAGGACAGAAATGATGACTATTCACAGGTAGTTTCTTAACCCAAGTGGCTCTCATCAGGCAGACAAACGTTCTCTGAAAAAAAAAAAAAAAACAGGCTCAGCTATGCTAGTGATTCTATGAACTGTAGACTGTGGTACCATTATGTAACATGATGTGTATATCAATCAATACAGCACCATAAATATTATTAGTAACTATAGTTTTCCTTTATAATTATTAACACCTCTTTATGTTTTATCTTAAAGCATTAAAAATTATATAGTACCCTATTCATCCAGAAAACCCTTTTAAGATGACAGATGAACAACCCTATCTAGGAATCTGTGGAAAAAACAAAAACAAAACCTTAAACAATTAGGCCAGAAAAGACAAATTACAAGCTCTTGAAAGCAATGTGAAACTTTATGAAATATGAAATGGTTTTTAAAGGTTTCTTTCAATAAGCTTCTCATCTTTATCCTCAAAAGCCAACCAAAGACCTTAAAAAAAAAAAAAAGCACATGATTTGAGGTTCAAGGGGACGTTTCAGCAAAAATTAGGGATTAAAATTCTAATTTTTGCGGCATTCTAATTAGATCCTCTTTGCATTTTCAGTGAAAAAGGTACAGATCCTGCTGGAGAACCATTAAGCTATTAGATTTCATGTTGTTATCATTCTGAATCCATTAATTTTTTAAAGGCTGGCTTTTTTGTAATACCTACTACAAAAGATGGGAGAAAGAAATGTAAAAAAGTAAAAAAAAGAAGGTTAAAATCATCCATAAACTTCCCAACGATTTTTCATACTCTTTGTAGTTCCTTCTAATCTCATCTCCCGGTGTATGTGTGTCTGTGATTATAGTGTATTGTGCAATTTTATATCCTGCTTTTTAGAATCTGCTCAGATTGAAAAGTGTGAAGGAAACCAAGGTAGGCATCTAACAAAAGTTATTACTTAAAACTTAACACTGCACCAGGCGTGGTGGCTCACCCTTATAATCCCAGCACTTTGGGAGGAGGATCACTTAACCTCAGGAGTTTGAGACCAGCCTGAGATAGTGAGATCTAGTCTCCAGAAAAAAAATAAAAAATTAGCCAGGTGTGGTGGTGTATGCCTATAATCTCAGCTACTCTGGAGGCTGAGGTGGGAGGATGGCTGCAGCCCAGGAGATCAAGGCCGCAGTCTGGGTGAGAGCGAGAACCTGTCTCAAAAAATAGAAAAGCAAAAAATAAAACTTATGCTGCAATAAAAAGCATGACATTATTTAACAGTTATCCGTTACTGGACATTTATGTTGTTCCCAATTTTTAATTTCCTTAACCCATACTGAAAAACATATTTTTACACTATTTCCTTGAATATTAGTAAATAAAAATTGTTAAATCAAAGGATATGACAAAATTTCGAACTTTTCAATCATACTGCAATATATTTTCCCAAAAAATTGCACAAATTTATATCCCAACCATTGAGATGCAAACTGTACTCTTGGTAATCTTGCCAATAGTTATTTTTTAAAAACTTCAAAGCAAAAAGTACAATGCTTATTTTATAGGTGCAAAATGGTCACAGGTTTAACATTTTAATGATATCATTTCAGGACCCCAGTTAATCCACAACGTTGAGAAAAAGAACAGGAATCCTGGCTCCTTTTTTAAAGTTCTGCAACTCATGTTAGAGATTAGTGAATGATTCTATGCTACTTTGTAAATTATCAAGCTTATTTGTTCAATCAACAAATATATCCAAATATATTACCTCTACTATATGCAGGTACTGGGGATACAGTCACCTTTTTTGTTTTTATGCTGTCATCTTTTGTGGTTTTTGAGATGGAGTCTCACTCTGTTGCCCAGGCTGTAGTGCAGTGGCACGATCTTGGCTCACTGCAACCTCCGCCTCCCAGGTTCAAGTGATTCTCCTGCCTCAGCCTCCTGAGTAGCTGGGACTACAGGCGTGTGCCACCATGCCCAGCTAATTTTTTGGTATTTTTTTAGTAGAGATGGGGTTTCACCATGTTGACCAGGCTGGTCTCGAACTCCTGACCTCAGGTGATCCACTTGCCTCGGCCTCCCAAAGTGTTGGGATTACAGGCGTGAGCCAATGTGCCTGGTCCCGTCATCCTAAATATGTTCTTGACTCACCTTTTTTCCCCTATAGTCTGAGCTATGTGGTCAGTACATTTATTAATATTTAAGAAACTGACCTAGTTTCACTTTTAATGGGTAACACACACAGTTCAAGATTCAAAAGGTAGGTTATTTTTATTAATATTAGTATTAATACTAATAATATAAGATATAAGGTATCTAAATGAAGATGTCAAACTGAGAGTTAAATATATAAAACTAGAGTTCAACAGGCCAGGATTAGACCTATAAATCTTACTGGCATACACATTGTTTTTAAAGATTTCTTAAAGAGGTTAGAGAAGACAGCCTAGATTACAGTTCTAGAGCACTCCACTAAATTTGGGAAGTCAAACAAAGGAGAATGAGAAGGACCAGCTAGAGAGATGCAGGAGAAAACCTAAGAGGTATTAACTAAGAAGCACAAGAGTGTTTTTTCAATGAGCATTAAGTAGTTAACTATGTTGAAAACTGCTGGGGGGAAAGATAACTGAGAAGTAGCTACGTAATCTGGCAATAT
This sequence comes from Homo sapiens, assembly GCF_000001405.40. Taxonomy (NCBI): domain Eukaryota; kingdom Metazoa; phylum Chordata; class Mammalia; order Primates; family Hominidae; genus Homo; species Homo sapiens. The sequence continues at coordinate 87,160,681 of NC_000007.14, read as the reverse complement.
GGAGAACTGGTGCCTTTAACAAAAGTAGTTTTGGTGGGAGTAGTAGAGGCAGAAGCCTTACTGAAGTATGTACAGAATTAGAAGTAGGGAAGAAAAGAAACTACAGGCCGGGTGTGGTGGCTCATTTTGGGTGGCTCCCAGCACTTTGGGAGGCCGAGGCAGGAAGATCACCTGAGGTCAGGAGTTCGAAACCCGCCTGGCCAACATGCTGAAACCCCGTCTCTACTAAAAATACAAAAATTAGCCGGGTGTGGTGGCAGGCGCCTGTAATCCCAGCTACTCGAGAGGCTGAGGCAGGAGAATCACTTGAACCCAGGAGGCGGAAGTTGCAGTGAGCCAAGATCGTCCCATTGCACTCCAGCCTGGAGGACGAGAGTGAGACTTCGTCAAAAAAAAAAAAAAAAAGAAATGACAAACTACTGATACTTTTTTCACGAAGTTTAGCTTTCAAATTAGAACAAAAGGACCAAGTGCAATCAAGACAGTTGTTACACAGAATACATCTGTATTCTGATGTTGGACTAAGAAACGGTGGTGAATAAATCAAAATAAATCAAATTGTGATAGTAGAGTAGAAAGTTTAGTAATTTAGTGCCTTTATTCCAATTCATTATACATGAACCTATGGTTAACAACTTTTGGAATCCCTCCCCATTTGGTTTATCTGGAAAACAGGAAAATCGCCAACTCTGCTATCACTTTTTTGGTCCTTTTTGGAGCAAAATAAAGACAGTCATGTAACACGTAACATTTTGGTCAACAATCAAATGTGCATATATGGTAAGCCTGAAAGATTATACCACTATATTTTTACTGTACCTTTTCTATATTTAGATATGTTTAGATACACAAATACTTGCCATTGTGTTAACATTGTACTCAGTACAGTAACACGCTGTACAGGTCTGTGTATTTTCTATGATGCTCACATGCAATCACCCAAACTGCATTTCTCAGAACTCTGTCATTAAGCAACACATGACTGCACATCAGCTCAATTTTCCTTCTTTGTAATGGGTTATACCATATGTACTATTTTTACACTAAAAACGAGAAGATACAGAAGAAAAATAAACACAATTTTAACAGCCATTTTAACTGAAGTGGCATTTTTGCATGTTTTCATCATTTGCTGTGTATCTTTAAATAGCACAATACCTTAGCACGTTAAAGAAAAAAATACCTGAGGGTAGCAGCAAATCCAAATGCAGTTAGGAAAACCATGGACGATCTGCTTGAGATTTCAAGAATTTTGAATAGATGTGAAAATTCTATTGGTGTACAGCTTTATGAACAAGGAATTCAGCTTTATCATCAGTTATTAGAAAGCTGTGCAAGGAATTAAGTTTTATCCATAGCTTTATCAGTGGAGAGTGGCTTACAGAAAGAACTATCAGATGTGTTTAAATTTTAACAGCCCTAATGTTTTGGCATTGCTGTTATTTATGCACTCCTTATTTATAGCTTTGATAGCTTTAATTTTCTAGTCTTATCATGTGCCTGACAAATGTAGTTATATGCCTTACTGACATTTCCATTAAAAACTTTAATTTTGAATTATTCATGCATAACTATGGAATTTGTTACACTGGGCTGAAAGTTGACAGGATTTCAACCACCATCTGTAAATTTTTATTTAGATTATGTATCTCATAATCTTGTTTTTTAAAAGAACAGGGGAAACATTTCTTGTAATCTGCTGTTTAACAAATAATAGTTTTTTAAAGTTAGGCAGTTTACAGTGAGCCAGATCATTTTTGTATTGATTGAAAAATACAACTTTTAGAAACTTAGGTTTCAGTATTAACGACAGCATTTAGCTTAGCATTACTTGTTGTTTGAATCATTTAACTCTAAGGAAGACACTGGTTAAGAATGTTTTCTAAGTTTTATACCCTATAAATGAAGACCTAAAAAAAGTATAAAATGAAATACAGTGAAATGTACAAAATTCCAGTTGACTTTTATTACCTAAAATTTAAATGTGTACTTAATAAATCTTGAGTGATTACTTGATAAATCACTAGATAGGTGGTACGTTTCAACAGTTATTTAATGCTTTCTGAAGAAATAATTTCTGGTCATTAAAAACTAATCATGTTCTGCATCAAGAATTATGGCTTTCTAAAATTATTATAACTCTTAAAGTTTTAACTCATTGATGACTCAAGAATAAATTTTAGAAAACTTAGGATAGCATTCTGTTCCTGTAACAATCTCAATGAAGTTTTTTTGCAAGACTAAAATGTATTTGATTTATTCCTTAAATTTTAGATTTTGTTAGATGCCATTTAAATAATGGTACAGAATTCACTCCTTAGAAGCATTTTTTCAGACAAGCTGAAGTGGTTTTAATAAGACTGAGTACTATTTAAATTACCTTTTAGAATTATTTTAATCATTGAGTTTTTAAACATGTGGCATCTTTACCAAGTACATTGGAACGTTTATTATTGACAGAACAGGTTGGGATACAATAAGGACTTGGGATAAGTCATTTCATTAATAATCAATACAAATGCTGTGCGTTTTAATTTATAAAACCATACAGAACACCTTCTGCCAAACTTCAAAATTTGTATATACTTCTGGGCCACAAAAGTTGATAGTTTTATTTATGACTACTTAGATTGTTATTTATGCATGAAACAAGGCAGGAAAATACATTGAGAATTATGTTTACAGTGAACTTCTTTAATGCATCATATTTCTTAAAACATACTTTTAATGTGTACTTAGTATTTTAAAAACCAAACAAAACAATTATACAATTGCAGGTTTGTACATGTTGTCAATGACAAAAATAAAACCATTCTGGTGGCTTAAAAAAAAAAACACATAACCTTAAGTGTGGTACAAAACTCTTATAATGGAGTTATTGTGTCTTCATTATAATATAACCTTATAGCTCCCAATGAAAAAGATGAACCTATTTAATATACTATAGCCTGGAAGAACGAAAAGGGATAAGCATAAAGAAATAACTCTTGGATCTGTTATTTAACACAGAATTCAATTAAAGAAATGAGTTATTCATGCTATTCTTCCTTTCAGTATTGATGTAAAGTTCTTATCCAATGGGTTATCTTAGACTGGTATTTCCATCAATTGAGTCTACCTATCGTCCTGATTTTTCTGGGCATTTAAGTGTTGAATATCTTCTAAAAACCAGAATCAAGGAATAAAGTCACCTTTCTTCCCAGTTTTGGGGGCTAATTCTGTAAACAGCTGTATACTCATTTCCAACTACAGTACTGATACAAGTATGAAAGAGTTTAGATGCTATTAGTGGCAATCATGAGCAGCACAGGAACCAACATTTGCTGACCCTAGAGGCTTGGAGCTGTGATTCTAAAATGGAACATGGGATGAGACCACATGATATAAAACATTCCCTATTTTAATACACTCACTTTATACTGTGAAATCTTGCAAGCTACAGAACATATAGCACCACAATTTTGTTAGGTGAGTTAAAGACTGAGAAACACAGGCTGAGAAACAGTCTCTGGCATAGATCAACTAATAAGGCAGTAAGGACAGTTTTCAGATGTTTTTTTCTCCTGACCCAATACAGTATAAGAAAAATCATTCATGTTCTTTCTATGTGATTTGCAAGTCTTCTACCCATGTTATCAGCATGCCTATCTTTTACTGTTTTCACAAGATCATACTGTCACACTTTTTTGTACTTACTGTATCAGGAGCATTTTCCAGTATCATTACTACTTTACATTTTGAATGAGCACATAGATCTAAATTTATCTAATTCGTACCTATTACTCAACATTTTTGTAGCTATGTTATTATAAAACTCCAAATGGACTATTACTCTATCATTGTATAACTAATGCTTTAAAAACTACTTAAAAGAGAATTTGCTTAGTAACGTCTAAGGAATTTGGAAGATAAATTTTAAGATATGTTTATTTTGAAATAATGAAAGTCTGCTTAGTAGAAAATCTTAGTGGAAGATAATAGGTAACAAATTCATACATCCTAAACATGGGTACACAGAGGGCTGTCAGACAAGAGGTAAGGTCATAGAATAAGCATAACATCTTCATAAGCACAAACTTTATTCAAGATACGAATAGGAACACTACACACTTGAAGAAGAATGTTTTGGACTATGGTGCCAGGCCCCGTGGGATTTGTTCCTCTATATACTTTGTGGAAAAGTTTGAGCAGCAGAGCCATAAATGAACATAAGGCATATTCAATTAAGGTACCTAATTAATGTTTACTATGGCTTGGTTTTAAGATGGTAAAATATGATTATATATCATAAAAATGTCAACAGAGCTGTTAGTGGAGTCTATTCTAGCAGGCTTTGTTGATTTCAATTACCAACTATTGAAAACAATGTCACTATTACTTGAGTAAGGAGGATTACTTAATAGCAAGGATTTTAAGGTGCAGCATTTCATATCTGGTTTGACAATAAAACTATATTGCTTATTCAAAAAGCAAAAATGTTATTTTTCACTTCATGCATGGTTCAGGAGCTTACAATGTGTTATTCGCCACACTTGAAAGATTTCATCCTTTCAAAACTGAGTACTTTTCTACAAGGCACCATCAGAGGCTCTTTACATGGACATATACAGTATCACCAGACACCTGTGATTTACAGTGAAGTTAATTTTTAAAGCACATTTACTCATTAGATACTAAAATATACACCGGCACTAAAATAAACCTAATGAGCATTTCTGATACGTAACACCTGATGGGAAGTGAATGAATCAGCTTTGACCACTGGTGCTTGGAAGAATGACCTAACAGTGTACATAATCAAAATGACATTTAAATATATGAAATGATAGAAAATTAAACTGTTCATAATGAGCTCTCCAGTGTGCTTTTCTCTGACAACTTATTTCTAGTACTCAGTCATGGAATGGATTATCTTTCTACAAACTTGGGTGGGGCGGGGGTGGGGTGGGGGAGACACAACCACGTTCCTCCTTTTATTTAAACTTATCTACCTTTATAGAATCAAAGCAAACACAAAATCTATTTGTGATTTCTATTACAGGAATTTTCTTCACAAAATGAAAGCACCATCAAGATAAACGGAGAAATGACATGAAAGTAAACAAACGCCACATACATTTGGTAACTATCCATATTTTATCTTTAATATTTGGCAATTACTTTAATAAAAATCATTTAGTTTACCACTTTCTCGGGTCTTCTTGTATCATTTGGAGACATAAAGGAGCTGCAATTGCAAAGCATTTAAAAGTATATCAATTCCTAGGAAATCCTTTCATATAGGAAAAATATGATGGTGGTAAGAAAAAAAATGGACTATTAAAATGGAAAACTCCATTTTGGAAAGGCAGAACACCACCTCAGTGTTAAATATGCAGTCTCTACATAAGATATAAAAAAAAGTAGAATGAACCCTCCTTAAACTTTGTTCCTTTCTAAGCTTTTGATGTCTTTGCAACAGACAGATGTGTGTTTAATACAAGTGATGCAAGACGTCAATACTTTCAAAAACACTTCTAAGCTCCCTCAATATTTTAACATCTATGTGCCAGGCAGTAAATCCTTAGGAATACTTGTTTCACATTATCCCATTCATCCTCACAGGTGTTAATTTAAGCCAATGCACTTAATGAAGCATGGCAAAGGCAACTGTTTAAAATAATGAGATGTTATTTTCAGGACATGTAAGTTTATTACACCATTAATAAAAATTAGAGTCTGTAGATTTTGGAGAGATAAATGAGGCTAATAGAAAGGTAAGATTTTTTGCGGAGGAGGTAAAGGCAAGTTTTTTGTTGTTATTTAAATACTAACCAGTGATATCAAACTAACCTTATAAAATACATACACTATCTCCCCACCTTTAAAGCACCCCTGGGGTGTAATGAGATAACTAAAGGATTGAAAAAAGAGATCTCTAAAAAAAGGACTAGAGGACAGCTATCTACTTTTGATATGAGTCTCCACCAGTAAACATTTCCCAACCATGCTGTTTTCAAAGCTCAAGTCATAACGCCCAAACTTTGATTTCTTCCCCTCAAAATACTTCTAAAACCTGAACACTCAGAAAAATGTTTACATAAAATAATGTATTCATATAACTGCAACGTATGAACTTAAAGTTCTAAGAAAGATGCAATGCCCAGTACTTACTGATTAAATGTTGATGAAGACAGGGCAATAGCATTTTGGCTCCACCATTAGCTCAACTGCAACCAATTAAAGAGATTCACGCAGAATATGCAGGTGCTAAATCAGTCCCCAAAAGCATATTTTGGGGTGAGCCTATCAACTAAAATAGTAAGAAAAAAAATTAGCTTGTTTGGTGGCATACAGAAGCACCTAGTATCGAGAGTTAAAATGAGATAAAAATCACCACAATCATGAAATGTATTTTTCACACCTGTAACATAATGGTTTTTTCCAGATACAATCAGGCTGGTTTTTGTGCTTTCTGTATGGAAGAAAAAAATTATTCTCACACCAAATTGGATTCTCTCAGCATGACAATTTTTGTAACGTTAAGGAATGTAGCTTTAACCTTTTTTCTCTAAATCTTAACAGAATTTCTAAATCCTAACCAAATACATGAAATCCTGTCTCTAAGTACACCATAAGAGCAAAAAGATAAGATTTTGGTGTATCGCCATAGTCATTCTTTAAATGTTAAAGTGATGGCAAATTATTCAAGTTATTAAAAGACAGTAATCCTCAGAAAGCTATTTGAAATATAATTTCAAAACCAGCTTAAAGAAATTTGAAGTAATGAAAAAACATGAAAACCCTTAACTGAAAAAAACAGATTTTGCAATACTTTCAACATAGTGGAAGAATATTTTCGTATTTGGAGCTTAAAAGCTACAAATGGTTTTCTCCCACGAATTAAAAATACAGGTATAATTTAAAATTTTCCAAATGGCGTCACTTTAAGCTTAAGACATGTCATATTAAAAAATAATTCCACAGAATATGCATTTTGTAGGACGTCCCAACATGCAGCCTCGACTGTCAGAAAGGAGGCACACATAATCAAATCCATGTACATTAAAAAGAGGTACACAAAGATGAATGAGTTGCGAAAAAAGCAACTACACAAATTCAATGAGAGAAAGGGAGGAGTCCTGACTCATACTGTATACTATTATCCTTTTCCTTATCTACACCGAGTATTTTATATAAAGACATATGCTCTATCATTCAATTGCACAAAAGGGCACTTGGCCACTTCTACTCTCAAATCTGCTCTGGAGATTGTGGTAAAACATTCTACATACCTCCCTGAAGAAATTCTCAAAGCGAAGTACATTTTAGAGAACAAAGTGGACTTAACAATTTTAAGAACTTTCTCGGAACTCGGCACAATAGGGTAATTACAACTTTACAGCCGCATTTTCCGTGCTCCACCAGGACTGTCCCCGCGCCCCAGCCCACATCCCTTCTTTAAAGAGAGTCAGACTGAGAGAGACGGTTCGGCCAGCTATCCCGATTCTCTATGTCTGGGCCGTGAATCGCCGAGCAAGGCTGAACCCCCGCAAAATTACAGAAGAATCTAAAGCGCAAACGAGGGAAAAGAACAAAAAAGCAAAGGGGGGGAAGTTGGGTCGAGACCCACCCCCACTCTCTCGACCCCACCCAAGCCTACCTCTCCTACGCTGGACCATAAAACAAAACCGAAAACGTAACAAAAATAAAAACTAAAAATAGAACACCACGAGAAAACAAGTAGGGCTTCCTTACTGTCTCCACTCCTTCTGGCCCAGTTCTCTACTCAACCTCCCGGCCCACCCCACCCCCCAGGGGTCCCGGCGCCATTTAGCTCCTCCGAAGCCGCCGCCATTTTCCGCCCCCGCCGGATCGCCGCTGTGCCTCGGCAGCCGCTCGCTTCCCTACTCTGCAGCCTGAGCCACGGGCACCGCCCGGCCCTAAGAGGGAGGCCCTGGCCGGAACGTGCGGGGACGGCAGCTGCAACGTCAGGAAGGCCAGGCTCCGACCCCGCCCGCAGTGCCCCGGCGCCGACAGCTTGCGCCAGCCGGCGGGAGCTAGCGGGCAGCAAGGGGGCCGGACAGGCTCCACTGGGCGGAGCGGCCCTGGCGGCGGTTGGAACCTGAAGGTTCCATCGCACTTACTTCCTGTTTTGGGTCCGGGCACTTTGGAAGAACCAGGATGGAAGCTCCAAAAAATACCAGGATGGAGGAAGCAGCCACGGGCGAGAGTGGCTGCAGCTGGAGTGAGCGAGCGCGACGAGCCACCGGAAACGGAGCTGCGGCCGCGCCCCGCCCCCAGCTCCCCGCACGCTGCCCCTCCCGCTCGTCTGTCCCGCTGGCGGCCCAGCGTGCTGGCTGTACGCGTCACTTCCGGCTGTGTCGGCGCGCGAAAAAAGGTCCTGGGTTGGAATGTTTGTACTGGTCTGTGGCGGTGGTTGTCGGCTGTCCTGCCAGGAAAACTCGGCACTGACTATCCCACTGCTGATGCTGTAAAAGAGGTCCTTCTGCTATGACGCAACTGTGGTTCCTCTGGTTCTGGGGACACTTAGGCCTCGCGTGCCGATTTTCATAGTTCCCTGTGGCTCCGAGCCGAGGGAGCCGCGGTGTGGAACGGAGGGAACCAGTGATCTCAGTGCTGAAGAAAACAGGGAGTGTGTGTCTTCATACTTGATTTGCCTTACCGCAGGGGCATAATATGAGATATCTGGGCGTGTTAAGTCGTTCTTGATGAAATGTGTCCTCTGTGAATGTAGTCTCACTGTTAGACTAGGAAGATGCTGTTTTGCTGTGCCCAGTTCCTCTTAAAAGTACAGATGCTCCTTGGGTTGCAGCCGTATAAACCCATCCTAAATAGAAAACGCGTTTTAATACCCTTATAAACGAAAAGGATAAATAAGCCTTTGGGTTCTGTAATGTGAGCCAGCATTCTTTGAGTGCGTATGTGACAGGTAAATGTTTTACGTATATTAAACTCATTTAATGTTCATAAGTTCTAAGTGCATCGCTACAATTATTACAAATGAATCCCATTTTACACAGGAACCAAAGAGAAGTGAAGGAATGTGTCCAAGGGCTCCCAAGTTGGCGGTGGAATTAGAATTGAAGCCTCAGCTCCAAAGCCTGTGTTCTGAACTACCCGGTTGCAGTTCACAAAATACACTTTGGCAGTACTTTCATAACGAAAACAAATGATTACAACCAGTTTACAAATGCTTTGCTTTACTGGAGGATCGACATGTTTGACTAATTTTCAAAAATAAATCTCAGAAGCAGCATTTTCTTGTGTTGATAACTTTATTACTAATTTGTGGCACTCTGCATTCTGTTGGAGTTAAGCCGTGTATCATTCCATTTTTTAATAAGTACATAATAATGTTTATGTAAGCAAAACTATGAGGCAGAATAGTATCGTGGTATGGACTCAGGCAGTCAGACCTGAGTGTGAATCTTGGCTCCATTTCTTAGTAGTGGATATGGCACTTCACCTCTTTTAGCTTTGTTTACTTTAGGAGTAATAAGATGTACCTTCCAGAATATTGTAGACAGCGTAGTTTGCATGGAATCTGACGTGTATTAAGCATTAAAAATGGTAACTAATAAACCTTAAAGCCAGGAAAGCAATACAACTACTCAAAGAGCAGTTCTAATAAAATAATAATTACATATGCAAAATTGTTGACATTAACATTGATAAGGTGGTTCCTAATGAGCCATATTTTTCATAAGACATAACCATATAGGATTATTTTTGCTAAGGCACAAAATAGTGATATATAAATTATAGTCGGGCTATCCATTCTCCTCTGCTAAATTTTAGGTCAGCCTGCACGCTGCTAACTCCCCGCAAAAAGTCAAGTGCATCCTCATAACTAAATTCTCCCTTTCTGGTTGAGTTTCTTTTATAACTACCTTTTCCCAAGTCAATTGGTATTTATTTGGGGATGACAAATGTATTTTAATATTAGCTTAATGCATAATTTAAAAAAATATAATAACGTCTCTATCCCTTTAGCTTGAATAATCAATGTAAAGACTATCCATAACACAACTTGATTCCTAGAGCAATTTTCTGCAGTTATACTTCTATGTTATCCGTACCTCATTATTTAGTCAATGTGTACCTAGGGAATGGATGAGGTTTTAAATATTATCCAAGGATTTACCTATTTAGGAATTAAATGTTTTGTAGAAAAATCATTAGAAGTATTTCTATCCTAAACAATAATTATTAAAGTATTTATAGCTTAGCTATGGTATTTACTGCATTTGCTAGTTAAAATTGACTTTGTTGGACTCCAGGTGTCTATAACACTTTTGTGAACCTCATCAGTGATTGATGATGAAATTGCCTTTTATGACAGGTTGATATATTAATATAAAGTATTTCAAATACTGAGAAGCAGGTTCTGTTGTTTCATGATCATCTTTTGCTAATTCAGAAAAAAAAAAGATGTTTATAAGCTTTTGTTCAAAGTAAAAGAAAATTACAATTACTGAGTAATTTTCTTTCTACACAGGCTCTGAGTCCTGTTAATATAGCTGATGGGTATACACTGTAGGGCCTTCCAGCTGATGGAGATTGCTGTGCTAATGGAGGAATGAATAAACTGTCCCAGTTATGCCCACACACCAGGCTTTACCAGGTGGTCTCCTGTCTCAGATTCTTCCTGTAGGCTTCCCTCTGGGCCTTATGACACTCCATCTTACAATCCTTTTCCCGCCTTGCATTTTGCCTATGTGTCTCATCTCTGCAATCCTTTTAATACCTCAGCCTGGTGACAACCTCTCTATATCCACTTCACTTTTTTCTTCTTTTGTGGTAAATCTTTGTTGAGACCTATTGATAGAATATTAGCCAGAAAAGTGTTTCCTTATCAAGGGAATGGAGAGCTAAGGCGTCCAATACTCCTAGCCAATAAGGATAAAAATTTTTGTTCTGTCTTTGTAATTTTGGTGTGCAAAACAAAACAGTTCAGATACTTCACTAAAACAGGATAATATCCAGACCCAGACTCAAAGACCTGTTCCTTTATAATCTAGCATGGAAGAGAGAGGGACAATGTATTAGTTAACTAAGCAATAATTGCCATGTTTTGTAAGTTCTGAGAAAGATACAACTTGGGTGCTCTGAAAGTGAACTTTTACATAGAGAGTTCAGAGTAGGCCTTTCTGAGAAGATACTTAAGCAGAAAGGTAAGAATAAAGAAGCATAGTAGGGGGTGCAAGGTGGGAAAGCATTTGTCAAGCTAGTGCATGAAAGCATATTTGCAGAAAGCAACTGGCTTGTAAAATGTTTATAAAATGGTGAAAGCAGAGCACTGCCAGGTGATAGGCTGTCCCTTGCAAATGTTAGCTGAATTTCTCAAAAAACTTTATTGTGGTAAGAACACAACATGACATCTGCCCTCAATAAAATTTTAAGTATATAAAACATTATCATTGACTATGGGTACAATGTTGTACAGCAGATCTCTAGAGCTTATTCATCTTACTTGAAACTTTATGCCCGCTGATTACTAACTCCCCATCCCCTCTCCCCAGCCCCTGGTAAACCACCATTCCACTCTGATTCTAAAAATTCGTCTATTTTAGATACTTAACATAAGTGAAATCATGTAGTATTTGTATTTCTGTGACTGGTTTATTTCACTTAGTATAATGTCCTCAAGGTTCATCCATGTTGTTGCATATTGCAGAATTTTCTTCTTTTTTAAGACTGAATAGTATTCCTATTCCTCTGAGACTAGAGCTCAGTGCATGCCCAGACATAGCAGAAATGGGCCATCTTACCCCTTTGCCATGAGCTTTGATTTGCTAATATATGGCACAATACCTTAACTTAGCAGACATTTAAATGTTTGTTGATATTAAAGATAATTATCTTAAGCCAGAAGACTTGGAAGCTAGCCATTTCTATTCTTTGGCAAGAACAGCTGACTACTGGCGATCACACAGTATTTTTCCAGATAGTGTTGCTACTTGGACAATTCTGGACTAAAACAAACACATGTTACCTATTTTTCAAGTGGAAAGAAGTTATTTTAACACATCACATATTTGGTGTTACTCTAAACCTTATTGCCCAAGTCTTGTGCATCTAGATGCAGTATTTTAAGAATAGAAGCTTGTCATTTTAGCCAGCAGATGTCCCTATTGTTCAGCAGGAGTTTTTTTTTGTTTTTGTTTTTGTTTTTTCTTTCCCAAGTAGTAACTTCAACAGTAGATAGAAATTTTGGGGCCTTCATTGCTAATGATATGCTGTGGCAGACCAAGGACAAGCCTCAACAGTAATAAAGCTAAAGGGATAAGGATTCTGCTTTGAAATCAAAATATGAGAAAGCTCTCTAGAATTAAAAGACTTCTGGATTAATCCCCTTCCCTTCTATTCACTGTACATTTAATTCCTTTGCACAGAATATGCAGTGAAACAGGAAGAAACAAGGAACTACGATAATGTTTATAACTTTCAGGAGTTTGCACATTTGTGATACACTCGGTCATTTCATTCAGCAGCTCTTCCTGAGCACCTCCTTTGGGCTGAGCACTATTTTAGGCACAGGAAATATGATGGAGAACAAGAGAGACAACCCTGCTCTCAAGGAACATATATTCTAATGGAGGAGCTTACATTATAGTAGTATAAGTGCATCTTTGTGCCAAACTTTTTTGGGTAAAGTACTCACTAAATTACTGGCAACTGCCTGTAAAACTTGCTTATAATTAACAATGAGGGAAGAAAACAAAATATGAATCAAATTGATAGCAGTAGGAGGCAGACAAATTCCTTGGTGGATGGGACAGGTCCCAGTGAAACCTGACCTTCAAGCCAAAGACAGCCTGAAGCCTGAAAACCGGGCCGCCAGTTCCAAGTAGAATCCAGTACCCAGAGTGAGAACTTTCTTAATGCCTTTGAATGAATCAAATGGTGCTTTTTCCAGGCCCACTCATGGACCAATCAGCACGCACTTCCTCCCACCCATGGGCCAGTTAACACACACTTCCTCCATTCTGAGCCCATAAAAACCCTGGACTCATCCACGAGTCAACACTACCTGCCTGCAGATAGGAGCTACCCACTTGCGTCTCTTCTCTGCTGAGAGCTGTCTGTCACTCAGTGAAACTCTTCTCTGCCTTGCTCACCCTCCGATTATCCACGTAACCTCATTTTTCCTGGATGCAGGACAAGAACTCATGACCTGCAGAAGAGAGGGCATGAAAAGGGCTATAACACTTTCCTGGCTGGCTCACTGAGCAGTGGGCGATGACATGCTCCCACTTGCTCGACTAGGGGAGTGAAGAGCAGCGAGTCTTTTGGAGGCCCAGACCTTGGGATTCCCTGAGCCAGAGCTGTAACACTATAGCCCTCCCGCCATCTGCTGGTGTTGGGCAGCTGCCCCACGTGATGGGAAGCGGTGGTGGGGCTGAGCCATCCCGGGAGTGGTGGGCTGGAGTGAGGCAGGAGGACTGAGTGGGCTGAAACATGTCCCCGCCCTGGTTCGCTGAGCTGCAGGCAGTGGGAAAGAGAGCTGTAGCATGACCCCCACCCCCCGCCCTTGGGGGGCTCTGCAGTTGCTGGTGACTCCCAAGTTTTCAGGTGCCACCATGTTCCCTTCGTCCAGACGCCGGTGCCCACAGTGGAAGCCGCTTGAAGTATGCCTGGTCCAGCTGCAGCCTCTCGCGTGGAGCAGGTGCCTGTGCTGGTGCCTGGAGCTGCCTGCCTCACTGCAGCATCCAGTGTGCCTATCTGTGTGCAGTGGCCAGACCTCGCGCTCGCTCACTCCCACACCCCTCACCGCTTCACGCCTGGCCTGCCATCCTCAGGCATTGGGATCAAGGCTGGTAGTGCGAGCCGAGGGCAGTCTGCCAGGCCAAGTGGGCAGAATGAGCCCAGCTGGTGCGAGCGAAACATAAGCAGAGGTGCTGCCGGCCACAGAGGTTTCCGGCTGGTGACGTGACTCTCAAAGGATCCTGTGACAAAATCACTTGGTATCATCAGATTAAGCTAAATTACTAGTATTAGAAAAGATGGGTCAATGTGTTTCTTCTTGGAAATTTCTGTTTTCATGTTTCTAGGCAAAGTGTTTTATGCACAAGAGAAACACATACGTCCTCTTGAATCTCCTTTGGCTGGTGTTCTCTGAATCCCTTTAATAGACATACAACGTATGTATATAAACACGGGCAATGTAGAGGTCTTTCTGGACCTGAAATTGTTAAGAGTTAAGATCTGAACCAACAGAAAACACTGCCAAACATGTTATTTCTCCTCTAAAATTACCTGAAATATCAACCCAGTCTTTTAATACCTAGTTTAAGAATTACATTGTAGTAAGTTGTAGTAAATATAACTGTATCAAATTAAATTCCATAGCATAGTACTTTTGTTACAGTGACTGCATCTTAAGTGGGCAGAGGTGAAGTCATATAATATATAATTTTTAATTTAATAAAATTGGGGCTAATAGGATTAGGAAAGGAGAGTTTCTATGGGGTGTTTAGACTTGAGAATAACCTTATTATATATAATCATATTTTGTAATTTCAGCAGTATTATATCTATTTTAGCAAACCTAGGATAAGGAAGATATGTGAATTCAGCAGTCACAGTATCTCTAATATCTTGTTTTCTGTGTTTATTTACATTTCTTAACCAGAAATATACATTTACGTAGAACTTTTGGCCTATGTTAATTCAACCTGGTGTAGCAAGACAAGGCTATCGCAGTCATTTTCTGAAATAAGGTGAAACTCCTTTCTCTATCTCTGTTGGATAAGCTCTGTTTTTGTTGAACAGAAGTCCATTTTCATATGATGCTGGAATCTTTTTTTCTTTTTTCTATTCTTTTGCCGAACAGCTGTCTGCCATGGAATCATTCTCTGAGAACACTCTTGATCTTGAGCCTGTAATAAATTTTCACAAGAATCTCCTCTGGGAAGGAATCCATGGTACTTTACCATTGTAGACCAATTGCTAGAGAAATATGTGATACAACAATGTCTCATACATAATGTTATAAATAACTGTTATTTGAAAAGGTCACAGTAAATATAGTACTATATAAGAAATCCGTCTCCTGCTATGGGTAACACTGAAAATAAATCTGAAGCCTTTCACTTTTAGGGCTTTCTTATATGTCTTTACCACAACAATATTTTTGATAAAGTAATAAATCGAAAGAAGGATTTTAGATTTCTCTTGGGTAAATGGCTTACAATTGATGGTAGCATTCAACAAGTGACCAGGGTTTTCCTACCATTCTCATATTCAGTTGGTGTTACAGTGTGATATTCTTAAATCCTTTATTTATTTGAAAATTTAAATAGAAAAGTGGTTGATTGTTTTTCTTTTTATTGTTGTTTAAACAAGTAAAAAGTGAAATTCAATTCCAATGAAAGAAGTCATGGATCATACGCTGCAGGTTTGCAAGGAATGTAACTGTTTTTCACTCTGTAACAAGCTTTCGGAGTGCTTCTCACACCCTGATGGATGTTCCTTTTAATTCTCTATAAATAAATGACCTTTACAGAGATTTTTAAGCATAAACTCCCTCAATAGCCTGCCTCCATCCCCATGCATTCATCTGTGCTCATTCTAAATTCCTTCCCTCCGATCCTAGAGATGTTCCTTCTCTTATTCAAGGCTAATTCCTCTTTTTGTGCTTTTGATCTCATCTCCCCATAGAACTATTCTTACTTCCTTTTATATGTTTTCCACCACTATAGTCTGATTTCTGCCCATAACATGCTATGAAGATTATTAGTGACCTCCACACTGCTAGATCCAATGAACAATTTTCTATGATCATTTTACTTAATTTGTCAGCAACATTTCCTCCTGAAATAACCACCTCTTCCTTCTTTGAAAATGCATTTTCTAGGCTTTCTGATACAGTACATTGGAATTCCTCCTACTTCTTTAAACACTTTTTTGCTGGCCTGATTTTTAAATTTTAGAGTTCTTCACGGTGACCCCTAAGCCTATGTCTCTTTCTTATTCTATCCTCTTTCCCTAAGTAATGTCATCCACTCCAATGGCTTCAATTGCCCTCTATACACTGATGACTCCTACATTTATAACTCTGCTAATCTACTACTCAAATGCCCTGTTTCTTATGGAACTTCCCTATAAGGCTTGCAATGTAGCAGGTCATATATTTTCAAAGATAGCTACAGCAGTATCTCCCATCCAACAACCTTTTTATATAATGTGACTCTGACACTTCTCTCAGTGACAGGTGGTGGTATATGACTCCTTCCTCTTGAAACTGGACAGCTTTTGTGGCAATTTTAACGAAGTGAATATGCAGGAAGTGGTGCTATGTGACTTCTGAAAATAGGTCATAAAAGACCTATCAGCCATCATGTAAATAGTCCAGCTGCTATACTAGGAGGAAGGCCAAACTAGCCCATGCAGAAAAGCCACACAGAGAGGCCTGAGACTATATGAGAAGAGGTGAATGACTGGAGAGCCATTAACTGCTCCAGCCTCTCCTCCATATTAGTTACCTGTCGCCTCATAGTAATATCAAATTGCCCCAAAATGTAGTGGCTTACCACAGAGTTTAATAACCTCAATTTTTGTGAATCAGGAATTCAAGAGTGGTGTGACTGTCTGATTTGCTTAGGGACTTCTGCGAGGTTACAATCAAGATGTCAGCTGAAGTTGCAGTCATCTGAAGGCTTGACCAAGATGAGAAGATCCAGTTCCAAGATGGCTCATTCACATGGCTATTGATGAGAGGCATCATCCCTGGCAACTGGCTGAAGGCCTTAATTCCTCATCACATGGGCCTTTCTATAGGGCTGCTTGAGTGTCCTCTCAACATGGCAGCTGGCTTTCCTGAGAGAGCAAGTGATCTAAGAATGACAGCAAGCAGGAGGCTGGAATGCCTTTTGTGGTTTCAGAAGTTCATATTGTCACTTCGACTTTATTCTATTCATTAGAAGTGAGTCACTGGCCGGGCACAGTGGCTCACGCCTGTAGTCCCAGCAGTTTGGGAGGCCGAGGCTGTGTGATCACTTGAGGCCAGGAGTTTAAGACCAGCCTGATCAACGTGGTGAAACCCCGTCTCTACTAAAAATACAAAAATTAGCTGGGCGTGGTGGCAGGCATCTGTAATCCCAGCTACTCAGGAGGCTGAGGCAGGAGAACCGCCTGGACCCAGGAGGCAGAGGTTGCAGTGAGCCGAGATTGTTCCACTGCACTCCAGCCTCGGCGACAGAGTGAGACTCCGTCTCAAAGAAAAAAAAAAAGAAGTGAGTCACTAAGGCCAGCTGACACCCAAGGGAACAGAGATGAGACTCTACCTTTCGAAGGGATTTTTGGACACCCTTCATCCACTGTTACAGATCCAGCTATCATCTCATTGCAAAAGCATGAGACACCCAGAAGTTTATCCCAGCCTTTCCCAAAATCCTGGTCCACAGAAACTATGAACAATAATAAAATGATGATTGTTGTCTTAAGCCATTATGTTTCAAGGTAGTTTTTTTCCTAGCACTAGCTAACCAGAACATAGAATCTTCTGGACTGAACTCTGAAAAACGAGAAAGTAATTCCTTCTTCTCTGAGATTTCCTCAAAATATGGGGTTTCTATTATTTTCTCTCCTGCCACCCTAGGATTTTGACTCCTAGAAGGGAGTATCATATGGGGGGCTTTTCTCAGGTACCTACTGGTACTTGTAAGTTTGTCAAAAGTTTCACTTTGTTTTGGTTGGAAAAACTGCCCTTATGTCATCAGCAGTCTCCCTGTGCTCTGGTTCATGATATAAACTCTGATCTAGGTAATCTATGCCCTTCTTTTAGTTTTCAAATGAAAGGTTTTAGACTCTCCAAGTCCATTTTTTCTCCATAATTCCTGGCTCTTAAAGATCAAAAGCTCTGGATTTCAATATTATTGGCTCATATAAATTTATAAAAATCCATTAAATATTTATTTGTTCTAGTTCATATATATGTTTTCTGTCAGTATAGAAAGTATCAAAGCTGCCTTTATTGGGGGGAAGCGTAATAGGTACAAGAATGTGCAGGAGGGAGTAGCAACCAATTAATAGCTCAAAGATACTATTATGCTAAAGAAACATTTGACATGTAGCATTTATATTAAGTGGTATTTGGTTTTACATAGTTACAAGTTTGCACAAAATATGTATATATGTCATAATTCATTATCTTATTTTTCTTTACAAAAGATTTTGAGATTTGGGAGAAACGGAATGGATAACCAGGACTAGAGTTCCAGTTTACAACACTGCAACATAGGAAATGCAGATTGGCAGAAACATGTACTTGGAAATTTCCAGTATTCTTAGGAGAAAAGCAGCACAGCTGAGGGTATTCTAAAGACTATAGAGATGCCCCTGAGTCCCAAAAGGGCTGGAAATGGAGCATTTACCTGAGTCCTTTCCAAGTGATAGAGACAAGATCAGAAGTGGTTATAGGGCAAAATTCAGAGATGTTGAGCCTGCTCACAAGAGATTAAAGGATTAAAAAGATGAGGATTTTGCAAATGTTACGTGTTAGAAGCTGAATTTGTTGCTTATTACTTTCAACATATTTTAATACATAATGGACACAAGCACTTGCAAGTCATAGTGTGTGCAGAAAAGGAATGTGTTTGTCAGTGTAATAGATATTCCCACATTTATTATGTTGCAACAAAGTAAAATAGTTATCAAAATTACCTGAATTCTACATGTCAGTAATTAGTAACATAGACATTACCTGAGTATCTGGGCAGAAATCTGAAACTCCCACCAGTAGTTCAAATAGGACACAATGATGTTCTGTATAGAACATCAGTTGACCAGATATTTTAAACTTCTATTCTTCCACAGCTTATACAGGAAGGAGTGGACTAATTGATCAACAGCAATTTCTTCTAAGACGGCTGCCTGTGTTATACGTGGTTAACATCTGAAAGTTCACTTTCTATGAATAATGAAACATCAAAGCTTACCTAAGTTTTCCTGCTGACTGTTAATATTTATTTGTTTCTGACTAAACTTTCTCCATGAGAGCTTCTACTGGTAACGAGGCCTCTTCAGCAATGAATTATTTTGTAATCAGGCATGCCTCAATCTGTCAGAAGTGCACAGTTGTCCATCTGTTGTGTAGTTTGCACTAACATTATAAACTATAGTCCATTTGGCCTCTTTTGGAAAGACTGGAAATTCATCCTGTTTCCTTTACTGATGTCTTAGTGTCAGTACACAAAATGTGGTCGAGAAGAAATTTAGGTGGCATTCTTAAAATCTGTGATAGTTACATTTAGCCTACATTTCAGTCAGGAAAGTGATTCATACTTCATGTCTATTTCCAGTAGCTAAAACTAACACTATGTTAAGTCTAACTAAAGCTCTCTAAAATTGCCAACTTTATGATTGCTATATGTAGCATGATTAGGAACTCTACACTGATTATTTTTAAAGAAACCATGTTTTTTTTTCATTTATGCTTAATTCTGCTTTTAGCACCCTTGTTTGTTTAAATGTTACAGATTTTAAAAGAAACTGTTGGTACTCAGAAGTCAGCAAGGCCTCCTATCTCCTATTTCATGAAATCAGTGTAAGGTTTTCTTAATGTCCAATTCCAAAGTCCAGTTAAACTCAAAGCTTTCCATAGTCTTCTGTATGTTATCAGGGTTTCATACTATCATGGCTCTCTCTTCCTCTAATTTTTGCATTCAGGAATGTAGTACTTTATTTTACCTTAAAAAATTGAGTTTCTTTACCAGTTTTCATCAGGGTTCTCATTCCAAGATTTTAGAAAAGAAATTCATAATAGAGTAAAAAGTTTCTGAGAGGAATCATAGCCTTCTATCATTCCTGTGGCTTCCTTTTTGTCTTTCCTACTCTCCTACCTCTCAGGAACAAAGCCAATTTGTCTTCTTGCCCTTTATATAGCGTTTTAGTAGGCTGATATACTTGAGCTTCCTTGTGCTAGTGACTATACTGAGCCTTATTTTCATTCCTCCTTTCTTCTATAGTAAAAGTAAAATATTTGAGTGCCAAGATAACAATATATTCCCCAGCCTTCTGTGCAACCAGGTATAATTATATGACCATGGCCAGTGTGATGCAAGCAGAACTGAAGTACAATGTCTGTCTTTTTCCCTAAAGGAATGAGCACGCCCTCCTTTTCACCTTGACCCTTTCCTTCTGCCTGGCATGTGGTGGTAATGAATCATCTGGAACTGTGTAGATAAGGCCAACAGGAATAGTGGAGCAACAAGATAGATTGACACTGTCAAATCCTCATGCCTATCTTTGGTTGACTACATCCTGTTACACAAGAGAGAAGTAAACTCCTATTCTGTTTAATCAATTTATAGTTTGGGTCTCTGTTTCTGCAGCTGAGTCTACATCCTAATCAATACCATTTTCTTCAGCCTCTCACCCGGCATTTCTTAAGAATACAATGCTCTTTCTAAGAGGAAATCTAGTTAACCAAGTTTTCTCCTCTTCCTTATATTTATATATAACTTTCTGTAGAAGGGGAAGATGAGTGACATTTCCTTTAGTAAAGATTTGAGAATAAAGGCACTTCAGGCAGAGGGAAGTTTTATAACTAAATATTCCAGAAAGTGCAAAGCATTTCTATGGAATAAAAACATCATGCAGTTTGGGTGGGACATAGGAGAATTCTGGAAAACAACATTGGAAATGTGACTTGGGTGGGATAAAGTAATGGAGAGGTATATTAGTTAACCTTTGCTGCTTTGCTGTGTGACAAAACACCTCAACTTTTAGTGTATTAAAACAATTATTAGTTCATTACCAAATGGTGGGCAGTTGGGGCTCTCAGCAGTTGGTCAGTTCTTGTGCTGTTTTACCTGGGTTTACCCATGCATTGGAGTCAGCTAGAGGATCAACTGGGATTGGATGACCTCATTAACATGTCTAGCTGACAGGTTGATGGCTAGTATGCCTTAGTTTCCCTCCATGTCATCATTTCAGTTGTCTAGCTTGGGCTTGTTCATATAGCAGCAATGTTCCAAGAGTGTAAGAATGCATAACTCAATGTTCAAGCACTTTCCAAGCCACTAGTTGTTTTACACTAGCAAGTCGTTGACCAAGACCACATACAAAAGTTGAAAGAAAAGCCTTCACTGCTTGATAAGGAGAGCTGCAAATTGTCAAGGGACAATATTTTGCAATATTCTAGGTCCTTGGATACTAAGCTAAGAAATTTGGACTTTTAATTGGTATGCAGTGAGGAAGGAAGGGCACAAACTTAGAGATCAACCTTAGATGGAACCAAAAAAGGTCTTTAAAAAAACAGACTTGATTTACAGAACAGTTTTAGAGTTACAGAAAAATGGAGAAGATAGTGCAAAGAGTCCCTATATCCCCCATGTGAGGTATTCCTTATTATTAACATCTTACATTAGTATGGTATATTTGTTGCAATTAATGAACCAATATTGATACAGTATTATTAACTGAAGTCTATACTTTATTCATATTTCTTTAGTTTTCATCTAATGTTCATTTTTTGTTCTAGGATATCATCAGGATGACATATTACATTTAATTGTCACATCTACTTAGCTCTTCTAGGCTGTGACAGTCTTTTAGACTTTGTTTTTGGTGACCTTGACTGTTTTGAGGAGTACTGGTCGGATATTTTGTAGGATGCACCTTGACTGGAATTTGTCTGATGTTTTTCTTATGATTAGACTTAGATTATAGGTTTTTGGGAGGAAGACCACAGAGCTAAATTGCCATTTTCATTGCATTATATCAAAGGTACACACTATCCACATGACTTCCCACATTTAATGTGAATCTTGATCACCTGCCAAGGAAATTTTGTTCTCTACTGTAAAGTTACACATTTGCACTCATTTTGTGTACTTTTTGGAAGGAAGTCTCTATTCTTAGCCCACACTTAAGGATTAGAGAGTTATTTTACACCCTCCATCTTTAGGGTAGAGTATCTACATAAATTATTAGGAATTATTCTACATGGGAGATTTAGTTATTCTTTCCCATTTATTAATATATTCAATCATTTATATCAGCATAAGTTCATAGATGTTTATCATATACATTGTGTTATAATATAATACAAGTTTATTTTGTTTTTTTGCTCAATTTTTTCCAGCTTTGTAATATATTACCATGGTTGCAAAAAAAAAAAATCCTACACTATTCTACTTTCAACATTGTTTTGTCTTTTTCTCCCCAGGATCTCACTGACATGTATCCTTTCTCTTGAATTTACTGACTTACCTCATTTTATTTCTGCCAACTAATCCTTTTCTCTACTCTGAATTCCTTCTTTGATTAATACTGATCATGCAATAGTTTACACATACGATATTCAGGTACTATGGCTCTAGATTTGTTTAATAATATAAATAAATCTCATGGAGGAAGGGCAAAGAGGGAACATTTTTGAGAAAGAATTTGGTTATTGTCCCTCCTTTGCCTCCACCTCTCCCGGTTCTACTCATTATGAAAGATATCTGCCAGCCTGACAATAATGTTCAATATTTAATAATTCAGGAGTGACCATTCACTCATCAAACATTTATGAGTTTCTATATGTGCTAATCATTTGTCAAAGAATGAAGGGTAGATATAACGATGAATAATAAAATGTATGGTTTCTGCCCTTGAAGATCTCAGTTTAATAAAAACATTAGGCAAGAGAAAAATAATTTGGTTTCAAACTTGGGATCTTTTTATCTGTAATTAATTGTTCTACTTGAACATAAAGTCCCTTGGGGAGCAGAGCATGAGGATGGAATACAGTTGAAGAGAAGGGGCAGTGAGCTGAAACTCAGAATTTGAGATTTTAGCAACGGAGAAAGTATACTCTAGAAGGAAGTTTTTATGATATGGCTGTGTTGGTTGATAGAAGCTGAGTATAGTTTTGGTGGTTAAGATGTGAGTTCATAATATTAAATGAATTAGGATAGATGTTGAAGTCAAAAGATAATAGTGTCCAAAGTTAGAGAGAATAATCTAAACCTGAGGGTAAAATAATAATTGAAGTTAGGACAGTGTTGGAATTTAGTAGGTTACAAATGTAATGAAGGGTTCACTGACCACATCTCTTAAGCCCCACAATTTTTCTCCTAGAAATTTCAAATAGGCATTCTGATGAGTGTGAGATGGTATCTCATTTGAGTTGCATTTATTTGATGATTAATGATGTTGAGCATTGTTTCATGTTCATTAGCTGCTTATATGCCTTCTTTTGAAAAGTGCCTATTCATGTCTTTTGCCCAGTTCTTAATGGGATTATTTGGTTTTTGTTTGTTGAATTGTTTAAGGGCCTTATATATTCTGGATAGTTGATCTTTGCTGGATGCATAATTTGCAGATATTTTTTCCCATTCTGTAGCTTGTCTTTTTACTTTGTTAATAATTTCTTTTGCTGTGTAAAGCTCTTTAGTTAGGTCTAACTGGTTAATTTTTGTTTTTGTTGCAATTGTTTTTGGGGACTTAGTCATAAATTCTTTCCCAAGGCCAATGTCCAGAATGTTGTTTCCTAGGTTTTCTTTTAGGATTCTTATAGTTTGAGGTGTTACATTTAAATCTTTAATCCATCTTGAGTTAATTTTAGTGTATGGTGAAAGGTAGAGCTCCAGTTTTATTCTTCTGCATGTGGCTTGCCAGCTATCCCAGAATGGCTGTTATTAAAAAGTCAAAAAACAACAGATGCTGGCAAGGCTGCGGAAAAAACAGAACACTTATACACTGTTGGTGGTAATGTAAATTAGTTCAGCCACTGTGGAAAGCAGTTTGGAGATTTCTCCAAGAGTTTAAAACAGAACTAATATTTAACCCAGCAATCCCATTACTGGATATATATCCAAAAGAAAATAAATTATTCTATGAAAAAGACACATCCACTCATTTGTATATTGCAGCACTATTCATAATAGTAAAGACATGGAATCAACCTGGGTGCCCATTATTCGTGGATCAGATAAAGAGAATAAGGAGTATATAAACTATGAAATAGTATGCAGCCATAAAAAAAGAATGAAATCATGTCCTTTGCAGCAACATGGATGCAGCTGGAGGCCATTACCCTAAGTGAATTACATAGGAACAGAAAACCAAATGCTGTACGTTCTCACTTATAAGTGAGAGCTAAATGTTGGGTACTCATGGACATAAAGATGGCAACTATAGACCCTGGGGACTACTTGGGGTGGGGACAAGGTTGGAAAAATAAAGTAAAATGAATTAGCAAAAAAAGGAACTTCATAGGTAGAAACTGAAAAATAGCGTCACTTCGGGCAACTTCAAGGGCAGTCTATATCACCTGGCGAGAACTAGAGAAGGACAAATGGAAGAATATGGAAGACAGTGCAATAACTGTACAGGCAGGGTAAATGGTAGGCATGTATAAAATAACTGTTGGAATACTTTACAAAGGGAAAATGAAATCCAGTAATCAAGGTAGCAGTGGTATACCACACTAATATAATTTGGGCATTTTCAGAGTTGTCATGACATTGTATCATAATCATAGGCCTTTATTTAGCCTGGATCATATAGATCTAGTTAGCATATAGACCATGTGGCCTAGAGAGCCAGGCCATACATGTATAAGGAGCAGATGGCCTAAGGCATGGATGGGAAAAAGAGGAAATGGCATGAGGCCAACTAAAGGGCATTGGGAAGCAGGGAAAAGTTTATTCCTCTTTTTATGTGAATTGGAGAAAATAATAATTAACACATTATAGCAAGTTTCAAAGCTAAAGATATAATCGGGGGAAGATAGATTTTGATAATGTTATTTTAACTGAAAGAACACTTTTGGAAAAGTGTTTGAGAGTGCAAGGAGTTTCACAACTGGTTAGAGATGCAATAGAATGCAACAGGAGCTAGTGAGTGTTAGGCCAAGGTAGAGGACTATGGAAGAGGGAGGGAGAGAGATGGTATTGAGCTCCTTGGAGCAAAATGTACTTATAAGAAGTTACACTATCTCAGTGTAAGCCACAGACTAGGGATTTGATAGTTAAATAAAGGAATAAAAATAACTTCTAACAAATGGCAAATTTGTAACTAATAATTGCTCAAATAATTGAGAACAGAATGAATGAAGAGCATATGCTGCTTATTTGAGCTGTCAGCACTTAGATGAGCTGTTGACAAAAATGGAATGATACTAAATTAGATTGAAGATCTTGCAGAATGCATTCAGAGAATACAGTGGAAACACTGGCACTTTAATCAAGTGGAAAAGTCATAATGTGAATTACTTTTTACAATGTGTGAAAAAAGTATAGAATGATATATGGGCCATATTGTGATACTTTCTTAGGTTGAGGTGAAGGAAATGTAATGGTTCTCTCTTTCTCCCACAATACTGTTTCCTTTCCCCAAATATTTTGGTACCCATCTCTGATGTGGGGTTTTCTTCTGGGAAGAATGATAGAAGATGGAAAAAGGGAAGAATGCTGGCAAGCGCACAGAGTTAAATTGGAGAAAAACAGTATCCTCCCTAACTTCCCATTTCTCATTCCCCTAGCATCTGCCCCCACCCCCAGCACTAGAGAACTGAATTTGGATGTCCTAAACCCAAAGAGAGCAAAGATCTCTATGTGTGCCTGCTTTGAACAACACAATGAAAATAGAATCAGAAACTAGATTTAAACTCAATTTTGAAGGCAGAAACATTTGAAATCTTTGAAATGAAAAACTGGACAATTTAAAATGACCCAAAATAATGTAATAGAATTGTCTCCTGCAGGGAAAAGTCTTTATAAATCTGATCCAGAAGTTTGCATCTGTTATTTAATGTTACTTTTTGTCATTTACCAGTTACCTTCCCTTGGACTAACTAGTTAATTCACACTTGAAAGTTTACTTATACACAGAGTTCTGAAGACTTGAGTTTGGTACCCCCCACCACCCAGTTTTGATTTATTTTTTATTCAAATAGTACCAATATCAAATTTATAGAAAAGTTGCAAGTACAGTATAATGAACATTTTTCTAAGCCCATTTGAGAATATGTTGCTGATATGATGCACCATCATCCATGAATAAAGTGTTATTTCCTACAGTGACATTTTCTTAGATACCTGTAATCAACACATTACTACCATCTGATCTTCAGATATCATTCAAATTTCACCAGATGTCCCAATATATCTTTTATAGAAAGAGAATCCAGGTCAGAATCATGTGTTGTATTTAGTTGTCATGTCTCTTTAGTTTCCTTCAATATGGAAGAGCCTCTCCTTGACTTTTATGAACTTGACACTTAACAAAAATTACAGACCGGTTATTTTGTAAAATATCCCCCCATTTGAAATTGTCTAATGTGTCCTCATGACAAAATTTATGTTCTCTGGCTTTGTCAGAAATAACAGAAAAAAATGCCTTATTTAATGCATTGTATCCCATCAGGTGGCACAAGATTTTGATTTATGCTGTCTTTTAAAAAATGTCTTATTGCTACTGTAATAAGTTAACCCGAATTTAGTGGACTAAATAACACGAACTTATTATTTTCCACTTCTGGATATCAGAAACCTGAAACGAGTTCACAGGGTTAAAATGAAAGTATCAGTATAGGTGTATCCTTTCTAGAGGCTCCAGGGCAGAATCTGTTTCCTTCCTTTTTTTTTTTTTTTAGCTTCTATAAGCTACCTGAATTCCTCGACTCACGGCCCCCTTCCGTCTTCAAAATCAACAATCACATCACTTCAAACTCTGTGTCCATTACATCTCCTTGTCTGACTCCTTCTGCCTTCCTTATCTACTTTCAAGGATCCTTGTGATTACATTGACCCAGCCCTGGTAATCCAGGATAGTCTCTTCATCTCAAAATCCTTAATTTATCACATCTGCAAAGTTCTTTTTGCCATATAAAGTAACATCTTTACAAGTTCTGGGAATTAGGATGTGACATCAGAGGTGGGCATTATTCTGCCTATCACACCCGTTTTTAGTGATGTTCATGATACTGCTGCAACAAACATGGAAGTGCAGATATCTCTGCCAGTTTCCTTCACTTTGTTTTCTCACTATAAATAATAACTTTTATGGGTGAAATTTTTGGTACTATGCAAATATCCCGTTCTCTATAGAATTATTTATTTATTTAGTTAGTTATTTTGTTATGGGTTTTGGTGGATTATGAAATAAAATTCTATAAATTGTTGTTTGTAAAATAAATAAGTAAACAAACAAACCTCTTGTTCCAGGCTTGTTTTGTACTTTCTCTGCCCCACACATTAAGTCAGTCATTATTCCAAGAAGGCCTGGTTTTCTTTTAGTAGAGAATGGTATTTGCCAATAAAGAAGTGGACAGTAGGTGTGGCCGTTACTATTGGAATGTGGCTATTCTGAGGTCCTCTCAGTGGACAGAACTTTAGATATATCTTCATAAAGAGACTTGGATAAGAATAGTTATGTAGCTTTATCCATAGAAGCTCAAAGCTGAAAACACAAATGTCTTCAACAGAAGGATGCATAAAAATTGTGGTATATTCATGCAATGAAATACTGCTTAGAAAATTAAAATTTTTTCATTTTTAATTTTTGTAGGTACATAGTGGGTATATATATTTATGAGGTACATGAGATAGTTTTGTACAGACGTGCAATGTGTAATAATCACATCATGGAAATTTGGGTATCTATCCCCTCAAACATTTATCCTTTGTGTTATAAACAATCCAATTATATACTCTTTTAGTCACTTTAAAATGTACAATTCAGTTATTATTGACTATAGTCCCCCTGTTGTGCTATCAAATACTAGGTCTTATTCAATTTTTCTAACTATATTTTTGTACTCATTAACCACCCCCATTTCCCCCCTCCTTCTCACTACCTTCCCTAGCCTTTGGTAACCATCCTTCTACTCTCATGTCCATGAGTTCAATTGTTTTGATTTTTAGGTCCCACAAATAAGTGAGAACATGTGCCTGACTTATTTTACTTAACATAATAACCTCCAGTTCCATCTGTGTTTTTGCAAATGACAGAATCTCATTCTTTTTTATGGCTGAATAGTACCGCATTTTGTGTAAGTACCACATTTTCTTTATCTAGTCATCTATTGATGGACATGTATGTTACTTCCAAATCTTGGCTACTGTGAATACTGCTGCAACAAACATGAAAGTGCAGATATCTCTTGCATATACTGATTTCCTTTCTTTTGGGCATATACCTAGCAGTGGGATTGCTGGATCACACCGCAGTTCTATTTTTAGTTTTTGAGGAACCTCCAAACTGTTCTCCATAGTGGTTATACTAATTTACATTCCCACAAACAGTGTACCAGGGTTTCCTTTTCTCCACATTCTCACCAGCATTTGTTATTGACTATCTTTTGGATATAAGCCACTTTAACTGAGATAATATGATATCTCATTGTAGATTTATTTGCATTTGCATTGACGATGTGGCACACCTTTTCATATGCCTGTTTGCCATTTGTATGTCTTCTTTTGAGAAATGTCTATTCAAATATTTTGTCCATTTTTTGATCAGATTATTAGAGTTTTTCCTATAGAGTTGTTTGAGCTCCTTTTATATTCTGATTATTAATCCCTTGTCAGATGGATAGTTCGCAAATATTTTCTTTCATTCTGTGGGCTGTCTCTTCACTTCTGGATTGTTTCCTTTGCAATATGCAGAAGCTTTTTAACTTGATGTGATCCCATTTGTCCATTTCCGCTTTGGTTGCCAGGAAATTTTTATTTTAAAGATAAAAGAAAGAACAAATGACATAAGCTATCACATGGATAAGTTTCAACATCATTATGTTAAATGAAAGAATCCAGATGCAGACAAGAACACCCTGCATGAATCCATTTATATGAAGGTCAAGAACAGGCAAAACTAAACTGTAGTAATAGATAGAACAGTGGCTGTCGATAAAGATTGGAATTGAGTGGAAAGAGACAGTAATTTGCTGCCATTGTGAAAATATTTTATCTCTTAATCGGGGTGTTGGTTACACAGTATACCCATTGAATTGTACATGTAAGATTTCTACAGTTCAGTTATGTGGATTTTAACGCAATTTAAAAAAATGATAAGTGATTATCTGACGGCTTGGAGGATAAGTTTTTGTTCCTTGTCTTGCTTTTCTTCCTGGCAATTGTCATGTAACTTTGAGGATGTGTATTAGGATTCTTCAGAGAAAGAGAATCAATAGGAGATAATTATTTATTTATTTATTATTTATAATGAGGAATTAACTCATGCTATTATGGAAGCTGAGAAGTCCCACAATCTGCTGTTCTCAAGCTAGAGATCCAGGAAAGCCAGTGGTATAACACAATCTGAGACCAAAGGCCTGAGAACCAGGAGAGCAGATGGCATAAATCTTAGTTCTATTCAGACCCATAATAGACTAGATGATTCCTGCTCACATTGGGGAGGGCAATCTACTTTACTAAGTCCACTGGTTCAAATGCTAATCTCACCCCAAAACACCTTCACAGAGGCACCCAGAAATAATGTTTAATCTGGGAACCCCATGGCCTAGTCAAGTTGACACATTATAAAATTCACCATCACAGGATGGCAGCCACAAGATGAGTGGTGAAAGAAAGACAAAGTTTAAGTTCCTCATAGCATTGTAGGTAGCATCACATAGCATCCCTGAACTGCATACCTCCAGAATGCATGTGCTCACAATATGGCCACAATCTGGAGGGAGATGACTAGGCAAGAGTGCCTAGCTATTTATTTAGCTCCCCTCATGATGGCATTAAGCTTAGTGAATTCCTTAGTGTGTGCCTGTGTGTGTGTGCAGGAGAAAGAGAGAGACACAGAGAGAGAGAGATTGAGATCCTAATGGGATCAAGCCATTGTAGCTGAAACTCAGTTACCAGTCCAAACCATTTCCTTACTGATGCATTTCCCCGATCTCCTTTTCTTTCATCTTGTCTGGTTATGAATACAGTATATTTGTAAACCTAAATGTACTATCAACTCTATGAGGAAGAATTAAGTAGTTATCTCACATGATAGTAAGTTCCTATTCCTAAACTGTATTCCATGGAATATTAATGTTACCAAAAAGGTATCCCATATTCAAATAAACTACATTCGCCATTTATGTATGAACAATAGTAAATGATTGGGAATTGTAAATTCCCTCTGGGGAATACATTGTATTCATTGCTGAAACATTTCTTGGCCACAGAAGCTGTTTTCAATAGTATATCAGGCTGGATCAGAATATATGTTTGGAAACATCACTCTAGATTAAGGGTGAACCTTGGAATGAAATCCTAACAGTAAACACCTCTTCCTTTTGGGATTTGCTATCTTCCTCACCCAACCTCTCCTCATTATAGCAGTGTATGTAGCCTGCTTCAATTTGCTGTCATAGACCAATCGTACTCAGGGAATTTCTTTCCCACTTTGGCAGAACTATGGTAAAGCTCCCTAAGACAAAGTGAATGTTTAAAGTCCTCTTAGTGCAATGACTTCACATCTTCTGACCTGCCTGTTTTGCCCTTCTTCTTCAGTTCATTTATTCCTGACTATCTAGGCCTCTGATCTAATTCTTCTCTCCAGGGCCTCTGTAAACATTATGCGTGTGCAGGCAAAACTCCAGCAGGCACCATTCACATAGATGGTGACCTGAAAAGTGCCCCTAGAACCGTCCAGAGGGGCAGCTGTAATCCTGCTCTGACTCTTTCCCTTCCTGCCTGCACTAGTTTTCTGATTGACTCTATGTTCTGGGTTTCGCTATTTATGGATCATGACTTCTGTTTTCTAGTTTCTGACTCTTCTTGGTTTCCCTGTCTTTACTTTCACCTTGTGTACACTTTTGAGCTTTTGACCTATTGGTCTCAGGACTGACTATGGCTAAAGTAAACTGGTATCCCACTTCTAAGTACTAACTAACACTTCCCAATTATTTCTCTTCCCTTTTTAAATGTAGTTTTGCTTAAAACAGAATTCTATCCAAATGACACTTCGGAGACATGTAAGGGAGGCTAAAGAAAGAGGATTTTTTAAAATTCAAGATTACAATGTGCTATGAATATTTGGGGGTGAAGGTGAGCTCCCTTCCTCCTCAGAAAGACTTTAGATTGCCTGTTGAGAATTAATGTTTTAAAAGGATCACAGCATTGAATAGGAAAATCTTCTCTAAATAGGAACAATGGCTTCCCAGCGGGTAACACTGAACTGTAACCTGATTGAATGTATTTAGTAGCTAAAGAAAGAATGTGTCAGCCAGAAGGTATGGGAGCTTGGTTAGCCCTGAAATTTCAGAAAGAGAAAGATCACAGGGGCAAAAGTTGAATGTATCTCGAGACAAGAGACCTTGGTGCAGAGACAGCAGAAAAATGACAATACTCACTCCAAGGTTATGGTTACCAAGAAACCTTTTGATCGTAATTTAACTTTTCATATAGTGCTCCTATAGGTAAAGAAGGTGTAGGCTGTGAGATTGAGTAGCAGTAAATGCATTCCTTTGCAAATTAGCGTACTTGAGTTTGCGTTTATACGTCAGTCTTTGTGAGCTGGTCTAATGAGATACTGCCTGCTGAACTGACAGACAGGTTTATGAGCTTTCCAGGCTGAGAGCTGAGGCTGTGAGGAATTCAGTAAGGTTAATGCCATCCGGAGGGGAGCTAAATGAGTAGCTAGGCAATCTTCCCTAGACATCTCCCTCCAGATTGTGGCCATGTTGTGAGCACATTTTCTTCAGATTTCTCATCCATGTAACTCTCTATTAAGTGTATCAATATTAGTGGCACACTGGTATTCATACACATTCACAATCTCCTTCCTGCCTCCATTTTGGGGTGAAAGTATCAGCAGGAAACATAGGGATATTATGAACACACATGAGAAATTAGATAAAAGAAAGGATTTCCTGACAGGTGTCCTTTAAAAGTTTTGTTTCTTTTTCATTTTTTATCTTAATGTAATTAAATTGACTTATTAATCAACTAATTAATCGAGTTTGTTTGTTTTAGCAAAATAATTCAGCACCAGTTTGCCAGAAATAGCTCTTTTGTTTTCTTTTTCTGGAAAAAGAGCTAGGTCTGATGACAGCCTCTGTCGCTTCTATTCTGCAGATCCTAAAGTTTATTTGTTCCTCTTGATATTAAAAGTACTGTTCTGAGCAAGGATCTCTGTCAGTTACTATTGAAGTTTGGGGCTTGGGTTTTCTCTCACCAAGTTAGATGAAAAAGTAGGAAATTAATGTGTTTATTTACTTAATTTAAGCAACCTCCCTGAGTTTTGCTAAATTCCAGATTCCATATTGATAAGATAAACCTAGGTGGTTTCTTTTTATTCAGCCTTTCTCTATAGAAATATCGGAATCAAAATACAACTGTTCTAGTCACTGTGACTGTCTTGTTTTATTTAGACCCCCACCCAGTTTCTTCAGTGTCATAATCTATACTGTTTTTAGATTGCCAAAATATTGAGCTTGGTGTTGCTGACATGCTATTCAGTGACATTTTATGACCATACTTAAATTGTTTAGGCTTCAGTTTCCCACAACCTAAGTGCAAAAGAGTATTTGATGGTAGTATTTGATACTCTATTTGAATAGAATATTTGAAAACTTGTTGATGATTATGGTACTATTTGCATTTTTGAAATAATCACATTCCAAGTCACATGGGAGAACACACTTAGGTTTGCTGTCAGAAATGAGTTGGATGAAACTCTTAAACATGAACATGAAAGAAGTCAATGTGAGATGGCTGCAAGAACAGATCTAATTTTGTTCATGTTGAAAAAGTTAAACTTTCCATGCTGAGTAGCAATCATTCTATGGTAACAAATTGTCAAATATCATTTTTGTTTGACTAGGATCAGAAAATCTCACCAGGGCAAAAGCTAGACTAGGATTTGTCCACTGCATTTTTCTTTTTTTGGCCTTCCAATGTATGACCCCAGAGCCATGTAATTTTTATTGAAGAGCTGTTTTAGCTCAGGCTCCAAGCTGACCCTATTCTGATTCAGAGAAAATTTAAGGAGACTGGGCCAGTCATTCAAGTACTAATGTTGCATAGTGTTTTCTCAAACCCCAGTAATTTATAAATAAATCTCTTTTGAAGAAACCAGTTTTCATGAATTCCCAGTGATGACAAATGTTACTGTATAAATATAACCATAAAACTAGGTTGAAGTTCCTTATGTATGTAGATGATACACATTCACAAACCCAAAGTAAATTTACAAATTAAATACAAAAATATCTAACAAAACCAAATAAGTTCACATTAACAAGACTTAGTGAGAAAGATGCTGCTCTTTTACTGAAAGTAAATTGTTATTTGCAACATAAATATAATACTGACCCATCTAGTATAGGTTTTTTGAATTTAGTATGCCTGTTACTTGATGACTCAATTCTTTTACTACTTTTCTCTATTAGAATAATTTTGCAACCTCAGATAGCATTTCCGCTACTCTTCGTGAGCTACCTGGTGGTAGCCTCTCATTCCTGAGGGGTCAGAGCTGCTGGTAATCATATTCCTCTCAGGCTAGGGTTACCGCACTTCTCTCTTCATAGTCATAATTGGAGAAGAGAGAAACCAAAAGGCGCGCCTATGTGGATCCCGAGTTTCACATTTATTCCTCCTTGCTGTGAATGCGTCACAGAACTCTACATCTGCTGCAGATTATGGTCATTTACTTGTGATGCTAAAGTAACTCTTCTTCAAGCCTGCTGCTCCCTAGACACAAAGAGGTGCAAGAGCCCAGGTGGTGTCTGTGGCTTTTAGTTCAAGAGGATCCTTGTTGTGTCCCCTGGCAAGAGTGTGCTACCTACAGAGCCCAGGGTTGAGAGGATGGAAAGCCTCAAAGTTCCCCAGTAGGTCATTGGGAATAATGGAAATTGAGGCCATTTCTTTTTCCACACTTGGTTTCTGAACCCTTGTATTCTTTTCTATTTGGGACACAGAACTATGTAAAGATCTCTGACTCAAAACCAATATTGTGTCCTAGAAAAATGGTGCCTCATTCTAAAGGACATTGCCTACAAGCTGATGCTTCAGCTGTGCCTTGAGAAGGCCATTTCATTATGTTATCTGGCCGACAGCTTCTGAGTGGCAAGTTATGTGATATGGCCAGTATATCTCATGCTTATTGTCCCATCCCTGTACTTCCTTTGCTATAAAGTGGGTTTCCTGGTCAGATGCTGTGTTGTGTGAGATTTTATGCCTATAGATCAGGGATAGTGGTTCTGGTTGAGTCTTTGAGGACAGAAAAACAAATTCACAGGTGTCTATCTATTCTTATGAAAAAGAATTGCTTGCCTTTCTGGATGGAAGGTGTCCAATATACTCAACTTGCTGCCAAGTAGCCAGTTGGTCCCCTCAAAGGCTAGTACCATATTAGGGACTCAGCTTTGCTCTCTGTTGTTGGCAGGTAAGACATTCAGAGGTAGTCATGGGAATCTATGGTGTAGGACCCATGCATAGCCTCCATCTTGACTACCCTGACTACTTGTCGCTAGAGCTATTAGCCAGCACTGGAGTGGCTGCTGAGAGTCAGGCTACCACCAATCAGTCAATTCATTTTGCTTAAGTTGTGTAGTCCCTTTTCCACAGTGGGCTTTCCAGTGGTTGTTAATGTGCTACCAAGATATTTACTCTTTGTACCCATTCCCGTGTCTATCCATATAGGTTTTCATGGATGACTCCTAGTACAAAATATTGAGTTTTCCAGAAAGCAGATGCTGAGATGGAGTTAGAAATTTAAAGGTTTATTGGGGAGTAACATTTCTGAAAGAAAAGTGGAAGGAAGAGGATTGGGCAGGGGAACCATCAGTTGATGATGCAGAGCTGACAACAAGTCTCTGTCCAGTGGGTAGTTTGGAGCAAAGACTACCCAAAGTCCAGTGGGTAATGTGGGGCAAAGACTGTCTGTTAGAGGAGACCTGGATTGTGTGGACATGGTTAGGCCTTGAACCTTGCTCCACCATCACTGCCTTCCTGAGGAGTTTGACTGTCTTGAAACCTGAGATGGACCCTGATGAAGCCAATAGTCAAGCTCTGTCAGCTCATCACATTATTTGCAGCTGAATGATGGGTCATTTGTTGAAAGGCGTGAGGTCTAAGCAGTGCTTCTCAGTGTCTGACACAATTAGACATTGGAAAACTGGGTCTGGGGCTTAGATGATTTGTCCAGGCCAAAGATATAAATTTGCAATCCATCTGTGTGTAAGGATGGGTGTAATAGGCAGTTTGAAACCACTGTGTGAATGTGAAATTTCCTAGAAACAAAGTAAGGAGTGAGATGAAGAGACAGCCTAGGACTGATATTGAGGGAACTTCAACATTTAATGGCCAGGTAGAAGAGAATAAGCCTGCAAAGAAGACAGACACAGATGGAGTGGTTAGAAAGGTCGAGGATCACAGGAGAATGTGGAGTCAAAAAATCCAAGGAAAGAGAGTGTAATTGGTCCAAATGTTGAAGGCTTTGAGACATCTGAGGACTGAAAGATATTATTTGAGTTTAGTGACATACAGCTCATTGGTGATGATAGTGATGGGGCAGAAGCCAGATTCTAGGAGTTTGAAAAATGTGTATGGGAGGTATAGAGGTAGAAATAGGAAGCATATATAAATCTTTTGAGAAGCATAGATTTTAAAGACAAATTTTAATGATATATTTTTAAAAGTCCAAATGTATTTGTAACTCTAGATAACCAGGAAAAAATGTGAACAGGAATATAAATTATACTGTTACCTTTAAAGGAGCTGCCTTTTTTCATATTCTATTCTATATTATCTTAGTTACTTTGAAAATTATCCCAGAAGTTAAAATTTTAACTCAAGTGTTTAATTTATTTAAATAAATTGGAAAAAGCAAATACATAAAATAGATGATAAAAACAATAAAGGAAAAGCGTTCTGTTTTAGCAATTTGTACATGGTAGTAAATGTTACTATCTATATGTACCCTTACCTTTCAGGGTAAAAATTAATTAAATGAAACCTTTTTGGAAATACAGACAAACCAATGTGTGGCTATTTAATAGTTCAATATTAAGTGAGACAATTACATTGAGATTAGAACCTTTAGTATATTGGAACAATTAGTACACTAGAAAGATTATTTCCAGGTAAAACAAATGACTAAAAATGAGGCTGAATATAATTAAAAGTAAATGTGTAGGAGACATTTTTGTTGGCTTTTTGTCCTACTTTAGTTTTTTGAAAAAGTGGTAAGGAAAAAATCTCAGACCCCTTAGGGTACAATATGAAGAATGATTTAAAAGTTCAATGATTTACTGATGTCCAGCTGCTTAAATGGCAGTCTTTAATAAAAATAGCATACTTCTAAACAAAATATTTATTTGAAAAGAAATTTTTATCACCTATTATGAAAGAGATATCATTCCAGTTCTTAGACATATAATAAAAGACAGCATGACTCCATAAGTCATCATTGTTTTCAATATAAGCTTGGATTTAATTGTAATAATCCACACTTTGTTGCTGCATCTCACTTTGGGCCTAAGATACTTGCTGGGGACGGAAAGAGGTATATGGACAACCTTACTTGTTTTTGAACAATGGTGGAAATGTACTTACCTGACACAACTAGGACTGATGCTGCTTGGCTAATCAGCAATGTGACTAACAACCTAGAATCTTTTCTTAATATTTTTTCTTTTTATTTACAGAATATCCTTAAATTTAATATGTTATATATGTAATTCAAACTTAAAAAGGTATAGTTAAGGCAAAGGCAGGAGGGTTGCTTGAGGCCAGGAGTTCAAGAGCAGCCTGGGCAACATAGCAAAACCCCATGTCTAAAAAAATTTTTTAAAACCTGTAGTCCCAGCTACTCAGGAGGCTGAGGTAGGAGGATCAAACTTATTGATCCCAAGAGTTTGATATTTCAGCAAGCCATGATCACACCACTATACTGCAGTCTGGGTGACTGGCGAGACCCCCAACTCAAAAATACATATGTGTATATATTTTACATTATATATTACTATATATATATTTACATATATATGTATATAATGTATATACACAATAGTTATCACCTATGCTTCTTTAAAACGGAATGGAAAGTTTAAAATACTTGTGTATTAAACTGGGAGAAAGCTCCTATATTATGGTAATTTTTTTTCACTTATCTTTAGGAGTGCCTGGCTAACACTTAATTCAATGACAGTAATCACTAAAATGATTAAGAGATAGTATGATTCTATTACTTATCCTCTCTAAAACATTTAAGTTAGTTTTTATTAAAACAACTTTAAAAATTATATTTCATTGATTTTTGAGATCTTTATTTGAATTACATATTTATAATAATATGCTCAAATAGAGTAAACAGGTTTGAGCAAACCCAACTGACTTGGTGACAACACACTTTAACTGATGGGCACACAAGTGTGTGGGTGTAAAGCAGAGGAGTATTAGACATGGGTGTTCAGTGTGACAAGGGCCTTAGTAAGTCTGTTTTACAGAAGAAATAGACAGTATCACTTTACCAGCAGGGCAGTTAAGTGGCTGATGGTTGAGAGATATTACTGGAAGTGGCAACTGAGTAAATTCATCATATATAGCCCTGGTATTATAGTTTTGAAACTTTATGTAATATTTAAATTGAAACATTGGGAGGGGGATTTCAGGAATGGTTTTATCAGGGCTCCTCATTCATGAGTGATTATCTTGGCTCTTCCTTCCTCCATATCTTGGCTTCATCTTCAGGCTGACTTCTCTTATGCTAGCAAAACAGCTGCAATTCTAGGCCTCACATTCAAATGTCCTACTGATCAGAAGGATCAAGATTATCTCTTCAATGAGGCTTCAGTAGGAGAATAGTGAAGCTTTCTTCCCAAAAGCCTCCAGCAAACATCTCTTGTTTTATTGGCCTGAATTGGATTATGTGCCCTCTCTGTATTAATTCCTGTGACCAGGTGATGGGGTGGGTGGTTTGGCTTAAACCCATCAGTATATACCAATACTCATGGACTGAATGGGTGGAGGAGGATATTGAAGTGAGAATTGTGGTATACTAAGAGGAGGAAGAAAGAGGAAATGTCCACTATAGGATAAAAAACGAAGGCTATAAGTTATTTAATAAGTTGATTGATTTAATCAAATATCATCTTTGAAATTACAGGCATTATTTTAACACCAGTGGAAATTCATCTAGGACAATTTTCCTTTTATTTTTATTACTGATGTGAAGTAGCATCTGTAGTGTAGTGGAGATAAATTTGTACTTTGGATTGAATGGTTGGAAAGTGTTATGTCACTTAGTATCTCACAGAAGAGCATGGCTGTATGGCAAAGAGCTTGGACTCCAGAGACACCTTCTGGATTCATATCCAAGCTGTATCATGCCCCATGACCTTAGACAAATCTGATACCCTCTCTAAAGCTCCAATTTCTTCAGTCTATAAAACATCAAACATCATAGAGTTGTAAGGATTAAATAAAATAATCCATGTACAGCACTTACTACAGTTTCTGGCTGCACTTAATAAATGTTAACTATTATCACTGCTTTGAACAGAGTGGCCTGCACTCATTATCATCTTACTACCTAGCAGCCTGTGGAGCTCTAGAATGAGGCTTAGTGCTACTTCTTTGGAAGAAGTTTATATTACTTGAAGGCCCTCCTGTGTATTTCTCTAAGTGAACTCATATATTCATCAGTTATTTTTCTTTCTCACACAAGAATAAAAGAAACTATAACTGTATAAAATAATATAATGTTGAGCTATGGAAACTGGGAAGAGATTAACAGATACTATGTATAATTCCATTTATATAAAGTCAGTCTAGGCAAAACCAGTCTACAGTATTAGAAGACAGGATATTGATTAGTCTTGGTGGGTAGGTTTCAGTAACTTGGAGGGTATATGAGGGGGAGACTATTAGGCCAGTGATCATGTTCTATATCTTTATTTCAGTGCTGATTACAAAGTGTGTTCACTTTGTGAAAATTAGTTGTACAGTAATGACTTATCCACTTTTCTCTTTCCCTATTTTTTTTCTATTTATACAAAGGTTAAAAGTGAACACGCCTAATTTCTTTTAAGAGGTAGGTCATTAACTTATGTTCGGAGTAAAGGTTACACAAAGAAAAGCCAATAGCTACCAATTTCTTTGGAGGAAATGTGGCGTTACATGAACAATCTCTCCCATGACCCCTTGGTATTGCAGAGCTGATCACTGAGGTGAGTAATTTATATAGAAGAGACACATCCTGGGAGAGTAGAAATTGAAATAGCAAGTGCTTTTCTTTTGAGGTCCAATATTACTGCACCTCTTTAATGGATTGTGTTAGTTCTGATGGAGGACAAATGACAGAATGTCCTCAAAGTCCCCCAAAGAGAAATTAAACATTAGGGAAGAAGGACATGATCTGATAATCAAGGCTTGGAGGTGCGTAAGTGCAGAGCTGAGTCCGTCACACATCTGTTGTAGAATATGTGGTCCGTGCTGGTTTGAGCCAATCCGTTTATCACATCCTTCTGACCACAGTGATTGTTGCAGACCTATGTGCGTAACTGGATAAGAACAATGATATTTAAGGTGATATTACTGAGCTATCTTGTGAAAAGAAAGGTAAAAAAAATTCTATTCTATGGAAAATGCCAGGGGAGATATCTCTTTTCTCCGAGATGTTGAGGTATAGCTTGAAAGTTGGTTTTATTGTGGTCACCATCAGGAAAACCCTAAAGTCTCCCAGGAAGGCCACTATGTAGACTCTGAGGATAAAGCCTATATTATGCAAGGCAAAATGGAGAGATGGAGAGAAACTGAGTCTTTGATGACATAGATACCCTTATCGTTAAAGCCAATTTGAGCCGGTTTTTCTTTCACATGTAATGATTGTTAATGAATTCAACAGTTAAATTATTTTAAAGGATATAGATATATAGTTTTACCTGATGTCACCTGTATATTAATTTAGGAATGAGAAGGAGCTACTTAAATGAACGGTTTCAATGCCTTAACTCTCATAAATAGTTCTGTTCTCATCGCTCCCTAACTTCCACCTCTTCCTCCTGTTTAATTTTGAAGGACTGCCTGAGATTATTATGTTCTTACATCTAATTTTTCTTATGTGAAATCTACTATACTTCCTTCACATAAGGACTAAGGCAAAAATTTGGTCAATAAAATGTTTGTTGGGTAATAATGATTTTTTTTTTTTTGAGACAGAGTCTCGCTCTATCACCCAGGCTGGAGTGCACTGGCATGATCTCGGCTCACTGCAAGCTCCCCACCTTCTGGGATCAAGTGATTCTCCTGCCTCAGCCTCCCAATTAGCTGGGATTACAGGCACGTGCCACCATGCCTGGCTAATTTTTTGTATTTTTAATAGAGATGGGGTTTCACTGTGTTAGCCAGGATGGTCTCCATCTCCTGACCTCATAATCCACCCGCCTTGGCCTCCCAAAGTCCTGGGATTACAGGCGTAAGCCACCGCACCCAGCCCAATAATGATCTATTTTAAAGTAGACCACAGACTTATTTATTTATTTTTTATTTATTTATTTATTTTGAGATGGAGTCTCGTTCTGTTGCCCAGGCTGGAGTGCAGTGGCGTGATCTCAGCTCACTGCAAGCTCCGCCTCCTGGGTTCATGCCATTCTCCTGCCTCAGCCTCCCGAGTAGCTGGGACTAAAGGCGTCCACCACCACGCCCGGCTGATTTTTTGCATTTTTAGTAGAGACGGGGTTTCACCGGGTTAGCCAGGATGGTCTTGATCTCCTGACCTCGTGATCCGCCCGCCTCAGCCTCCCAAAATGCTGGGATTACAGGCATAAGCCACTGCGCCCAGCCCCAGATTTATTTTTTTTTTAATGACAGGAAGAGATGACTTCCTATAATCACTTCTTAAGTAACCGTATTTTGGAAATCTGTCATCCCTAGATGCAAACTATCAACAGAGACCATGGGAGATGATTTCTGCTGAACAGCATGGAAATCATTAACACTCTGGCTTGTCTCCATTTTTAGGTCAACACTCTCATATCCTCCCCCATTCTATTTCCAGTATGTTCATGTTTTCCCAGAATAGCTATAAAAATCACATAATTAGCCTCCAAATCAGCCATGCTGACACAGCCATTGGCATAAAGTACAGAAAAAATTGATCAACTTATTTCTAAGAAAACATTCCAAAAGAGTCAGGTCTGCTTCAAACCATCAGGGAGAGTTTGATCTGTTCATTAATACTGTGTTTCTGTTATTAATACATGATGACATGACTGAAATCTGTTCCCACACTGACTCCAAGAATGCCTACTCCTGGGTGCAGTAAGCACCCTGCTGGCTCGGGTTTCTGTACACATACCACAGTATGCCCATTGCTAGGCCAAAATAGCTACACCCTTGGAAAAAGTTATAAAATAACATATTTAAAGTAAAAAGTAGTCAATAATCAGGTAGGTGGTATGTGAGCAAAATAGTAGTTTGCCACCCATAATGAAATGAGGTTTTTTTCTTAGAGATTTAAACTACAAAATTAATATATACTGGATGAGCCAGACATAAAAGATTACCCAAGAAGACAGAAAGACTCATAAATAAAAGTAAGACATGATGATAACCTAAATGGTGATTTGTGTGTGTATGTTTGTATTTGTACTTCTGTCTCTATATAAAGTGAATCAATCCAATATTCTCATTTGAAAAATGTAAATAATAATTGTACTTATTTTACAAGGATATTGGAAGGATTAAATGGAATAATGAATGTACATCATTTAGTATAGCACTTGCTGCATTATAAGAGGTCAGTAAGTGTTCACTATGATTAGAGGGAGTGGAAAAGGAAGGAGCGGGCCCAAGAGTAAATAAACAATGCTATCCATTTGCCTTGTTTTCTGCAGAGTTCAAGGCCTCCCGAACAACTGCTCTAAGGGTTTTATATGTTTTAACTCCCTTAATCCTCACAACAGTCCTATAAGTTAGGCACTATTGTTATCTCCATTTGTAAATTAAGAAACAGGCACTAGGCCAGGAGTGGTGGCTTATACCTCTAATCCCAGCAGTTTGGGAAGTCAAGGCAGGTGGATAAGTTGAAGTCAGGAGTTTGAGACCAACCTGATCACCATGGCGAAACCCCGTCTCCACTAAAAATAAACACACACACACACACACACACACACAAAGAAAAAAAAAGAAATAGGCACCAAAAAGTTACTTGAGTGTCCCCAAGATTATAAAGTTGGCAGATGGACGGATATTGGAGCCAGGATGGACCCCAGTCAGCTGGGCATCAGAGTCTGTGTTCCTGATCATTGTCCTGTGCTGTCAGTGTCCATGGAATGTGAGTGTATTCAGAGCAGATTTCAAGGTTTTGATGGTTTCTAAGGGTTCCTACTTTTGGCCCAGAGGCTTTCTTATCTAAAATAGTCATCTCATGGTTCTTGGTTCTGTGAAAGTGTTTATATAATCAAATAAATTTGCATAATTATTGGTTAACAAGAGATCTTGTATTCTTTAATCTTTTCATTTGCTTTAAGACAAACTTTTACTATTCTAGATGGATGAAAATCTTTCATAAAATTTTGTAAAATACTTTTTCTTCATCTACTGAAAAGATCTGTATATTTTCTTCTTTGTTCTGTTAATATGGTGAGTTACACTGATTGATTTTCAAATTTTATAGCAGTCTTACATTTCTCAAACCACATTTGGCTAGGTGTACTGTCCTTTTTATATAGTACTGAATCCTTTTTGTGTGAAAGACAGAAGAATTAGTCTATTTCGTGTATGTTGT
The DNA here is from genome assembly GCF_000001405.40 of Homo sapiens. NCBI lineage: Eukaryota > Metazoa > Chordata > Mammalia > Primates > Hominidae > Homo > Homo sapiens. Next base: position 87,118,000 of record NC_000007.14, on the reverse strand, counting down.
TGAATTAATGGACATATCATTTTTTTGTAGTATTCTTTTGTTATTTTTTAAAATATCTTTAGGACCTGTGGTGATATTCTTGCTTTCATTCTTGATGTTTGTTAAACTCTCATGTCAGGAATTGTGATATATTCTTTCTTTCATTTTTGATGTTTGTTAAACTCTCATGTCAGGAATTGTGAAGATTTTACTGTACTTGTCAACTAACAAGTTTGTCTGTCACAGTTTCATAGATACTGGCAGAAAAACATGAAGCCTCCAGGTCAAAGATGAAAGACAGTTTATTACAACAATCACATTAGCAAAAGATGACTATACTTGAAGATGATTATAATAACTGAATTAAAATATTTGTCCGATCATTCCAACCTCTGGCATCTTGGAATTGGCATTTCATGATTGCTTTTTTCTTATGATCCATTTAGATTTACTTGGTTCTTTATATGCCAAGTAACTTTGGATTTTATCACGAAAATTTTGAGTGTTATGTTATGAGCCTTGTGGTCATGTAAAAATCTCCTGGAAATTGTTGGTTTTGTTGTTCTGGTTGCTTTAGTAGATAATCAACCCAGAGACGTTTAGACTACATGTTCTGACTACCTTCTGTAGGCAGTGGTTCAGTTTTTAAAGACTTTACAGCTGTTTGTATCTATCCCATGTGTGTGCCGCTGGGTGCCAGTCTGGGACCTCTGTGGAGTCTACACTCTAGGTCAGTTCTAAAGCCTTCATGTTGCTCTTTTTGGCCTGTCTTGAGCATGTTCATCTTGTGGGTGAGCCTAAGACTTCTGTCAGTTCATACAGAGGTACACAAATTTACAGAATCTTCTTCTTCAGCTCTTCACCTCTTCTGTGATTCCTTCAGCACTTCACCTCTTCTGTGATTTCCCCAGCTTCCAGGCATCTCTTATCCCAGTTCTCTGGCTAGAAAGCTGCAGTTTCTCTCTGAGTTTTAGCCTTCTCACACTGTTGTGCCTTTCCTATAACTGAGTCTTTATTTGCCACACAGTGGCAAGAGGAAAGAGGAATAACCTGACTTTTTGCCACGCCCTTCAGGGGTGGTCAGAGGGCTCTTTCCTGGGTCTTCTGGCTATAGATAAGTGCTTTTTCTGTGGTTTTTTGGCATCTGTATAACCACCATTGTCACTGCCCTCACATGGGGGCTTACTTTGGGGTAGGGCTGGAATAGAGAAAACAATAAATAAATAAATAAACCAAAACCCAGAGATTTCTTCCACACTCTCAGGCATGCTTCTACCCAGTCTTCTGATATAATAAAAATAATACTTCTTTTGGAGATTTTCCTGCCCACACTTGCTGCACAGTTCTAGGATTTGGGCTGCCCTGATGTCTAAGCTGGTAAACTCAATGATGTACGATAGGAGAGTTAGGGTGTAGCAGGCTTAACACCATCTTAAATGGAACCAAGAACTTCTTAAGTTATCTCTTAAATTGAGATATCTCATTCTGTGTAATCTGATACTTTCAATATGACACCATAATAAGGAACCCTAACCATTAGAGTTACTCACTGATATATTTATTCACTAAATACATAAATGCTATTCACTAAATACATAAATGCTTACTTTGTTCTACCCTGAAAAATGTGTTAGAATACATATCTAAATAAGGCCCAATTTCTATCCAAGTTTCTCTTTGTCTGGTACATATGATAGATAAACCAATAATTGTACTACAAAATAAGTGCTATAGTGAGTCTTTTTTTTTTTTTTTTTTTTTTTTTTTTTTAAGAAAGCCCAAGTAGGAAACTTTCTCTCTCAAAGGCTAACCTTGTAGGGTCAAATGTCTCTCTAGTCTTTTTTTCTTCCTCTTATAGTTCCTGTATTAGTCTGTTTTCACACTGCTGATAAACACATACCCAAGCCTGGGAAGAAAAAGAGGTTTAATGGACTTACAGTTCCACGTGGCTGGGGAGACCTCAAAATCATGGTGGAAGGCAAGGAGGAACAAGTCATGTCTTACATGGATGGCAGCTGGCAAACAGAGAGAGAGCTTGTGCAGAGAAACTCCCCTTTTTAAAACCATCAGATCTTGTGAGACTTACTCACTATCATGAGAACAGGACAGGAAAGACCTGCCCCAGTGATTAAATTACTTACCACTGGGTCCCTCTCACAACACGTGGGAATTGTGGGAGTTACAATTCAGGATGAGATTTGAGTGGGGACATAGCCAAACCATATCATTCCACCCTGGCCCCTCCCAAATTTCATGTCCTCACATTTAAAAAACAAATCATGTCTTCCCAACAGTCCTCCAAAGTCTTAACTCACTTCAGCATTAACTCAAAAGTGCACAGTCCAAAGTCTCATCTGACACAAGGCAAGTCCCTTCTGCCTATAAGCCTGTAAAATCAAAAGCAAGTTAGTTACTTCCTAGATACAATTGGGTACAGGCACTGGGTAAATGCAGCTATTCCAAACGGGAGACTAATTGGCCAAAACAAAGTGGTTACAGGCCCCATGCAAGTCCAAAATCCAGCAGGGCACTCAAATCTTAAAGCTTCAAAATGATTTCCTTTGACTCCATGTATTACTTCTGGGTCACACAGATGCAAGAGGTGGGTTCCCACTGTTTTGGGCAACTCCATCCCTGTGGCTTTTCATGGCATGGCCTCACTCCTGGCTGCTTTCATGGGCTGGAGTTGAGTGTCTGTGACCTTTCCAGGTGAACAGTGCAAGCTGTCAGTGGATCTACCGTTCTGGGGTCTGGAGGATGGTGGCCCTCTTCTCACAGCTCCACTAGGCCGCGCCCCAGTAGGGACTCTGTGTGGGGGCTCTGACCCACATTTCCCTTCTGCACTGACCTGGCAGAGGTTCTCCATGAAGGCCCCACCTCTGCAGCAAACTTCTGCCTGGGCACGCAGGCATTTCCATACATCCTCTGAAATCTAGGCGGAGGTTCCCAAACCTCAATTCTTGACTTCTGTGCACTCGCAGGCTCAATACCATGTGGAAGCTGCCAAAGCTTGGGGACTGCACCCTCTGAAGCCATGGCCCAAGCTCTACATTGGCCTCTTTCAGCCATGGCTGGAGTGGCTGGGACACAGGGGACCAACTCCCTAGGCGCCGCACAGCATGGGGACCCTAGGACCTGCCCATGAAACCACTTTTTCCTCCTATGCCTCAAGGCCTGTGATGGGAAAGGCTGCTGTGAAGACCTCTGACATGTCCTGGAGACATTTCCCCCATTAACATTTGGCTCCTCATTACTTATGCAAATTTCTGCAGCCGGCTTGTATTTCTCCTCAGAAAACAGGATTTTCTTTTCTATCTCATTGTCAGGCTGCCAATTTTCTGAACTTGTATGCTTTCCTTCCCTTATAAAACCGAATGGCTTTAAAATCACCTCTTGACTGCTTTGCTGCTTAGAAATTTCTTCCACCAGATACCCTAAACCATCTCTCTCAAGTTCAAAGTTCCACAAATCTCTAGGGCAGGGACAAAATGCTTCCAGTCTCTTTGCTAAAACATAACAAGAGTCACTTTTGTTCCAGTTCCCAATAAGTTCCTCATCTCCATCTGAGACCACCTCAGTCTTATTGTTTATATCACTATCGGCACTTTTGTCAAAGCTACTCAAGAAGTCTCTAGGGAGTTCCAAACTTTTCCACATTTTCCTGCCTTCTTCTGAGCCTTCCAAACTGTTCCAACCTCTGCCTGTTATACAGTTCCAAAGTCGCTTCCACATTTTCAGGTATCTTTTCAGCAGTGCTCCACTCTACTGGTACCAATTTACTGTATTAGTCTATTTTCATGCTGCTAATAAAGACATACCCGAGACTGTGAAGAAAAAGAAGTTTAATGGACTTACAGTTCCACATGGCTAGGGAGGCCTTACAATCATGGTGGAAGGCAAGGAGGAGCTAGTCACATCTTACATGGATGGCGGCAGATAAAGAGAGAGAGACCTTGTGCAGGGAAATTCACCTTTTTAAAACCATCAGATCTCATGAGACTTATTCACTATCAGGAGAACAGCATGGGAAAGACCTACCCCCATGATTCAATTACCTCCTACCAGGTCCCTCCTATGACATGTAAGAATTGTGGGAGTTACAATTTAAGATGAGATTTGGGTGGGGACACAACCTAACCATATCAGTTCCCCATTTTCCTACCTTTTTCTTTAACATAGTCCAGAAGAGTTAATTCTAATGTACAACCAAATGTTTATATTTCACAAAGGAATTTTGAGGCATATATTTTAAGGAAAATTAAAAGTAAATTCTCATTTTACTGGGTTACTTGAGAAGGATATAGAACCTGGATTCATCTTTCCAATCTCTTCTGCTGTCATTACTACCTGAGTCTCAAGATCTTTTCTCTTACCTAGGGATTGACCTTTGCATTACACACATCAAAAATACATTCCCCTTTTCAAGTTTGAGTCAATGCTGAGCTATAGTTGTGAGTTCTATTTTAGCTTCTCTTCAGGACTCCAAATCATCCTTTGTTTTAGTTTTCTACCACTGCTTAACAAATTATCCCTAAAACTTAATGATTTAAAATAAGAAATATTCATTATCTCATATTTTCTATGAGTCTTGACTATGGGTCTTTTGTGAGGCTATTGCTAAGCTGTTGGATAGGGCTGCAATCTCATCTGAGGTTTGGCTGGGGAAAGATGCATTACCAAGCTCCCTTCTGTGGTTGTTGGCAGGATTCACTTCCTCTTGGAATGTTGGCCTTATGTGTCTGTTCTTTATTGGCTGTTGGCCTCCCTCAGTTCCTTGCTATGTGGGCCCTGAACATAGCAAGCTGACTTCTCTCAGAGCAAGTATGCGAGGGAGTGAGAGACAGCATCTAAGATGAAAGCCACAACTTATGAAAACAAATCTCAGAAGTGATATGCCATCACTTTTGCCATATTCTATTTGTAAGAAGCAAGTCACTAAGTCCAGCCCACACTGAAGGGAGGGAGATTATAAACCTTAACTGCCTGGATCAGGCTTTTATTTGCTGTAAGTATGACTTCTCTGTCCTAAGCAATAGGCTATAATATAGCTTTTACATGTTGGCTCAAAGCATTTTGAATTCCATAGACATTGATCTCTGTCCTTTAAATTTTATTTATCTTAGCTGTGAACTACTTCTTTTCCGGCAGTCTAGATTCCGTCAAATTAGATCCGTATTTTAAAGTGTCCTGGAGGAAGTTATGATACACACATATATATATATTAACAAAAATAGCCATCTTCCTAAAGAAATCTTTCTGTATATGTAAGAATGTAAAAGTATGCAAGAATATTTAAGACTCCATATATATATTTGATTAAGACATGCCTTATCTGCCTCTTGTTTGCTTGTTGCTTCTCATTTCCCAATTGCTTTTGGGGGAGGAGCACATTTCTCACAGTGAAAAGTCTTTTATCATTCAGGCCATTTTGGGTATAAGTTTTTAGGACATAAGATTCTTTTAGGGAGCACTCTATGAATTCAAAATTATATAAGCATTTATGTGCTAATGCATATCTAAAGAGTGCTCATCAAAATTATGGCAAGGGCTTTGCTACTATGAAAAATAAATATATATTATTTTTATTATGTGATCTGTACCAATGGAACTATCTCTAATAGAAGAGAATTCACAATCTTAACATTTTAGCATTGTATGAATTAGAATGGAAATACCAATTATAATCTTCTATATATTAGATATGGGGCCCACTTCAGATTTTAATGAATGAAGTATATCTCATATTCTACAAAATGTATTATTTTTCTTTTTCATAGGATTTAATTTTTTTCTCCCATTCTTAAAAATTCTCAATTTAACAAGACTAAATTTGATGTGTCTTCTTTCAACTGTTCAGGCAATAATCTACTTGTTAAAGCTAATTGACCATAATTGTCCGTGTTATCTTCACAGTGTTACAGAAGCACGTGGCACTCATGCTGAGAGCCATATAAGATAAGGGCCTGAACACTTTGTGCTGAGGGGTTTAAGAGTTCGAGATAGACTTTAAAGATAAGAACATTGAAATATAATTGGCTGTACATAGATTATCCAGAAGTGTAAAAATCAATTTCACTTAAGGCCTGAAACAAGATTATATTTGGTATATTTAGGTACCCTTTATCAAAAATTTTATTCATTGAACAAAATGCCTTGAGTATATATATGTATCAGTACTGAACTGAGCATTGTATTATACTTCCTTCAAAGTTCATAGTACCATAAAGAAGATAGGAATAAATGCTAGAAACAGTGCCACTGTTTATACCAACTTATATTCTCTCTATCCTCTAAGGCTTGGCTTACAGTATACCTTCTTTAGGAAGTCTTTCAGATAATTTCTGCTCACAGACTTATTTACTTCCCTTAATATTATTATGTAAAGGTAGTGTGATATACAGCAGTTGTTCTCAAACTTGAGCAGGGATCAGAATCTTAGTGAGGAGGATTTGTTAAAACAGATTCCTGGGCCCTAGCCTCAAAGTTTTTGATTCAGTATGCTTGGGTGGGACTGTATTTGCATTTCTAACAAGTTCCTAGGTGATGCTGATGCTGCTGGTGTGGGGACCACACTTTGAGAACCACTGCTGTATAGAAGTGTAGAAGTCTGGCCTTGGAGCCAGACAGATCCGGATTTGTAGCCCAGTTCCTCTGCTTACAACCTATGTGACACCGAAGCTGTTATTTTTTCCTCTGTAGACCTCAGTTTCCTTATCTGTAAAAAGGAGACAACAATAAGCACCTTATAGATTAGTTTATTAGGATTAAACAAAATAAGACATGTAAACATAAAATACTGGAACTCTTCAGTACTATTTTTGTTATTATATGGTAAATGTTTTTAAAGATTAGTTACTGTTGTTGAAGAATAAAAGGCTAAACAGTAGTCAAGTGACATGTGGAGAAAGTAGAGATTTGTTGACATTCATAGGTCAGACCCAAAGAGAATATTCAGCACTTCCAAGATAGGCATGTGAGCAAGTTACATGGAGAAATGGAGCAATTGCTTATCGTGCAATTGCTTATCGTGCTGTGGTGACTCACTTCTGTGTACATATGACTTCATCCTTAACAAGAAGAATGGATTGTGTTGATGTTAGCATCTGATACAGAGCATCCCTCTTGGGCAGTTTTACTCCAAGTTTCTTGAAGGATTAGTTCTTCCTAATGATCAACTTACATTGTCTGCCTTTATAATATACTACAACATCTGTTCCAATCTGCTGTGATCAAAATGGCAGGGTTTGTTATAGTTTATGTATATGGCGTAAGTCACAACAACTTCATGCAGATAAAACAGGGAGCTGCTTTCCTCATAAGAGCACGGTGGGAACGGCAAATGGTACCTTTGCATGGATCATCATATGAGGTATTTTCACCCATAATTCTTGGCTGGGCTTGGGTAGATGACTGTGTTTCAGGGCCTGTATCCAGGTTAAAGGGGCAGCAACTATGGGAGAAGCTATTTTCATGGCTATGGGAAAGGTAAAATAGAACAAGCAGAAACATACAAGGCATATTAAAGCCTAGGAGTAGAAATAGCATACTGTCACTTCTGCATTCTTTTGACCAAAGCAAGTTACATGAGATGGAAAAATGTAGTCTCCCTGTGATGTCATTAATGCAATCAATTCATCAAAAATTTTAACAAAATAAATAAAGGATCGACATGAACAAAACTATAACATTTTCAATATAAAAATCAAGGTGTGAACAAATTGAAAGGCACACCAAATTCTTGGATAAGATTTAATTATGAAAAAGCTAATTATAGGCCAGGCATGGTGGCTCATGCTAGTAATCCCAGCTTTTTGGGAGGCTGAGACAGGCAGAATGCTTATGCCTGGGAGTTCAAGACCAGCCTGGCCAACATGGTGAAACCCTGTCTCTACAAAAAATACGAAAATTAGCTGTGCATGGTGGCACACACCTATAATCCCAGCCACTCAGGAGGCTGAGACATGAGAATTGCTTGAGCCCAGGAGGCTGAGGTTGCAGTGAGCCTAGGTAACAGAGTGAGACGCTGTCTAAAAAAAAAAGCTAATTATCTCAACTCAATTAATATATTTCTTGCAATTCCAATTAGAATACTAACTTGGATTTGTTTATTAGAACTATATACAATGACTTTAAAGTTCAGCTGGAAGAAAAATATACTCACAAATAGCCAAGAAAAATACATGTATCTAGAAGCAGAATAATGAGGAGGATTTCTCAGATATCAGAACATAAAACCACCATAATCCAGCATGTGGAACTGGCATAGGAGTAGACAAATAGTCCATCCACAACAGGAAAGATGAAAATTTAAGATGTTGACATTATTATTTCAATTTAGGGAAAAAAATGTTTATTTAATAATTGGTGTTGACACAACTGACTGTCCCTTTATAAGAAAAAGAATTGAATTCCTACATCTCACATATTCAAAAGTCAATTTCAGTTAAAAGACTTAAATATAATAATTAAAATAAGAATTTTAGAAAAAATCTAGAAGAATATCTAGCGGAAAGAAAAACCTGAATTTAAAGAATCCTGGAAGATATTTTTAAAGATTAATATATCTGAGAATTTAATACTAAAAATTTTGTATGGCAAAAGGAACTGTAAGCAATGTGCTAACTGACAATTATTAGATTTGGAACAAATATTTGCAAAGCAGATGATGGACCTAGTAAGGGTTTATAACTATAATTAATATACACAGAACTCTTATAAGTTGACCAAAAATCCCAAACAACTTGGTGGAAAAATAAACACAAGATATGAATATGCAGTTCACAAAAGAGCAAATCCAAATAGCCAATAAATATATTAAAAAGAGGCTCTAATGCACTAGAAGTCATAAAAATGAAAACTAAATTAACATTGTCATATTGCTTTGTACCTCCCAGAGTGGCAAATATTAAAAAAAAATTAAGGAATAGCAGCTATTGCAAGCAGAGATAAAGGAACTAGAGTACGGTTGTATCATGCTGGTAAAGAGAATTTTCATAATCCACCTCTTTGGCACCAATGTCACATTTTTCTTCCTGTTTATCTAATTCTCTTACTTTCTTCTCAAAGTTCAGGATCTTTGTTCATGCCTTTCCATCAGGTCTCCTTGTGTTTCCCTAGGGTCAGATGACATGTAAACTGAAATAAAAGTTACTGGTTCCCAACACAATCATATGCAATGATTAAAAAGCAGGAAAAACTGCAGAATAAGCTTCCATTTGGAAAGGGACAGAGTGAAAAACATCCAACTGTCACTGGTCCACAGCAAATATCAAGCCCTGTTGGTCAAGAGTGGCAAGGACTCTCTGTTGTATCAAGGAGGTTGCTGCCAACCCAGCAGACTCTGTTTCTGTTTTCTCAGATATCTGTCTTGTGGGCTGTGTTCCACAGCCTTTCGTACTTTTTGGAGTGCGTGGGTGTAGGGTATGCTCTTTGTCTGCTATATTTCATAACCAGTTTTAACAGTGCACTTTGGCTTGGCATGAATTTGGGGACCTGGAAAATGGCTTTAGGGACCGATCATAGAACCATCCATCCAGTGTGAAGGTTTGGTTGGGGCTGAGGATGTGGGCAAGAGAGTAGGGGATGGAACTAGAAAAGCAAGGAATTTATCTGTTGGTTCTTTTCTTTATCTCATCTCTCACAGGATGTAATCTTCTCCAGACTTGTGAGTTGTATTTGCCTGGTTGCTGCACTGGGGGACCCAGATCCCATGCAGCTCTTCTTCTGAGCTAGAGGGAAGAGCCAGAGCCTTAGTACGGTCCTGTCAGTCTGGCTAGGACACAGGAACTGTGATGGCTCTCATAGTAGGCACAATGGCTGCCATGCCAGAGCCTAGTCCTTACTTCTGGGCTGCTGAGTCAGCCAGTGGTGTTGGGAGATGCTGCCAACAGCGTAGGCAGGTTTGGACACCAATACATCACTGTCCCATGGTGGGGACAGGGAGGCTAAAGCAGACACAGTACCATACACTGCCACTTATTGAGAGGGCTGAGTCTTAACTCTATTTCTCTGAGCCTCTCTGTCATGTATTAACTTTCTGTGCGGTTTCAATATACACCTGTTTGAGGACAAGTGCATTAACTCATTACCTCTGTGGCAGATATTATTCTCCTTTAAAGAAACCCAAGCTAGGGTGCAGGGAGTTTAAGTAATTGGTTCAGATTGGGCTGGAAGAGAGGGAGGAACTTTAAAAAGTAACTTCAGTCTGAATTGGTGGGGAGTTTAGAAGCTTGCAAATGTTAGTTGATGTTAATATGACATTAGCGTTGTCCAGAGTCTGGTGAGGATAACATTACAGGTATGCTTAGAAAAAAAAGTATCGCACATTAAACAACGTAGAAGCACACAGAAATTCTTAGGATTAGTTTGCCACCTCCTCTTCTTAGCACACTTTTCATTAAACATTCAAAAATTGTATGCACGTAATTTTTAAAAAATAAAGAAAAAGTTTTTCCTTCAATATTTAGCTGTTTCTAATGCATCCTAGGGGACCAGCATGAGTATGTTTACGCATTGCTAAAAATATGTAAGTCATTCTAGGTCACCTTCCCCTGAACTCCAGCTTCACAAAACTCTTCTTGATCTAGCTCTGCCTACTCCTTCCTTGTCTGTCATCTCCCTTGGCCATATTTCACCTCAACGGCTTTGTGCTGTCTGAGAGTTTTAATCAGATAATTTCTCTGCCTGAAAGACTCTTCCCCAACTGAATCTGGCTTTCAGGTCTTAGCTCACCCTATCTACGTGATTTGTCAATTAGTCTCTTCTATTTTCTTTATAGCATTGATAACTACTTGAAAGTATCTTATTTATCTGTTTACTTGTTTATTATCTTTATCCTCCACTCACAAGCAAACTCCATGAGAAAAGGGAATTTGTCTTTTTCCCCTCTGTTTCCATACTATCTAGAAGAGAACAGTGTCTGGCACATAATAGATCATAGTACATGTCTGTTGAATGAATGGATATACCTTTATGGGGACACACACACACAAATACACACACACACACACACACTTAAAGAAATTTACCCCATTGGGGGTCATGCCATTCTTTTTTTTTTCGGTTTTCCGACACCATTTGTTGAAGAGGCTGTTATTGTATACAACATGGTGACTATAGTTAATAACAATATATTGTGCACTTGAAAATTGGTAAGAGTAGATTTTAAGTATTCTCACCACAAATTAATAAGTATGTGAGGTAATACATATGTGAATTAGCTTGATGTAGCCATTTCACAACGTATACATATTTCAAAACATCATGCTATATATCATAAATATATACAATTTTAATTTGTAAAATTAAATAAATAAGAAGAAACACTTAAAACAAACAAAAGTGGGGGGTTAAGTGATTGAAGCAGTCTGCAATGCAGAAATGGTTCTAAAACTCTCCCAGAATTACTGCCTGGTTTGTTTAGAACCCAAAGCTTGTGTTTTCATGTGATCAGCCGCTCTCAGGGCTTGAGAATCAAGCCTGTAATCAAGATCCCTGAGCTGACTGGTGGCTTCACAGGAGACAATTGACAGACAACTCAGGATGAATAGAAGATGAACTCTTCTTGCCTTTCCACACTGAAAATATACTTCATACAATTATTCCTCATATTTTGAAAACTTTTTATAATTAATTGTAAGGGGAAAGTTTTTGTGGAGCTGAGCACCAAAATAATACAGAGTTAAGCCAAAACTATATCAATTCCATTTAAATGAACACAGTACTAACATGAATTACTATTAGCATTTCAAGCACTAACCTGAATTACTGTGTAGCATGGCTGCTGACTTGCTGACTGGGCTTGTTTAGGTCTTTCCTGGTTATTGCTATGTTAAAAACTATGCTCACAAAAATGCATACAGATGATAGGACATTTAATACTAAAAACAGAACACGTTAAGATTGAAAGAATGTAAATGAAGTAATTCAGAGTATTGTGAAAGAAAAACCTAAGGTCAGCAGATGCCAATGTGACAGCTATGAGGATGACCCCAAAGGACTCTTCTTTGTAGTGTCAGTGGGGATGGAAGTATACAAAATCTAAAAGAGACCTTGTATCAGCAAAGAAATGCCTTGGAAGTTGAGTAGGGATATAAATTAAACTCCTCAAGTTGACTTCTCTGCACAAGGACAGGAATATCTCAAGATAGACTATATCACCTAGTTTTAAATGTTGGGTTCTGGTGTAGGGGCTATAGGAGTTTCAAGGTGAGTCAGGTCTCCACTGAGAACCATCTCAATAACTTTGAACCAGTTCCTTCTTGATGTCTTGGATTCCCCTCTTGAAAACTGGAGAAGAGAAGAGAAGATTTCCTGGGCCAGTCCACATTCAACATTCTATCATTCTACAAGTATGCACTAGAGCAGTGGAAGTCTGTCCTAGAAACCTCAGGAGATAATTGGGAGACCAGATGGCAAAGAGGAGCCAAACTCGTTATGCAGGCTTTCCAGGAAGCATGATGCTGGCATCTGCTTGGCTGCTGGGGAGGCCTCAGGAAACCTTTAATCATGGCAGAAGGTGATGGGGGAGCAGGCATGTCTCACATGGTGGGAATAGGAGCAAGAGAGCCATCTTTTTTGTTTAAATAAAAAATGTTAAGTATATATCATGAAGATACTCCCCCCCCCCCCAAAATGCCACAGATTTTTAAAAAACCAAAGGTTTTTTAAAAATAGTTTTCTTTGTCAAACTGGATATTTTGGTTGATTCCAGGTGTTTGCCATTTTAAAAATGTGGCAGTGAATATCTTGATACTTGTATCTTAGAATACTTTTGTTTCTGTGACTTCTTCCTCCATTACTGCTGGTGAGACGGAGATATATTCTCTCTCTTTTTTTTTTTTTTTTTTTTTTTTTGGTAGAGACAGGGTTTTTGCGTGTTTCCCAGGCTGGTTTTGAACTCCTTGGCTAAAGCAATCTGCCTGCCTGAGCCTCCCAAATTGCTGGAATTATAGTCATGAGCCACCATGCCCAGCTGGGAGATAGTACTAATACTATTAATTAAGATTAATACCTGAGGATTTTCAAAGATTAGTAGGATGAAATTTAGGGAGAAAACCCTGCTCCCCTCTCTTCAGCTTCAGACTTACTATGAGTGATATTATTGTATGTGAGGTGCAAATTTTTAAATGAATTTCCTGGAAAAGAAAGAAGCAGTTTCCTTATTCCTCTGAATTTTGAAATAAAATCAAGAATTGGTTAGCTTATCAAGTGTAAAATTTAGCAGGACCTATGGCTGCAGACCCATGAAGAATTTCAAAAGGATGGCTAATGCATTATTTATTGAACTTTTTCTAATTAGTTCTAGGAAGTGGGCAGCCTTTGGGGTGAGGTGGAGGGTGCAGGATCTGGGGCAATTTATACTGTGTGCCCCCTTCTCTGCTCTACCAATTCTGTTATCTAGTGCTATTAAGTTATGAAGAAAACAGGCAGCCTTGATGAGGAGGAGTTTCTGAAATGGCTATAACCTGAGGATGGTGCAGGGAAGTGAAGGAGAAGCAGTTCCTCCAGCTGAGCTTTTTGGATGAGGATAAGAATGCACTTTTACGGACTGAATGTTTATACATAGGACTCAAGTCTGATTTGCCAGCAGAATCAATTTTTGCCTCATCCATGGCTGCCTCCTTGAATTACAATTTATCTTTCAAGAGGAGAGAAGGGGAGGGGCAGTTAATCCAGGGCGATTTATCTGATCCACATATCCTAGATCAGTGATTCTCAAAGGGTTACCTTCCTCCAGACACACTCCATTTATCAGTGTTTATTTTAAAAGCATTCATGTAAACCTAAGCAGGGCCCCCTACCCCAATATCTGTTTTGGCATGTTAAGCACTCTCTGGGCAGCACAAGTTACAGTAGTAAGAACGATGACCAGCTTCCAAAGGCCTGGAAGGCCCTGCCTTTCCTTGGTGGCAATTCCAGGTTGATTTACATGCTCAGCCCCAAGAAAGAAGGCCAAGAGAGAATCTGTGTGCAGATATTGCACTTTAAGTGCATAGTGAATTCTTGCACTTTTAAGTGTGGCCAAAGGAGTATTTTGAACCTTATCAATCTGGTTAGCATTTCCTCTTCCCCTGGAGAGAAGAGGAAAGGGGCTGGCATAAAGTGGGTAGAACGGCAGATGTGTTTTCTCTTTTGTGTATCTGGATTAAGTTTTAAAACAGATTTTTTAATGTAGAAATGCTAGAACTCAGTTTAAGCAACAGAAGTCTGAAGATAAAGGATACTTTGAATCCACCTTGGTCTGTATTCCTCTCCTTTTTGTCTTTCTGTATTCTTTTATGTAATTTTGATATTTGTTTATATATATTTTAATTTTTACTTTTTAGCTAGATCTTGGGAAGACAATACATAGATCTAAATAACATACCTGTTGATATGACGTCAGTAGTGTTTTGATCTATCTGGGGACCTTTTCCAGTGCTAATGGCTAAGAGTCCATGAGAGGCCAGAACACCTCAGAAAGAAGACGAAGTCACTGGCTAACACTCCCCAACAAGGACAGCATCTCAGAATTGCAGATGAACACCACATTGTTTGATTTTTTTTCCTCCCCTCTTTTTATATCCCAGTGGTTACTGTGGAAGAGTTTAATGGTAATGAGTGTAGTGTTAAACTTTAAGCTAATAATGAAATGTGGGAAGATTTTTTAACTTATAAATGAACCTTTTCTAGAATGTTTGCCTTTGGGCTGAATTTGAGGCATCTCATTACTTATTTCCATGATGCCAGTAGACTGGATTGTATAACAATTTCAAATATTCTACCTGGCAGATTCTTGTCTATTTTTATCTTATATTCCAGAAGACTCTGGAAGGACCTGAATACTAAAAGATAGATAGCTGGTTCTGATAGTGGTTATGACTATAGGCATATTTTTTTAGACAGAGTCTCACTCTGTCACCCAGCACTCACTCTGGAGTGCAGCGGCATGATCTCGGCTCACTGCAACCTCTGCCTCCCAGGTTCAAGCAATTCTCCTGCCTCAGCCTCCCGTGTAGCTGGGACTACAGGTGCCGGCCATCACACACAGCTAATTTTTGTATTTTTAGTAGAGATGGGGTTTCACCATGTTGGTCAGGCTGGTCTCGAACTCCCGACCTTAGGTGATCCACCTGCCTCAGCCTCCCAAAGTGCTGGGATTATAGGCGTGAGCCACCGTGCCCAGCTTGCTGTTTTTTTTTTAAATGGTGCCTAGTCATTACATGATGAGGTAGCATTTCTCTTTCAAAATAGGAAGAAAGAGTATCAAATTTTGTTTCATGAAAAACCTGTTATCAGTGTTAATTATTTATGTCACTAAAAATTTTCCTTGCTGCTGATGGGACAGGGTATGAAGATTTCAGAACCTTGCTGCCATAATTATAGATACATTCCTTCCATTAATAACTGAACATTTGCTTGTACATGTTATTTTGTAAGCTGAATCATAATTAAAGCTCTATGGTAAATTATTTTATTTCATGTAAGATTCCATTTTATTGTATCAAGTGTGTTTTTTAAAAAAATTTTTAGAGCCACATACACTTGTACTCTTACTGAGTAGTTTCCACTATGGAAATGAAAATCATATCTCTTTTATCTTAGAAGGAAGGTAGTAAAGAGGTGAAAATTACAGGAAACAGGAGTAGATTGAGTTACATGGCCCTTCTTGTATGAAACAAAGAGAACCTAGAGAAAATAGTCTAAGGATGGATCTACTGTTCCAAGAAAGAGGATATTTCTTGAGTCTGGTTGCAGTCTCATCAGAAATAATACAGTGTAATGAGCAGAGATGAACACAGTACACAGGGAACAGGAATGTGATTCTACATCAAAGCCATATGTTCGTGCTTAAATTTTGGTTCTATGTTGGAGCTCTAAGCTCCAAAATGACTCAACTTATATTTGGCTAAAAGGTTTAAAAGACAAATTGTGCATCTCTGGAAGGTTAGAGTCAAAGAGTCTGACAGGAACTGGAAAATCACTGCAGACAGTGATAAAATGATCCAAATGACGTAGCATTCTCTAGCTTTGATCAAAATTAGATTGGGAGATGATAGCATAAGGGAAGGGGAAAGCAACTATTGTAAACCTCTGTAAGGTGGTGACAGTGACTGGAAAGAAGAGTACTTTAGGGTGAGGACAATTCATTCTCCTGAAAATACCAGGAAAATGTTTTCTAGAAAATTGGGAAATAATGATTTGAAGGATGACAACATTGAGACTTCAATGACGACAAAGCTAACACAATCCAGAGTGGTACAGGTAATTGAGTAAGCATGGACTCCCTCAGTACATAGACCAAGTTTTTCTGAGGGCTGCTATGTCTAATTTCATGTGGTCATGAAAAGACAGCAACAAATAAATAACAAGGAGACGGACTCATTTTTTATTTCTTCTAAATTTTGTTGCTGTTTCTTCCTGCAAGTCCCCTCAAAATATGACTGACACCATAACATGGTTTGAGAGCTCTCAGGCTTTACATTTCTTTCTCTCATTCCTCTTTTTCC
Organism: Homo sapiens; assembly: GCF_000001405.40. Classification (NCBI taxonomy): domain Eukaryota; kingdom Metazoa; phylum Chordata; class Mammalia; order Primates; family Hominidae; genus Homo; species Homo sapiens. The sequence continues at coordinate 87,101,531 of NC_000007.14, read as the reverse complement.
CTTTTGCTCAGCCTTAGGACAACATTATTCAATGCTCCAGTTGTTTACCCCTTGAATTAATTATCATGAGTTACAGAGATACAAGTCCTGCTACCTGTTGCACATTGTTTAGTGGCTTCATTAAAACATTAAATTATATCAGCATGAAAATAATTTGTGACTTTTGCACATTTGTATGTTATCCTTGCAAACTCTTTTGGAACAATCATCTGCACAAAAATCTTGATAAGAGAAGAAAAGCCATAGTCTCTGGAAAAAATAATAAGCAATGAATTCCACAGTAATTGTTGGCTCACAGTGAATCCTCTAGCGCTCAAATGTAGTTTGGGTGAGATTATGGCCAGAGCTTTCTGGCTTTGACCTTTAAGAAAACTGTGTTCACACTGACCAGGGGACACATACCAGTTTCCTATTAAGAGCATCTATGTTATAGCATCTCTTTTAGAAAGTCACTGAACTCTGCGGGAGTGCTCTACAAAGGGCTCCAAATTTATATTCTAGGTAATTGTAGAAGGAAGGGAGGTTAGCACGTGGGCAATCTTTGTAAGAGGCAGAAAAGGGTGGACATGAGGTTTGTTTGAGGGTCCTCTTCTGTGTAGTGATCAGCCTACCCTGGTGTGACAAAGCCCTAGAAATGGGCCTAAGATTTATATCCATTATGCAGTGTGGACCTTCAAGCATCTCTTCTTTGCTTTCTTCCCTTCCAGAGCCTAAGTTATGAGTCAGACAAGATAGGAGTTTAAGTCCTGGGTCTGCTACTTACTGTCTGTGTGAACTCTAAGCCTCGGATTCCATATCTATATTGCTTTGTAGAGTTGTTGCGAAGATTAAATGAAATCATGTTATAAAGGTGAGATTAAGGCTGGCCATTGTTATTTCAGTGATGTAAGTTGAAAGTGAAAATCCAAGTCATAGATGCTTCCATTCTTTCCTAAAGACTGGATATGAGTAATAGGGAGTGGAAGATGAGTGTGTAACTAGGAGATAGCCTGGGGACACTGCCTAGGATTTCCCATACTCCCAAGGTATGTTTTGATCCCTGGCTTCTCCTTGACTCTTCTTTGCTTCCTTCGCTTCCAGAGCCTGAGTTATGAGTCAGAAATAATGGACTGGTGAGTAGGTTGTACTCAGGTGAATACCTATCCCAGTCTATAAAATATTCATTTCTGGATATAGAATTAAATGAAGTCAAAAGGAAGCCAGAGACTATAGGTCAACCCCACTCATCACTGAGTCCAGGATAGAGGTTCTGGGATTAACTGTGTTCAAACTTCTACTAAACATGATGTTATGGGTCGAGTTGTGTCTGCCCTCTCCAAATTCATATGCTGAAATCTCAGTGCCCAGTGCCCTCGAATGTGACTTGATTTGAAAATAGAGTGATTGCAGAAGTAATGATTTAAACTAAGATGAGATCATACTGGAGTAGGGTGGGCCCCTAATACAGTATGGCCTGTGTCCTTATAAAAAGGGGAAATTTGGAGACAGATACACACAGAGGAAGAATGTCATGTGAACAAGAAAGCAGAGATTGGGGGCATCTATAAGCCATAGAATACGAAAGATTTCTAGCAAACCACCAGAGTTAGGAGAGAGGCATCAAGCAGATTTTTGAGCACAGCTGTCACAAAGAAACAACCCAGCTGACACATACTTGGATCTTAAACTTCTAGCTACCAGACCATAAAACAATGAATTTCAGTTATTTAAGTCATCCAGTTTGTGTTACTTTGTTACAGCAGCCCTGGGTTAGTTAGTAAACTAGCTTACCTGGGTGATGTTATCTCCATTTCTCTTAAACAGCTCTGGCTCTAGAGGCATTTGCTAAAAATCCATGCCAAACAAAATATCAAAATATCAAAATTTGAAATAAAGTCAGGATTAATAGTGGCTTCTTGCTGAGCATATTAAAGGATGAGTGAAAAGTAATAAAAAATTAATAATACAGATCCTGTCCTTAGTTAAGCTTTTGATATTTTATCATGGATTTTTTGTCTTAATTTTTATTTTCTAAAATATTGCACAAAATTATCATTTATGTTGATGAATGCGATTTTTGGTCTCCTTAAATTTTACACCTGAGGTGAACACCTAACTTGCCTCACCCTAGTCCCTATTCTGCTTCAAAACCAGCTGAGGCTAGGACCCAAAACACAGGAGGCTGAAACCTGTGTGATTCCAACACTTATTACTTTGTTGGCCACAAAGTGAAGACAGAGTGCTTGCCAGATATTTCTTCTGGACTTTCATGTCATCTCAGACACAAGGATTAATATAAAACTCAGCTCTCAATTCTAAAATGATTCCTTTGCTGTCCTTCTTTCTTCAGTTATTCTCCAATTAATTATGGGTCAAACTTCAGTATCATTCTTAACTCTGCTGTCTTTCTTGTCACTCATACCCAGTTGTTAATCAGCCTAGTTCTTTCTCTAGCTCTGAAATAAAACAGCTTTATTGTCCTTCTGTAAAATAAATATTCAAGAATACATTGATATATAAAATTTCATATATTTAGAAAGTCTAAAGAAGGGAATAAAAAATTATCAGTAATCTCAGAGATACCTTCTTTGATATTTCAGTGTATAGTCTTCCAGATACTTTATATCTGTTCTTGAAAATATATTTTCAAAAAATGGCATTATGTTATATGTGCTATTTGGTAATCTTACCTTGTTAACATGTTGTTAGTTATCTTGTTAATTATGGACATCTTTTCATGTTACTACATCTAGATCTACAAAAGATTTTTAATGGTTTCATAGAATCCAAATAAATGAACGTGCTACAGTGCATTTAAGCAATGTCTTTTCATATAATAGAATGTTAAGCCCATATCTATTTTTTACTACTATGCACAATACCACAATGAACATTTTGTAAATATACACTTGCCTGATAATTTCCTCAGGCTAAATTATTAGAAGTGGAATTGTTGGGCCAAAAATGAACACATTTCATTTGATACTTACTGCTCAATTAACAAAATTTTACATTCACCATTGGGTTACAGAAGTGTCTCTTCCTCCTGAGTATCATTTAATCTTTTGAATATTTCACTTATTTTTTGAATTAACTATCGTGTCCATTTTGTAGGTTCTCTTTTGGGGATTGTTCAGCTCTTTCAGTGTTTTTTTTTTTTTTTTTTAAGAGGCGTTTTATTAAGATTATTATCTGGATATTAACTCTCAGTTAATTATATATATAGCTAATATTTTCTCCAGTTTTTTAGTTGTCTTTTAACTTTATTCAGGTTGTACTTACCAAACCAGAAATTTTAGGTTTTATGTAGTCAAATCTGTCTGTATTTTTCTTTATTTCTCATTTTGGAATTAATTATGCTTAGAAAATCCTTTACCTCAAGATGATAAAATAATTTACCTGGATTTTCTTTTGGTATGAACAGTTTTTGCTATTTATGTATTAAAAATTACTGTTGGTGTAAGGGTTGTGGTGAATTCTTCCTGTATCTTTCTTTCTAATCCTCTGTTTCGCTACTAACAGGACAGTCTTCCTGTCCTGTTTTTTTTTTGTTGTTGTTTTTTGTTGTTTTTTTTAACTTTAATTATTTACTTCATTTTTTTTATTTTTTATTTTTTTAGAATTTCCAAATCTGAATCATTTATTTATTTATTTTTTATTATACTTTAGTTTTAGGGTACACGTGCACAATGTGCAGGTTTGTTACATATGTATACATGTGCCATGTTGGTGTGCTGCACCCATTAACTCGTCATTTAACATTAAGTATATCTCCTAATGATATCCCTCCCCCTACCCCTACCCCACAACAGGCCCCAGTGTGTGATGTTCCCCTTCCTGTGTCCATGTGTTCTCATTGTTCAATTCCCACCTATGAGTGAGAACATGCAGTGTTTGGCTTTTTGTCCTTGCCATAGTTTGCTGAGAATGATGTTTTCCAGCTTCATCCATGTCCCTACAAAGGACATGAACTCTCCATTTTTTATGGCTGCATAGTATTCCATGATGTATATGTGCCACAATTTCTTAATCCAGTCTATCATTGTTGGACATTTGGGTTGGTTCCAAGTCTTTGCTATTGTGAATAGTGCCGCAATAAACATACGTGTGCATGTGTCTTTATAGCAGCATGATTTATAATCCTTTGGGTATATACCCAGTAATGGGATGGCTGGGTCAAATGGTATTTCTAGTTCTAGATCCCTGAGGAATCGCCACACGACTTCCACAATGGTTGAACTAGTTTACAGTCCCACCAACAGTGTAAAAGTGTTCCTATTTCTCCACATCCTCTCCAGCACCTGTTGTTTCCTGACTTTTTAATGATCGCCATTCTAACTGGTGTGAGATGGTATCTCACTGTGGTTTTGATTTGCATTTCTCTGATGGCCAGTGATGATGAACATTTTTTCATGTGTCTTTTGGCTGCATAAATGTCTTCTTTTGAGAAGTGTCTGTTCATATCCTTTGCCCACTTGTTGATGGAGTTGTTTGTTTTTTTCTTGTAGATTTGTTTGAGTTCATTGCAGATTCTGGATATTAGCCCTTTGTCAGATGAGTAGGTTGCAAAAATTTTCCCCCATTCTGTAGGTTGCCTGTTCACTCTGATGTTAGTTTATTTTGCTCTTTAGTTTAATTAGATCCCATTTGTCAATTTTGGCTTTTGTTGCCATTGCTTTTGGTGTTTTAGACATGAAGTCGTTGCCCATGCCTATGTCCTGAATGGTATTGCCTAGGTTTTCTTCTAGGGTTTTTATGGTTTTAGGTCTAACATTTAAGTCTTTAATCCATCTTGAATTAATTTTTGTATAAGGTGTAAGGAAGGGATCCAGTTTGAAAATCCCATCGTCTCAGCCCAAAATCTCCTTAAGCTGATAGGCAACTTCAGCAAAGTCTCAGGATACAAAATCAATGTGCAAAAATCACAAGCATTCTTATGCACCAATAACAGACGAACAGAGAGCCAAATCATGAGTGAACTCCCATTCACAATTGCTTCAAAGGAATAAAATACCTAGGAATCCAACTTACAAGGGATGTGAAGGACCTCTTCAAGGAGAACTACAAACCACTGCTCAACGAAATAAAAGAGGATACAACCAAATGGAAGAACGTTCCATGCTCATGGGTAGGAAGAAACAATATCGTGAAAATGGCCATACTGCTCAAGGTAATTTATAGATTCAATGCCATCCTAATCAAGCTACCAATGACTTTCTTCACAGAATTGGAAAAAACTACTTTAAAGTTCAAATGGAACCAAAAAAGAGTCCGCATTGCCAAGTCAATTCTAAGCCAAAAGAACAAAGCTGGAGGCATCATGCTACCTGACTTCAAACTATACTACAAGGCTACAGTAACCAAAACAGCATGGTACTGGTACCAAAACAGAGATATAGACCAATGGAACAGAACAGAGCCCTCAGAAATAATGCTGCACATCTACAACTATCTGATCTTTGACAAACCTGGCAAAAACAAGAAATGGGGAAAGGATTCCCTATTTAATAAATGGTGCTGGGAAAACTGGCTAGCCACATGTAGAAAGCTGAAACCTGTTTTGTTTTCTTAAAATTTTAAAATATTATTCATGTGGTCCCTTGAAAAAAGTATTCCAAACACTCTCCATTGTTAAAAACAAAAACAAAAACAAAACAACAACAAAACTCCCAGAACCCTCTAGCTATTTCTATTTTTCTACTCAGTCTTATTGGTGTAGAAAGCTTTCTACTCAAGATGGGCTGATATCATCACTGTCTCCCAAACATGCCTTCTTGCCCCTGTGCCTCTGAGCATGCTGTTCTCCCCTGAAATGCTCTGTCCAAATCCAAGTCATTCTTTGCATTCCTTGAGGTACCTCCAGGGAGTCATTTCTGGAGCACACTGTCCATGGAGCTCTCTCCTTTTAAAAATTCCTATGTCACTGGCATATTTGGTTCTTAACTGTATGCTGACTAGTTGTGTTATTTAACTTTCTACTTGTGTATTTATTTATTTTTAAATTGAGTGGAATCTACAGAATCTACTTGTGTACTTAAAGTTATAGACTTAAGGGTTTCAGAGTTGGAAGAAACTCAAGATATCTGCCATTTATTGTGTTGTCTGACATTGAAACCTGTCTATAATATTCTTGTTAAGTAGTCATTTAGCTTTTACTTGATTACCTCCAATAACGGAGAACTAACTACATCCCATGACTGCTCATGCCATTTTCAGTCAAGTTCTAATGATTATATGTGTGTGTGTGTGTGTGTGTGTGTGTGTGTGTGTATTATAAGCTTTCAAATATGCCTTTTTATGTCTTTCACTCATGGAGGGAGTTACTGAAAGAACACTTAATGTGGGGCCTGGAATAACTTGTTTTGAATCTTGATTTCCCTAACAAATAGTTACTTAATCTTGGGCAAAATACTCCACTTCCATTGAACATCACTTTCCTCATTTGTAAAATAGGGACAATAACACCTACTTCATAATATTGTAGTAAGAATAACATTAAATGAGAATTAAATTAATCAAATGAAGACATATATAAAAGTCCCTGGCATAGATCTTAGCACTAAGGAAATATTCAATTAATATCTGTTGAATTAGAATTTAACTTATCTTCTGTAGCCACACAGACAAAATCAAATCTTATAGGTTAATATTATACACACTTAAGTCTTTTCTTTGTAAAATATTTTCAATTACTGGAGTTGTTTCCTGATAACATGATTTCCTGTCATAATTTCCACTGTAGCTTCAATGCTACTGTGGCCCCAAAAGGACCCCTGCCCCTTGCCATCCCTTTATCAGGGGGCAAGACCCCAAGAGAAATGTGGGGAAGCTGTGGGGAGTGGGAGGGTGTACAAATCATACGAGAAAGAGGTGGGGATTTACAGAAAAAATTAATCTGGCCAGTATAAAATATATTTGGATGACTTATTTTTAGAATGATAATTTTTTTGTGCTGACTGTGTGTCACGCAGGTCCAAATGTTTTATTTATTTTCATATTTCATCCTCATAATAACTCCATGAGTCATAGGGTCCATAACTTTATTATTGTCATTTTATAGCTGATGTTCAGTGATATGTGGGGACTTACCTTGTCCTACAGTTAGTATTAATAAGTATGTCCCTCTGTTATTTTTAGTTTCTGTAACAGAATTACTGAGGATGGGTAATTTATAAAGAAAATAAGTTTATTTGGCTCACAGTTCTGGAGGCTGGTAAGTCCAAGAGCATGGTGCTGAGATCTGGCGAGGGCTTTGAGCTGCTTCAGTACATGGAGAAAGGTATCCTGTGTCAAGAGAGGAAGCAAGAGAAGACTGAGGGAGGCAAACTCACTTTTATGACAACCCACTCTCGTAATTACAATCTCCCTACCCCTAGAACTAACTTACTCTCACTAGAATGACATTAATGAGGGTGGAGCCCCCATAACCCCAAAACCTCTTAAAGGCTCTACCACCTCTTAATTCTGTTACTTAGTGACCACATTTCCAGATGAGTTTTGGAGGGGACAAACCACATTCAAATCATAACAGTGAGGGACCCAGGATTTCTGATAAACTTTTTGTGTGGATTAAGTGAATTGATATTTATAACATACTTAGAACAGTGGCTGACACATAGTAAATACTATATGTGTTAGCAGTTATTATTATGATTCCTTGATTTTAGATTTTAGAAGATCCTCTTCCAAATTTTTTTCTTTTACCCACAGAGCTAGAGTTCTCATGTGTTTCTACTCCCAACCCCAATAAAGCCAACAGACCCTGCAACCTATGCTCTCCCCTTCTCTAACAGAGCCAACAGAACCTAGGTGGAGAAAATGCAATTAAAAAAAATTCTATAATACTAAGTTGGCATTAGGGTTTTCATGCATCCGTCTTTTGAGTTGGTTAATGTAAGTCTATATGGGAGATGGCTGTGCTCTCAGCATGATGGCTTGTCAGGTCCCTGAGTACAAGGCACAGGACCAGACTTACAGTTGTGACAAATCCATCAGGTAAGTGGGGGTTGGTCTGCTGGCTTTACTACCTGGTGGAGACATAAAAACATTGCTATATGCCTAAGAAAGTAGATTTTTAAGAATATGCTTATGAACCTGTATTTTTTCCCAGATCTTGTTCAGATAATTTATAAATAAAAATGATCTTTTAGATCATTTATAAGTAAGAATTATTGCCATTAAGATATTATTGCAGGAGAAAAGTTGTAAATCATGTTTTCCCTCTAGAAAACTTTATTATATATTTTTAATTATAAGAGTAAAACATTTACTATGTAAAAAAGGAAGTATATAGAACCATATAATGCAGCAAAAAAAGTACATCATATTTTTAATCTCTTAAAGATGTTTGTTAATTTTCTGATGTTTAAGATGCCATTTTTTTTAATTGAAGGAGAATTTAAATTTACATTTTGTGAAAAACACAGATCTTAAGTATACAATTCAATAAGTCTGTTAAATGTTTGATAAATCTCCAAGCCCACACCCCAAAGAAACTATGATTTTGATTTCTATCATCATTTCTTGTCCTTGAATGGAATCACACCATATGCACTCTTTTATGTGTGTTTTGTTGTTGTTGGTCAATATAATGTTAAATAATGTAGCACACACCAGGTGCATACATTTTTTTTTGCTGAGTAGTAATATGTTTATTCATTCTACTCTTGATGAACATTTGGTTTGTTTTAAGGTATTGGGCATTATGAATACAGTGTCCCTGTACATTCTTGTAACAGTCTCTTTGTAGATATATGCTTTCATTTCATTTGGGTAATTACCTAGGAGAGAAATTGCTGTGTCACAGCATAGGCGTATGTTTAACTTTGTAACAGACTCCTGGTTTCCTTCAATGATGGTACTATTTTACACTTCTAGCCTCCGTATCTAAGAGTTCCAGTTTATATTGTCAATTTAGTGGGAATGTTTTACATAGAAATAATACAAGTGTTTTTCTTGTGTGATAAAGTTTTATCTCAGCCTCATATCTGAGTCTAACCATTTGGGTATGACCTAACATTTGATTTATACATAAAATCTAGGCACTGTTGTTTACCAGGCAATGATTCAAGTCTTTGCTATAGGGCCTGGGATGGAATAACTAGAGGCCTACCTTAAAAAAATCAGAGTCACAATGGGTAGAAATAATAACTTATATTTAAGTAAGAAAGTGAATGATTTTAACAATTTCTAGTAACCTAGTTCTTCTGTCGGATATAATCAGGAACAGAACCTGCCTGCCAGACATGGGTTTTCTTTCGTGACAGAAACAGCAAGTTGTCCCCAACATTTACTTCCCCATTCTTTGTAGAAGGACACAAGATGCCCAGATTTTAGATAATGTTCTTCATCTTTCTTAGCAGGTAGGATGTGGCCAAGTGACTTACTTCTGGCCAATGAATAAAAGGAGAAACATCTTTTGGCAGTGCACCTGTTACTTAGCTATTGGCATTTCACTCCAAATCATCTCTACTCTGCAGTGTAATGATGTAGTTGGGACTCCACAAACTACATTTCCTAGCATTCTTTTTCTGCTAGGTTCAGCCAGTAGCTAGCCCTACAGCTAGATTGGAAGTTAGGCAGAGGAGAGAAGGGATTTTCATCCTGTTTGCTTGTTATTCTTATCAGTGAGATCCTAGCAACAGCATTTTGTTTCAGGCTCCTGTTGCTTTTGGTACTTGCATAATTAGCCTCATTTGTCTCCTCAGGAGTACTTGGAGTAGCCAGATCCCACCTTTTTAGAGCTTCTAGGTTCTGATAATCTAAACTCTTCTTTTCTCCTGGCGAAAGTGATGTTAGCTGTACTTATCTCTGGGTTACATCCCTGTTTCTATTTTGCTCTTTCAGGTCACCAATACCTGTATAACCAGTTCCTTGTATTTAATCCTCTCTGTTGAAATACTATAGTGCTTGTTTTCTTAACAGGTTCTAATGCATAGTAATAGGAGTGGTCCCAGAAAGCAAATTTTCAAAGATAGAATTCTAGAATTGGTTCAGTTATGTTCTTAGCCTTAAATGTACTGCTCAACCCTTTGCTAATAAAAATGAGTTATTAATAATCCATGACATATATTGATATCATAATTAATTAAATGATCTCTTGTGGCTGATTGTGATGAAGTGTTTACTGAAGCAAATTCCTTGGAGATAAAGTGGCATAGCCATACATATCTTTTTGGTAGTAATGAAAACCACAAAAACTAGAGGTTAGGGTAACCAATTTTAACTGCACTGGAGAGCTTACAGAGAAAAGGTGACAAGTTCAGGTCTTTAAACTCTCAACTAAAGACATTGTAGGAAAACCAGAGTGTTTCTATAGCAGCCATACAAGAACCTTTTACTTTTTGTAGCCACTGAGATGACTTTGCAGGTCAGTCCAGAACTTAATCGTGTAGGTTGCAGAATTACAAGTTAAACTTACAGATTTGTCAATCTGTTACTTGAAAGTTAGGACATTGATTGGGAAGGAGTGAGACTTGGAATGGGGTATCAAGTGGGCTCAGAGCTGAGAGTCTTGAACCCCTGAATTTTTCTGAACCTCCCTTGCAGCAGAATCAGTTCCTCCTATTGTATTTGTGAAGACTGGCCTTCCCTTATTTGAAGATCTTGTAATAAACTTGCATGAGGCAGTTGCTTTACAATGGAATATCTAGTCTTGTGAAGATCCATCAGCACCATCTCCTGTGGCCTGCAGTTCCATAACCTGAGTCAGATTAAATACCAGGTATGACGTAGGAGGGCATAATGTATACACAAAATAACTGCAAGATTTTGCTAATATATATGTTGGCAGAAACCTGTGGAATTTATGTGTGAATGGATTTTCTGGTTGTTAGATGAAGGTAGTTAGAATATAATATTGTATTAGCCTAAATGTATTGATATGAATTCATAAGGAGTCTGGATTTAATGTATCAGCTTGAGTAGCTGCAAGTAGCTATAACAGTTTTCTTTGTTGACTAAAATCTGGACTTAGTGATGGTCTACATTCAATGAGGTTGAGATGGTAAAGCTTCTGAGCATAATATTGAGGAAGGAATTCAAGGGTTTAAAGAGGTAGGAATATTGGTGTAGCTTAATCATATGGAATCTTGCACTACCCTATCTCCTCCACTATACTACTGCAGAGTTCTTAGCAATTACTCCCTTCACTAAGTCATTAAAAAATATATTAGTAAGAGGAGTTCCAGCCTCCATGAAAAAATTGTGGTGGCTGTTCTCTGGAGGCTTGGGATGATAGTGAGAGATGCTGCCATTGAAATAGTGGGGATGATGGTATCCTAAAAACGCAGAGGGTTGTTAGCAGTACTTAACCACCAGAGATAAGGTAGCACAACTCTTACAGGTGGCAGGAGAAATAAAGTAGAATCAGAATGCTTTAAGTTTACTCAGGAAGACACTGAGCAGCCTCAAATTTAAGTTTGTTGGTAGAACCAGCGCCCAATCTCTTAACTTCCAGGCTGAGACTCCCCTTCATTGATTGGTCTGTACTTTACTTAGGCCCAAATCCATCAGATTGCTTTTGTCTGTACTTCAATTTTCAAGGCCACATTGATTTTACATATTTATATTCATGCATACTTATTCTTTCTCTCACATATGATTCATGGGTAGAAAATAATGGGATGATACTCTAACATAAAAAAACAAAAATTGCAATTCATTATAGTAACTACATGTTTATGCTGCTTTCAAGCTACAACAGCAGAGTTTAGTTGCAACAAATTCTTGTGACATATAAAGCCTAAAATGTTTACTATCTGGCTTGACATAGAAAAAGTTTGCCTGTTGCTGTTCTGAAAAATAAAAACACTGCAGGTAAAGCTTAAGTTCCCTGAGATCAGTCCTCTTTTTGTCAGTATAAATTCTATAATATTATGTTTTAATATTTGTAGATTACCTATAGATTTGAATAATCTACCATTTCTCTAGTTGCTAGGGAAGATGAGCAAATTTCCTAAAAGATTGGAATGACTCTCCTAAGGAGGTGGCTCCTTGGCCTCCCTTTTCAAAGGTGTATTTTTTTTCCTTTTTATTTTTACAAATTTATGGGGTACATGTGCAATTTTGTTACATGTGTAGATTGCATAGTGGTCGAGTCAGGGCTTTTATTTATCACCTAAATAACGTACATTGTACTCATTAACCAATTTCTCATCATCCTCCAACCACTCACTCCCTCACCCTTCTGAGTCTCCATTATCTATCATTCCACTATCCATGTCTGTGTGAACATATTTTTTAGCACTCAATTATGGGTAAGAACTGGTGATATTTATGTTTCTGTGCCTGGCTTGTTTTACTTAAAAGAATGACCTCCAATTCCATCCATATTGCTGTAAAAGACATAATTTCATTCTTTTTATGACTGAATAGAATTCCATGAGATATATGTATCACATTTTCTTCGTCCATTTATTTGTTGATGGACACTTAGTTTGATTCTGTATCTTTGCTGTTGTGAATAGTGCTGCGGTAAACATACGAGTCCAAGTATCTTTTTGATATGTTGATTTCTTTTCCTTTGGGTAGATACCCAGTGGTGGGGACTGCTGAGTTGAATGGTAGTTCTATCTTTACATCTTTGAGAAATTTTCCATACTGTTTTCCATAGAGGTTTGACTAATTTACATTCCCACCAGCAGTGTATTATCGGAGTTCCCTTTCCTCTGCATCCTCCTCAAAGGTGTACTTTAAAGATTATAATTACTACAGAGAACTTTTACAGGTCACTGATACAATGCAAAGCTGCCTCTTGACCATTAATTAAGATCTAACCAATATATGGAAGCCAAAATAGTTGATCTCACAGAAGTAGAGAATAGAATAGTTACTAGAGGCAGGGGAAGGACAGGAGTTTGGGGGAGTAGCCAAAGGTCGATTAACAGATACAAAAGTCCAGCTAGATAGGAGGAAGCACAATAGATTGGCTATAATTATAAACAATTTATTGTATATTTTCAAATAGCTAGAAGAGTAGATTTTGAATGTTCCCAACATAAATAAGTGATAAATGTTTAAAGTGATGGATATGCTAACTACCCTGATTTGATCATTATGCGTTATACACATGTATCAAAATATCACACTGTACCTAAAAATATGTACAATTATTATGTGTCAACTAAAAATCATGAAAGCAAAAAAAGAAGTTCTTTTTTTGAATGTAAAGCTGTAACTTTCCTTTTCAATTGTTAACATTCACTATGTTATAAAAACCATTCCTGCACTAAAAAAAATTAGTGAAGGAAGACCTTAATTTTTTTTTTTTTTTTTTTTTTTTTTGAGACGGAGTCTCGCTCTGTCGCCCAGGCTGGAGTGCAGTGGCGGGATCTTGGCTCACTGCAAGCTCCGCCTCCCGGGTTCACGCCATTCTCCTGCCTCAGCCTCCCAAGTAGCTGGGACTACAGGCGCCCGCCACTACGCCCGGCTAATTTTTTGTATTTTTAGTAGAGACGGGGTTTCACCGTTTTAGCCGGGATGGTCTCGATCTCCTGACCTCGTGATCCGCCCGCCTCGGCCTCCCAAAGTGCTGGGATTACAGGCGTGAGCCACCGCGCCCGGCCGACCTTAATTTTTAAAGGTCTATTAATTTGTCAGATTTAAGAGTAATACACATTCAAAGAACACAGACAAATGAACAACACATATATGAAAAAATATTAATGCCACTAATCACCAGAGAAATGCAAATCAAAACCACAAGGAGATATTGCCTCATACCCATTAGTATGGTCATTATTTTAAAAAATCTCACAAAAGATAACAGGTGTTGAGGAGGATATGGAGAAACTGGAACGCTTGCACATGGTTAGTGCAAATGCAAACTGGTGTAGGTGCTATGATGCTATGCAAAACAGTATGGAGATTCCCCCCATAATTAAAAATGGAACTACCATATCATCTAAGATTCCTAGATCTGGGTATTTATCCAAAAGAATTGAAATCAGGTTCCTGAAGAGATATTTGCACTCTCATGTTCATTGCAGCACTATTCACAGTAGCCAACATGTGAAAATAACCAAAATGTTAATTGACTGGTGAATATATAAAGAAAACGTGCTATATGCACATAATGGAATATTATTTAGCCTTAAAAAAGAAGGAAATTCTGCAATATGTGATGGCATGGATTAATCTGGAGGACATTATGCTAGTTAAATGAGCCAGACACAGAAAGACAAATACTGCATGATTTCGCTTATATGAGCTATCTAAAATAATTAAATTCATAGGCTCAAAGAATGGAATAGTGTTATCTCGGGCTGAGCAGAAGGGAGAATGGGGAGTTATGAATCAACAGGCATAAAGTTTCAGTAAAGCCAGATAAATAAGCTCTAGAGATCTGCTATACATCATTGTACCTATAGTAACAATAATGTATGGTATAATTAAAAATTCATTGAGAGAGTAGAACTCATGTTAACTGCTCTTACCACAAAAATAATTTTTAAAGTAGTACATGTTCATTATATAAAATTAGAAAAAGATATAAAAAAGTAAAAAGAAGAAAAAATTATAACTCTTTAGCTTCATCACCTAAAGACAACCATTGTTAACAATTTGGTTTCATTCTTAGCATTAATTTTAATTTTTAAAAATTCTAAGTAAATAAAATTGATGCATTCACCTTTTTCAAATTATTTCTAGCTTAGCCTCTAATATACTATTTATACTGTATTTAGTCAACAAATAATTACTTGCCATCTACTTCTTTTTTGGTGTGAATGTAAGGTTGTATCTATTTTCCAAAAATCAAGAAACATACTCATATCTAGGACAGGCCATTACTTCCTAAATTACTGAAGTCATCCTGGAGATGAAGTTGTTTAATGATTGATTTTTTTCATTATCCCACAAGCCTGGATATTTACTACTGTGTTTCTTTTTTACTATTCATGTTTTAAGAACCTCTCAGGGAAACAGAAACATAAAAAACTCCTGGAATCCTTCTCCATTTCAGTGCCTCAGTCACCCCATGCCCTTGTCTAGCTCTTACGTTCCCTACAGAACTGCATCCTGGCTTCCTAGTCCACTGGAGAGGACGTGCCATGTTTGAATTCTTCCTGATGGACATAACAACTGAAAATGTGCCAGTCTTAAGGCAGATTTCAAAAGCCTTTTCTCACATGATTAAACAAATATATTGATTGAATAATGGTTTGATTCTTACTTCAGTCTTGCTTCCCTCTCACAATATTTACATTTTAAAAGAAGCTTTTGATGACTATTGTATTACTTTCCTATTGCTGCTATAACAGATTGCCTCAAAATTTGTGGCTTAAACCCATACAAATCTATTATCTTACAGTTCTGGAGGTGAGACGTTCAAATGGGTCTCGTTAGGCTAAAATCGGGGGGCTGGCAGGGCTACGCTCCTTTCTGGAGGCCCCAAGGAAGCCTCTGTTTTCTTGCCTTTTCCAGTTTCTAAGGGTCTCCCACCTCCATCTTCCATCTTCAAAGCCAGCAATGTCCTGTTGAGTCTTTCTTGCACCACATCACTCTAACTCTGACTCTTCTGCTTCCCTTTTCACATTTAAGTTTCCTTATGATTACATTGGGATTTTGGATAATTCCAGATAGTTCCTCCCTTCTCCCCCTTGTAAGAGTCTTAACTCAATCACATCTGCAAAGTCCCCTTTGGCAGGTAAGGTATCATACTGATACATTCTGGGGGTTAGGACATGGATACCTTTAGAGGGGAGGGGTGCGTTTTTCTCAAATACTTTAACTCAGAACAGTGGATAGTATCTGAAATGAGAAAGAATCACTGGGGAGATACCATTTTCCTTTTGCTATTTCTCAATCATGCTAGTTTACTAGTTTAGCTGTTAGAGTAATAAAATGCCTTTCAGGAGGAAAATGACTATTCTTGCACACTCTTTTTCAGGGCTGGTCCAGGGCAAAATTGTGAAGCAGAATTTTGTTTGACCTGTCAATTTTTTCCCCTTTACTCCTACTCTTTATTATTTCTCAGAACTCTGCTCACTTCTCTTACTTCCAGTCTTATACTAATCCTGATAAGGTCTTTTTGTTATAAGAGCTAAAGAAATAACTCTTCTGAAGGTATTTTCATGTAATCAAAATGTTTTGAAAAGTAAGACTTAAAGACACAGTGGAACTCTAAATTCTAAAATGATCGGGAATTAACCAGTAAGTTATATTCAAATATTTCTTCATTATATGCTATGCTAGTTAGGGAGGGAGGGAGGGATCCAAAGATAAGTAAAGTTCAGTTGCCATTCTCAAGTATGTGACAGTCTGGCCAATTTAGAATTCATATTATTGGATCAGAGGACTTTCAAACCAGTCATGTACTTTCTAGTTCTTTGTACCTATACTATCATTTATAGATATCAGGATTTAAAAATCAGATGTTTTCTTTATGCAATTGCTGTGGCCCTATATTTATCAATGATTATAAATTTACTCATATAACAGGCCAATAAAATGTAACTTTAAAGTTTCCTGTACCTTCTTGTGGCAGAAATGGGGGAGGAAGAGATGAGACATAGACTTTAAACTTGCCAGTAAACAGTATCATCTTTTTAAAATAATCTATTCTGAATGATTCTGATTCTTAGATTTAAAATTTCTTTAACCTCCTTCAATAACATTCCAAAATGGTATCTGGGTGTATTTGGGGGTGACGCTGAGTGACTACATGATTGTAGGAGGAGACAGGCATCTCTAAATTTTAGCCGGTCTCTGCTGTGAATTGGCTATTCTGGCTAGTGTCCAGTGAGGTGTACTTGGGCCTATGTGGTCATTTGGACACTAGGCTGGCATATACCTGATCCCAGTCATATGTTTCTAGATGTGAAGATCACAGCCTCACAATCCCAACTTCAGGCTTTTGCTTGTCCTCCAGCTCTCTCAGCACCTCAGGTACCTTTATCAGGGCATGTATCTCCATTCCCCCTGTTCTGTCTAGGCATCCCATCCTGAGAGAGGACGGAAAGGCATAGTCATTTGATCTTACTTTTGGATTTCCTTGTCATTTCTATTTTCTACACTCTCTCTGAACAGGAAGGCGTGGGCTCTCTCTGTCTTTTTATTTATTTGCTTATTTTTTTTGGAGTAGACATCTCCTATATCATGTTATCTAGGATTATGAAAAGTCTGAGGTTTGCCCTGCTTTCAAGCTAACAAGTTAGCTTGTTACAGTTTCATGGGGGCTGGCAGAAGACATGAGATTCCTGAGTCATACTGAGGACTTTATTACTCATGGCACATGAGGCAGCATGGGCCTCATGTTAGTGCCCATTCTCCAAGTCCCTCAAGTCCCATGGAGCAATGTCGATGGCCCTAGATGGGTGCTGTGCACACAGTAGATTTACGTTACAGCTGAGGAACCCTAAACTTAAAAACCTCAAACTTGCACAAACTTTTAACCAGACGAAGACATTATTTTTAGTTTACTGTACGGCAAACCTACTCTGTGCTTCAGAAGGACATACTATCTCTGCTTTCCAAAACTGTTCACTATGTGTCATCTTTCAACAGTCAGTGCAGAATGAAAGGCTGTCAGCCTCCTTCTACAAGATGTAAAGAAACATGAAAGACTCATGGAGAATTGTCTCCAAACACACATATTCTTAACCTGTAAGTTCTAAGTTTCACAACTTATAGTTAAGGGTAAGAAGGATATTCTTTTTACATTATGAAAGAAACTATGCTAGAAGTCAACTATAACAAAAGGCTAGCTATTCTAAGAGCTTTGGAATGCCTAGGAACTAGAGATTATTAAGAATAAAATAAATCGGTTTGACGTTCCCCCAATATTGCCCAAACTATCTGTTGATTTTCATTCTTATGTATTTCCTAGTATTTAATACTTAGAGAGGTCACACTTACATGATGCTTGTAACACACAGGTATGGTTTTGACTGGACTAGGCCAATCACAATCTAAATTATACTGACAGATCAGAGCCAGAATATATGAGAAAATATTCTTGAGGATAGTTTAGTTTCTTTTTTCTCAAGAACATTTATGTTTCTTAGAATATAATTTATTAGAAGTAGTGGATGCAGATTTGTTTTGGTTATAAATAAATAAAGTTGAAAGTGATTATATGAAATAGTTAAGGGAGGCTCAGGGCTTTATGTACTAAATCTAAGTTTTCAATAGAAAATCTGAACAATTCCATTAAAAATTACTTTTGGGAATTATCTGAATTATCAAAATTACTTTTGAAAAGATTCCATAGCTTTATCTTGTGCTTTATTCTGACATGTAAACTGTCAGGTAGTAAGGTGGTTCATGATACTCGACACACTAATTAACATTAGCTGCTATGAGAAACGGCTTTCAAGTTGCAGTGGCCTAATACAGAATGTTTTATTTCTTATTGATGTCACAGACCAAAAGAGACCAGGTGGCTCTCCTAGGGGTTTTCTTCCCCGGTGTTGAGTCAGGGACCCAGGTTCCTTCCATTGGGTGCTTCTACTTTCCAGGAAAACTTCCAGATTCCCTCACCGAGTGCCCTTCATTTGACCAGCTGACAAGCAAAGAGTGTGGAAGACCGCATGGGATGTTTCAGGGGTCAGGCCAGAAAGTGAGGTGTATCGCCACCCTACATTTCATTGGCCAAACTGGTTACATGGCCTGACCTAGATTCAAAAGGTGGGGAAATGTGACCTTCCCATTGTCTATGTCACATTCTTTAAAAGGAATCTGTCAGTCAACAAGATTTATTGATGATCAGCTTGGTGCATATCATTGTATTAGACATTGTGAAAGTAAAAACAGAGTTAAAAGTTCGCGTGCACAGATAGAGAAAATGGATTAAGGCAGGAAGTCTGGATTCATTCTGGTTAAGTAAGTCATTGGGGGCAGTCATTCCTAGGGTTTAACCCCAGGAATAATGTATACATTATGGTATGTATCATTGCATGTTTTCTGGGTTCAAATTTATGTCCGGATTCCTCATAGACAATTGCAGACAGTCCTCCATGTTCAACAACTGAAGCAACAGAAGGAGGGCCTCAACAGTGTAGGAAATTGAATATACCAATAACAGGTTAATTATTTTCATAAGCATAAAAATAGACTGCATATTCACCAGTCAGAGGCAACTTAAAGGAGGATGGGATTAGTAGTTTGGGATCTGGGTCATGAGAAAACTACATAAAAGAACAGGAAACAAATGACAGGACATGTTGGTTGTCATCAAATTGGCAAAGGACTGTTATATAAAATAAAGAGGGAAATAAACCAGTGGGAATACTGAACACATAGTGACATCACTAGCTAAGGAAAAGCAAACAAAAGTTAGAATTACCATGACTTCTTTTTTGTCACAAAAGACTTATAAATAAATATATTTTCAACAGATTTAGTGACCTCATAATTATGGAATGGGAGCAAATTAAGCAGCTGCTTGCCTTCTGAAGTCCAATTTTGCCCCTTCCCCTTCTTATTTTTAAATGACTCAGATGATTCTGTAGCACATTAATGGTTGCAGGGAACTTATATTTGTTGAATGCCTATCACATGTTGGGTACCACACAGGAACTTTACAAAAATATGTATTTACTATTTTAATTCTCAGGAGGATATTCTGAGGCAGGCATGATAATTTCTGTTTTAACAGAAGGGAAAACTGAGGCCCAGTGTAGTTATGTGACTTGATGAAGGATACGTGAACAAATTGTGGAAGTGTATGTAGAAACCAGGTCTTTGGACAAGGTTCATTGCTTTACATAGTAATGCTGATATTAATATAACTGATTATTGTATCCTCTGGTCGATATATTAAGCATTTTATAAGGCATGCAAGGCAGAATAAAAGATTGCTTACTTGAGCTCTGAAAAAAGGTAAAAGAAAGGTGAAGTTGAAAAGTTAAAATGTATTCATTTTGGCACCAGAGAAAAATATGCATACCTCTCTCATTCTGCTTTTCACATTTTATTCTCTTTTTCTTCCTTTCTAATTTATATCTCACCAATTTCTGAAAAAGGACTGATGAAAACTCCTTGGCTGAGCCCCAGAAAATTCATAATGTAATAAAATTATTTTCAAATTTCTACCTAAATAAATTGCTTGCCTTCAGATTGTAAAGAACCAGCAGTATTATAAATTAAAAAACAATCCACATAGGTGGTACATGTTTTGAGCTTTATATGAATAGAACTATACTACTTGCATTTTGTATAGCTTGCTTTTTTGTTTAGAACTATGTTCTTTGGATTCATCTATGTTGCTTTATGTAGCTGTAGTTCTTTAATTTTTACTGTTGTATGTTATTATGTTCCTAATAAAACACACATAATTTTATTTTTTTCCTATGGTTAACCAATTAGAGTTCATATATTCTTCACCACATTGTGTTGCTAACTCTGTAATATATCGTTTCGTGACTTTTTTAACCAAAAAGCCACTCTCCATTCTTAGATCACATTTAATAATATTTTATTATATGGTTATGATTAAACATGTTTTAATTTGAAATTAAATTGTGTTAAAGTGGATTAATTCTATTTTTTCCTAGAGTGCTTTCTAAAACACAAAATGTGGATTAATCTAGATCTGTGAGCAGGAAGCAGGAAAGGTGTAAAAGTGAGAAATTTGAGGCAGGGAGACCAGTTAGAACTTTATCAGAGGTTCAAGAAAATGAGACTCTGAATGGTGACAGTGACATAGGAATAAAAAGGACAAAAATGTGAGAAACTTTGCAGAGGAAGAACTGACTGTATTTTGTGAACAACTGAATGTGGAAAGCAAAGTAACTTAATTGCTAAGCATTACTACAAGGTTTGAGACAGATGACTTTAGGAAAAAGATTATTTCAATTTTAAATTTATTAAAATTAATGTGGTTACAGGACATTGCAATAGAGATTTAGGAAGTATTTGTATGTAGTTAACAAGTTAAATCTGTTGAAGGGATTTTTTTT
The DNA here is from genome assembly GCF_000001405.40 of Homo sapiens. NCBI lineage: Eukaryota > Metazoa > Chordata > Mammalia > Primates > Hominidae > Homo > Homo sapiens. The sequence goes on along the minus strand of NC_000007.14, from coordinate 87,080,652 downwards.
TTTTTTAAAAAAACGTTGCTGGTTTCTCTATTCTTATTGTTTTATAAGAACTCTTTTACATATTCTGGGCCAGGCATGGTGGCACACACCTGTAATCCCAGCTACTTGGGAGGCTGAGACATGAGAATCACTTGAGCCCAAGAGGTGGAGGTTGCAGTGAGCTGAGATCGCACCACTTCACTCCAGCCTGGGAGTGAATAGAGTGCAATAGAGTGAGACTCTGTCTCAAAACAAAACAAAACAAAAACAAAAACAAAAAAGAACTCTTTACATATTCTGGATACAAATCCTTCTCCCAGGAATATCTTCTTCTGGTTTGTATCTTTGTGTTTGTTCACTTTTAATATTTTTCTTGGTGTCTTTTGAGGAACAAAAGTACGTAATTTTTATGTAGTCCATTTTATCAATAATTTCCTTTATGTTTGTGCATTTTATTAAGGAAATTTTTCCATAGGGAGGCCATCAAAAATATTTTCCTGGATTGTATTCTAATTGTAGCTTTTTTGCAATCACATATAGATTATTAATAAAACTGAAGTTGATTGATTGTTGCTTATGGTATTAGAGACACAATATCATTTGTCCCCCTCATAGATGCCCAATGGTCCCAGCACCATCTATTGAAGTCTATTTATCTTCCACAAATTTCTAATACCACTTTGGTCATATATTAAGTAATAAATGTATGAGTCTGTTTCTAAACTCTTTATTCCATTTCTTTAATTATCAATCCATGTCAGTAGCACTTGAATTTCATTTCTTTAATTTTATAATAAATCTTGAAATCTAATAAGGAAAATGCACAAAGCATCTTTTTCTTCTTCCTCAATAGAATAATGTCTTAACAATTTTTTGATCTTTGAACCTAAATATAAATTTTAGACTCAACATATTAATTTGTACACATACATACACAGGATAAAAAAACCTGTTGAAGTTCCTATTGGCACTGCATTGAATTTACATATCAATTATAGAACTGGCATCTTTATGACATTGAGTCCTTTAGTTCATGAGCATTGTATACCTCTATTTATTTAGGCCTTCTTTAATGTACAGAATTTCAGTTACAGTTTTATATTTTTGTCAGTAATGGTTTTGCACAGTTTATTTTATTTATTTTGAGTATTTTATAGACTTTTATTTTAGTTTGAAAATCTTCCTGTACAACTCTGTATTGTTGGTATACAGAAATGCAATAGATTTTTACATGTTGATTTTTATATTCTGCAAACGTAGTAAACTCTTCTCTTAATTCTAAAAATCTTCTGTAGATCCTGTCAGAAGCTTTTTATAACAAAGTAATTTCACTTGCAACTAATGATAATTTAGTTCATTGTCTTCTATTCTTCTACTTTTATTCCTTTTATCCCCTTTTGGTGTTGGCTAATAACTCCAACCCAAGGTTGGAAAAAATGGATATTCTGATAATTTTCCTGATCTGAAAATGAATGTTTTTACCCTTAAGTATAATGTTCAATGGTAGTTATTTTTGTGGATCCTCCACATCAGGTAAAGACATTTATTTAATTAAAAAAAATCAACCCTGAATTCTTGGCCTGGACCAAAGGAAAGAGATAAAGAATGGAAAAGGAGAATATACTGAGTTTTGGATTTCATTATTATTGATATGATTGGGCTGCATCCTCACCCAGATCTCATCTTGAATTCCCACGTGTTGTGGGAATGACCCAGTGGGAGTTAATTGAATCATGGGGGCAAGTCTTTCCTGTGCTGTTGTCGTGATAGTGAATATATATCAGGAGATCTAATGGTTTTACAAAGAGGAGTTGCCCTGCACAAACTCTCTTCTTTTGTCTGCCAACATGTGAGACATGCCTTTCACCTTCTGCCATGATTGTGAGGCCTCCCCAGACATGTGGACATGTGAGTCCATTAAACCTCCTTCTTTTGTAAATTGCCCAGTCTAGGGTATGTCTTTAATCAGCAGTGTGAAAATGGACTAATACAATTATTATATTTTAAATTTCCTTTTTTTTTTTTTTGATACAGAGTCTCACTCTGTCGCCCAGGCTAGAGTGCAGTGGCACTATCTCGGCTCATTGCAACCTCTGCCTCCCAGGTTCAAGTGATTCTCCTGCCTCAGTCTCCCAAATAGCTAATAGAAATTAGTCACCATGCCTGGCTAATTTTTGTAGTTTAAGTAGAGATGGGGTTTCACCATGTTGGCCTGGCTCGTCTCGAACCCCTGACCTCAAGTGATCTGCCCCCCACCTGCCGGCCAGCCTCCCAAAGTGCTGGGATTACAGGTGTGAGCCACAGCGCCCAGCCTTATATTTTAAATTCCTAAATGTTCTGACCTTCTTCCTTTTCTCTTCCTCCTTCCTTTCCTTACTCCCTTCCTTCCCTTCCTCTCCCTCTCCTTCCTTCCCTCTCACTTCCTCCCTTCTCTCTCTCTCTGTTTCTTTTTTTAAAATGAAATTTGTCTTTTCTATATTCTTTTCTTTTCCTCTTATATTTTCAGGGTTTTTTACATTTTAAAATATATTAAATATATTTTTCATCATTTGTCTTATAATTCCAACATTTGAAGTCTTTATGTATCTAACTTTGCTATCTGTTGCTTCTACTACCTCTCACCCAAGATGACTTGTTTCTCTGCGCATTTTGTAAGTTTTAACTATTAGTTTAGTTTTTGGAATTTTATCTGTTGAATGTTTCTGAGCCCTATATTAACAATTTATACCTCAGTGACTATTTGCATTTGCTTCTGCTGAACATTGGTGGCCGGGGGAAGGGAGTCTACCAACACAGAAACACTTTAAATTTTCTTCTCTGAGGTTTTTTGAATATCCCCAGGTAGTATGAGGTTGGGCTATAAGCTCAGGTGAGGGCCAGCTTGTGCAAACGAATCCCAAGGGGGCAATTTTATGTTTCCTTCTACCCAACGCCATATTTTGTAATAAACAATCTTCCCTGCTGTTCCCTGGATTTATTTCTAGTTTACATGTACCTTGAGGGTTTAGGACTTTGAGATTCCTGATTTATTAAGGCATCTCTTTTAAGATTCCTCATCTTGGGTATGTTCCTCTCAGGATTTATTTCCTGTTACCTGTGAATACAGAAGCTCACGTTCACCTTCATGGGCAAATGTCCTTAAGGTGAAATCAGATTGAAAGCTCAGCTTACCTCTCTAGATTTCTATTTTCAATTTGTTTTTCACTACTTTTTATTTTTTAAATTCTTTAATTTTTAATTTTTGTGAGTACATAGTAGGTATATGTATTTATGGGACACACGAAATGTTTTGATAAGGCATGCAATATGAATAGTTTTTCACTTCTGAGAGTCCTCTCCTTCTAACACATCAATGTATTTAAACATATTTTTTATTATTTTAATTATTTTCAGTGGGAGGGTTGGTCACATTTCCAGTAAATGTGTCATATTACCAGAAAATGAAATTTTAGAGTCTTGGAATATAATTTATTCCTACAATAAATTTAAGATTGGCATGGAAAGAATGAGGGGATCCTTTATGAATATGAGAGAGTATAAATACAAGATTGTAGACTAGACATTTATTCATATATATATATTTACATATTTACTAGGCACTCTATTATGTGATGTGTTGTGTTATACTGCAGAAGATACCAATAAGTACATTGAAAAGTTTCTGGATTTCAAAGACTTTAATGATATAAGTGATCAATTCAGTAAAATGGTGTAAATTAAATGTGCACACCTAACTGGGGAAATAAAGCAAAGCTTTTTTTAAAAGATGATATTTTATCCCAATCTATGGGATAGACACAGGGGGATGAGTAGAAGTTCATTCCAGGTAGAAGGATCAAAGAGCATGAACAAAGGTATAGAGGTAAAAAAACATGGACTGACTTTAGAGAACAGTATGTTTGGCTGAATTGTAGGTGATTTTAAAGAAATAGTTAATGATAAAAATAAAAAGCCAGACTGAGGCTACAGCATGAAAGAGCCATGAATTCTAGGCTAAGCAATTTGAAGTTGAATTAGTAGGGGAACTAATTTATTACTTAATGTATTTTTAAAATAAATATATTTAATATAATATTATTTAATAATAATTTGAGTTATCCATAGCTGCATAAACCTGTCAGTTTTATGCAATCTACAACATGTCATTTATGGAAGACTGATAGTAGAATCAAAACTATCAGTTAAACTATTATCAGTTAACCTAGCAATTATAAACAGGTAATTAGAATGGGATGAAGTATGGGAGTGTGAAACAAGTATAATAACTATTTACTACTGTGTAAAAACTGTTTTATTCAGTTTCTTCTATGAATAACCTCCATCTTTGATGATGGCTTCATGTTGTTTACTTAATTACTTTCTTATATTGCTTAGAAAAAATTTATTTCCTGAATAGATTTGAAAACACATCTTGTTCTTTCTTTCCCTGAGTAAGATTCAAAACTGAGTTGCTACCCTAAAACCACAAGCATTTAGGTACTTTCCCCACCAGCCTCCACTTAAAAAGAAAGAGGTGGGCTGGCTCTTGCTCAAATCATTTCGGTAATTTTATTTTTTTAGGTTATAATATTAATAAACTTCTTAGGCCACCTCATTTTGTTAACAACAACAAAAACATCATTAAATGCCAATCAGGATATGTGGTATCAAAATTGAAGGACTACTTTATAAATGCTAAGGAGTCATAAAATAATCAAAGGAACATGAATTGGCATACTACAAGTGGCTAATGTCATTTTATTTCTAGACTGAGATGAGAAATGAGAACGAGTGTCTTTCTCCACTCTATTACCAAAACCTTCTTAGGATCTGGCCAACATGTGAAGAAGTGACACAGCTGAATCTTTCTCAGGCAAAATACATTAACATTACAAATGAAACTTGGTCTGAATCTGTCTCAAGAAGCATTTTCTTTCAGAGGTATAGCAAGAATTACATTAGCAGTGCAGTTATTAAGCTCTGTTGAATAATTCTGTGTTTTCTAAAAGGAAAGTGACCTTTTTTATCTCTCAGGGGGATAATAGCACTACAGATATATTTAAAATAAAACTAACTGGGACAGGACAATAGCGGTAACACCAGCTTTACAAAAATACCTGGGGGAAATTTGGTATTCGGTTAGAAAATATAAAGTATTTTAAACAAAATATTTTATAATAGTTGATTTAGATGTATGACCTTTATTTCTTCTTAATCAAACAGCTTCATCTTCTGTTTTAGGTTGTAGATAGGGAATGGAGACCAGAAATCTACTGTTGAAAATTGTCAATTTGATACTGCTTTGAAAAATGGACACAATTTAGGACCTAAACTCCTCAATAATATGTGTAACTATTGTATTTCTTCAATTGTCAGAGTTATGTATTTTCACATTTTGACATACCTGACATCTGGGTGTTTCCCAGGAAGCAATGTCAAAACAAACAAACAAACAAACAAATAAACAAACAAAAAAACCCATGCCCTAGCTTCTGTGCTTCTTAGTGGTCGTTATCTTTGTAAGTGATAATACAGTCCTATGCGGTAGCATTCAGATGCTTGCATTTAAGTTTGAATCCCTAATGTTGCTTTAGCTGTTTTACAGAGAGATAACATTATAATGCAGAGCTGAAAGGAGACATTATTTTGTACAAAGAAGAGCTAGTAAATGCCAAAAATGAAATCAAAGGTAGTAGAAAATTGCCAAATCTATTGTCTATATTATAGCATTTCAAAGCCAGAAAAGACTGCATGACAGATTTGTGGTCTTAAAGGATTATTATTCAGGTGCCAAACATCTATCTATCAAAAGCTTCTGGATAACTTTCAAGAGAAGGTAATTCACTTGCACTGATGAATAATTCAATCAAGGAAAAAGTGAAACTCAGTTTAACTAAATGGGAAATGCAAACAAAACCTAACAATAATACTGTTGATCTTAAAGATGCCCAAGAGGTCAATCTCACAAGCACGGATTACAGAAAGCAACATGTCATGCTGCCTACCGAAATCAATTCAGACGACTCGTAAGACTGAGTGGGAAGATACTGGAACTAAAATTTGACTTTGAAAATGCAGAAAGTGTTATACATAATTACATGAATAAATACATGGTATCATGAGTATGGAGACAATTTAATGTATACCTAATTTAGTGTTTTGTTTCTTAAAACATAATGAATATGTACAAGAAAAATGGCAATCACTAATATCCACGATAGATTTATAATATTATCCCTAAATTACTTCACATTAATACGATATTCTTTCTTGATAGAGTTACCATATGTGAGCTGGGATGACAAATCTATATTTCAGTAGGATACTTAAAAAATTCCTTGTATCCTTGTGGACAAATGGAGAAATATGGACTGGATGATAGTGTATTAGGGGTTGAATGATTGTGTTCCTAAGGTCTGATGAGTGGATTGAGGGCACCTGGAAAGAGGTTTTTAGTGGCTTGTGGATCAATCTTTCCTAGGCCACCTTTCATGTGGTGTAATTTGTTGGTAACTTGAACACATGGAAGACTTTCTTATGAAATTTGCAGTTGTAAAAAAAGTAGCAGGGATAAAAATACTTTAGATGATGAAATCAGCATCTAAAAATTTTGACAGGGTAGAGTGATGCACTGAATGCAGTAAGATTAATTTTGTAAGAGATAAATATAAGATCCTGAACCTGCGTATATAAAGTAACCTTGTTCGGATAAGTTAGTTATTAATTTCTAACCATTTTACTACACCTCTTGTTCCCTCAGTTTCCCTTTGTATAAAATGGGAATAATAATTTTTCCCATTAGAAGTAAGGGCTCAGCACAGTGCTGGCACATGAGTGCTCAATAGGTGTTAGTTACCAGTTTTTCAGAAATCCCGGGCTAGAATCCAAATTTTGCCACCTATGGGGTATTTGACCTTGGGTAAGGTGCTTATTTTTTCTCAGGTTTATTTCTCTCATTTGGAAATGGGGATAAAAATAGGACCTACCTCATAGGTGGTTGTCAGGAGAATTAAATGAGATGATGCATGTGAAGAATCTTCGAGGTGCTTGGCACATGAGTGCTCAATAGGTGTTAGTTACCAGTTTTTCAGAAATCCCGGGCTAGAATCCAAATTTTGCCACCTATGGGGTATTTGACCTTGGGTAAGGTGCTTATTTTTTCTCAGGTTTATTTCTCTCATTTGGAAGTGGGGATAAAAAATAGGACCTACCTCATAGGTGGTTGTCAGGAGAATTAAATGAGATGATGCATGTGAAGCATCTTCGAGGTGCTTGGCACCTGGGGAGCTCCTAATGAATGTTAGCAATTATACTGAACATTAGTGTGACTTCTAGAAAATCCACCTTGACATTGCACTGCAAAAATAGAGCTATAACCACTGTAAAATAAGGGAAATTATACTTCTACTCTACTCTGTTACAGACTAAAGCTGTGTTGTTACGTCAGAATGTAAATTTTAAGAGGAATATTAGACAATTGAGGTGCATATAAAATCAAATCATGTGAAAAATGATGGAAGAAATGGAGGATGTTTATCCTAGAGAAGAGAAGATTAAGAAGGGAGGAAGCTCTCCAAAGGATCATCATTGGAAGAGAAATGAGGATTGTCCTCTGTGGACCCTAGAGTGAGAATTATGACAATAGGAGACAGGTTTTTGGCTCCTCTGAAAAAAGACTTTTTTTCCCTAAACTGAGAGCTGTCCAAAGTTAGAATGACTGCCATGGAAAATAATGATTTCTTAGTCACTGAATTTTTTTTAAGGCTGAAAAGCCATTTGATGGAGAGTTGCAGAGAGGATTCAGGGATTTGAGATGGGATTTGGCTCAGTGATCTTTAAAGGCCAATCCTTCTCTAAGGTTCTGTGGTTCTGTAGCTGTTGACTTCCTCACAATGCTTAACATTTAAAACCTTTTGCAAAACTTGTGTCCAGTCACCTACCCTTTTCTTTCAGATTATTTGAAATATTCCACACTAAGTAAGAATTGAATATCCCTGACCTTTAAGGGCTAATATTTATTTCCTTCATTGCTCTTATCTGAGATATCCGGGTAAATGGATTTGCAGAATCTCTGCATGCCAATCATGCTTGCATTTCCTTTACAAATTGGGAAGGTGATAAGATGCTTAAAGAATTGTCAGGTTACAGGATTTCTGATGGCTCAGCTTTAATATCCCATAATGTTCCTATCCCGACTGTCAATATTAATTAATAGACATGCAAATATTGGGTGCATAGGTCACAAACTAGTCATTGCAGGGCATTCTTTGAACAATGTATGTCATAGGAAAAAATTGTATTGATATTTACTATTGCATTCAGTATAGCATTCTGCTTCCAAGTAGTTTAATTTTTCCCTGTTTTTATATATATAAATGAATAAATCATGAGTGGCACTGAAGGAAAATGGAGAAGGGAAGTCCTCTAATGGGTACAACCAGGTGTACTTTGCCTGGAAGAAGGTCAAATCTATACCAATTCCTGGGTAGAAATTAAATGTCTCTCCATATAGCAAAGGACTTTGAAGGAATAGGCTTGTCAGCTTGCTGATAAGAAAGATTGGAAAAAAAATTATGTGACTGAACCTCTTGAAATGGGCCCAGTGTGAGAATATTAGTGTCCCATGTGAATTTTCACCAAGTGTTCAACTATCAGGTCAACCAGATGACCCATGTGGTTGATGTCAGTCAACTTCTTCCTTCACCTCACTGTGTCAATGAGCTCATAAACGATGTTCCATCATAGCAGCAATGAAGACTGTGCATGCCTCAGTAACAAATTACTTGCCTCTCTTCAACCTGGCTGCTACCATGGCTGAATGCTCGATCTGCCAGCAATAGAGACTAATAGTGAATGCTCAATAGTGTATGATATAATGAGGGGACCAGCCTGCCTTCTGGTTGATTATATTGGGTCCCCTCCATTATGGAGTGAACAGTATTTTGTACTCACTGAAATAAACACTTAATCTGCATATGGTTTGTATGGGTCACAATCAAACTAGTTATGGCAGGGCATTCTTTTTGGGCTACCATGCTGCTTCTGTTGACTTAATGGATATCTTATTTACAGTATGCATTTTCACACTATTTTCTTTTAATCAATCAAGAGACTCATTTTACAGCAAAATAATTAAGACCAATGCTCTTGGGTTTCCCTTGTATTTCCAGAAAACCTTCACTCAAAAACAGCTGGCTTATGGCATAGCAGAATGATCTAAGGAAGACTTACTTATTGTGCCGGCTGGGAAACAACACCTTTTGACTTCGGGAGGTGGGAGGGAGTTGTCCTTTAGAATAAAGTACATTATCTGAACTAATGACTAATATATGATGCTCTTTCTCCCAAAGCCAGAAACTGAGGAGTGAAGTGGGGTGGTATTTCTCATTTTAACACTGACTGACCAATGCATAACATTTTTGCTTTCCAAATCTATTTCTTTGTACTCTGCTAGTTTGGAGGTCATAGTATTCAGTGGAGAAACGCTTCATCAGGGGACACAGTTGAACTGGAGGTTGAGTGAGCTAATTGGCCTTTTGGGGTTTCTCTTGCCAATGGGCCAGGAAGGAAAAAAACAGTTTCCAGTGATGATTTACTATGATTTTCTATGATGGAGCTCAGGGATTCCTCTGGAGCACCACCTAGTATTGTAACAAACAGTGATAAAAGTTAATGGCACTTTGGGAGGCTGAGGCAGAAGGATCACATGAGCCTAGGAGTTTAAGACCAGACTGGGCAACACAGTGAAACCATGCCTCTATAAAAAAATTAAAAACATTAGCTGGACATGGTGGTGCATGCCTGTAGTCCCAGCTACTCAGGAGGGTAAGGTGGGAGGATCACTTGAGTCTGGGAGGTCAAAGCTGCAGTGAGCTGTGATCGTGCCACTTCACTCCAACCTGAGTGACAGAGGGAGATCCTGTCTCAAAAAATAAAAAAAAGTTAAGGGAAGACTACAGCAACCCCTTTAGTTAGGTCCACCAAGACTCAGACCACTCAGCAATTAATCCCACCAGATAAAGAACCATGACCAAGTGAGATGCTAGCTGAACACAAAGGGACCATGAGGGAAGAAAGTTATCATACCAAAGATGATCTCAAAAGCAATCGCACAAATGAAAATGTTTGTAGCTGCTCAAATTTTCTTCCTGGTTCTTCTATGCATATAATTATATTAGTGATTTTCCTCCCTTGTTTTCCTACTTTTTCCTAATGCCTACAAAACCTAACATATTGTCAACTTTAGTATTCATTAGGTTTCATTTCTTTTCTAAATGTTTAATTTTTAAATAAATATAAAGTAAAATTAACTTTTTGGTATACAATTCTATGAATTTTAACATACGTGGTAACTACTATCACGATTCAGATATAAAACAGTTTTATCACCTCTAAAAATTTCCTTTATCTCTCTGTAGTTACATCTTTCCACTGTCACCCCAACCCCTGACAACCATTGATTTGAAGCACTGTTTTGTCTTTTTGAGAATGCCATATAAATGGAACCATACAGTAGGTAACAGTTTGAGATTGGCTTCTGTCCTTTAGCATAATGCCTTTGAGATGCATCTAAGTTATAATGTGTGTCAATAGTTCATTCCTTTTTATTGCTGAATAGTATTGCAAATCTCTAGTTTTTAATATAGGATGGATTGGTGATAGTGAACTTCATAATTTACCCAATAGATTTCAGAATATCCAGATGGATTGTCACTGAACTAGAAGAGAAATGAACATCATGCAGATATGGAAATTTGAATGCAGGAATAAGAATGTTTATGTATATTGAGTAGCAAAATGGTGAAGTGCTGCAGAATTGCAGTTTGATTCGGTTTTTTTTTTTTTTTTTGAGACAAAGTCTCACTTTGTTGCCCAGGCTGGAGTGCAGTGGAACGATCTCGGCTCACTGCAAGCTCCACCTTCTGGGTTCAAGTGATTCTCCTGTCTCAGCCTCCTGAGTAGCTGGGATTACAGGCCTGTGCCATCATGCCTGGCTAATTTTTGTATTTTTAGTACAGATGGGGTTTCACCATGTTGGCCAGGCTGGTCTCGAAGTCCTGGCCTCAAGTGATCTGCCTCCCTGGCCTCCCAAAGTGCTGGGATTACAGGTGTGAGCCACCCTCCCCAGCCTGCAGTTTGTTTCTTTTATACTCATTCCATCCCACTTTTAGTAAAAGTTCTCAGAGAAAACTCCTGATCTAGGAAGATGCTGGAGGTGCATCCTCTCCTTGGCGGTTTCGGACTCTACTGGGGATATACTGGCTTAAATAATTTAGGAAGGGAACATATATAGAAATATACCAATAAACTTGCCAGATGCTTTAGGTACATTAACTCATTATGTATTAACACATTAACTCATTGTACACTTACCCTATAGTGACAAGTATTTTTAGCTCTAAATTACAGGTGAAGAAACTTAAGTCAAGGGTGATTATGTTCCCAAGATCACGCAGACAGTAAGTAAGTGGAGTTTCAATTTAAAATGCAGGTTTGTCTGACATCACGTTTGTGATGGTTAATTTTATGCATCAACTTAACTGGGCTAAGGGATGCCCAGATAGCTGGCAAAACATTTCTGGGTGTGTCTTTGAGGGTGTTTCTGGAAAAGATTAGCATTTCAGTCAGTAGGCTAAGTCAAGACCTGCCCTCACCAAAATGAGTGGGCATGCTCCAATTCATTGAGGGCCTGAATAGAACAAAAAGGTGGAGGAAGAACCAGCTGTCTCTCTTTTTGAGTTGGGCTATCCGTCTTCTCCTGCCCTCAGAGCTCTTGGCTCTCAGGCCTTCAGTCTTGGACTGAGAGTTACACCACTAACTCCCTGGTTCTCAGGGCTTTTGGCCTTGGACTGAATCACACTACTGGCTTTCCTGGGTCTCTAGTTTGCAGAAGGAAGATTATGGGACTTCTCAGCCTCCATAATAGAGTGAGCCAATTCTCTCTCTCACTCTCTCACACACACATATCTTATTTGTCCTGTCCCTCTGAAGAAACCTGACTAATACAACATTCTTCTTGAATATTTCCACAACCTCTCACAGTAGGTTAAACTCTATATCCAAGTGAAATTTTTTCTCCTTTAACTATAAATAGTTTTGTTTTGATCCTTGAGGAAAATGGAGAGCAAGGCAGATAAATCCCTCTGGTGAGAGGCTTTCATGGACTCAGAGAAAGCAACTCAAAACACCTGAATTTAGCCTTTCCTCATGTGACCCATTTTCCATTTGTTGAAATCATTCTTTTGTTTTCTTTAGAATCCTATTTATCCTCCTCAATTCTCCATTCTTCTTTCCCTACAGTTATTTAAAATATGGTGACCAAATGGATGTACAAAAGGTAGAAGTATCATACTTCTTTTTGATATGTCCCATCTTTCTTGTTTTAAAAATTGAACTAATATATATTTTCTAAAAAAATTCGGAAGTATGGAAAAGTATAATAGAAAAAAACTAATCCATACATTTTGTCCAGAAAACACCATCTTTGCTAGTCATCTGGCCTATCCTCAGTTTTTCAAATATGATTTTTAAAACCTAGTTAAGACTATATTCTATTTAATAATTTAAATGATATTTAAAAAAAATAGAAGAGGGTAATAAAACTCCCTAAGGGGGTGAGCCCTAGAATATGACTGCCTGTGTTTGAAACCCAACACTATCTTTTCTGAGAAACTTGTGCCTTTATTTGCTCATCTGTAAAATGGAGATAAGAGTACCTATCACATAGGGTTGTTTTTGAGGGTTAAATGAAGTAGAACTTGTAAACATCTTAGAACAGCAATGGCATATATTAAGTGCTCAATAAATGTTAGCTATTGTAACTGCCATTCAACACTCACAACAAAACAATGATACAGCATTCAAATTTGCTTCAGATATTTCTTTCTTCTTTTCTCCATCCCTTTCATCCTTTTTCCTTTTGGAAATAAAGTATTAATGATGCTGGTGAAGCCCCTTTTACATTCCTTCCCAATATTATTCTCCTTTCTTCTCCTTGAAGCAATCAGTATTCTGAAATTGGTTTGTATCCTGCTGTCCATGTTTTTATAATTTTACTACATTGGATGTATCAATTGTGTATAAATTTTGTATCATGATTTCCCCCATTTAACTGAAAGCATTTTCATAAGCATTTCCCTGTCAGACACCTTTCATAAAATAATTCTTTGGTCAGGATAATATACATTATTTACTTTCCCTAGTATTAAATATTTAGGTTTCATTCATTTTCTTTTACAAAAAACATGGGTGAATATTTTGTCCTTGCATATTGTTCTTACATATTTGTATAAATCTTTGATGATTTCTTCAGGTAGAATTGATTGGCATCAAAGAATACAAACATTTTTAGTAATTTGTAATGATTATAAAAATAATATGTAATTATGGAAAAATCAAAAACACAGAGTCTGTAAAAATGAAAGGAAAAATATCTGTTATGCTAGTATTAGAAGATAATTACTGCCAACAGTTTGGCTTATTTCCTTCTAGTGATATTCCTTCCATAAAGCACACTTAAACTCTTCCCCAACCCCCTGCACATCATACTTGAGGATACACTGTTTATTATTTTACTTTTTAATTTCAATGGTTTTGGGGGTACAAGTGGTTTTTTATTACATGGATAAGTTTTTTAGTGGTGATACCTGAAATTTCAATGCACCTGTCACCTGTGCTGTGTATATTGTACCCAATATATATAGTCTTTTATCCCTCACCTTACCAACCTTTCCCCTTGAGTCTCCAAAGTCCATTACATCACTCTTATGCCTTTGTGGAGGATATATGTTTATTAGGATTTGTTTCCAGCTTTTTCCATTAACATTATATCATCATATTTCCTCAATTCATTTACCATTCTCTAGTAAATGTAACTTTTAATACATACATAATCCTACCACATGAAGCAGTACAATTTATTTAACCATTCCTCTACTTTGGGGCACTTAGGTTACTTCATTTTTAATCATATTAAAGGATAGTGAGTATTCTTGTACAGAAACTTTGTGCTCCTTACCTACCAGTTCCTTAGAGTCCTGGATGGAAAAATTACTGGGTTAAGGCATAAACATATTAAAGGCAGTTAATACACATTGCCAAATTATCCTCCAGAAATATATGTTCTCCTGAGTGTATAATCCACAGCATACATTTGCCAGAATTATTATCTCTTTGCTAATTTGATACAGAAGACACGTTACATTGATGTTTTCATTGATGGTTTAAAATTAATTTAAAAATTTGCTACTTGAATTCAATCAGATTATTTTTTTCTGATTTTGTTTGTGCTTAGTCTTTTAAAAATTGGGGTTATTAGACTGGCAAATTGGATAAAGAGTCAAGACCCATCAGTGTGCTGTAATCAGGAAACCCATCTCACGTGCAGAGACACACATAGGCTCAAAATAAAAGGATGGAGGAAGATCTACCAAGCAAATGGAAAACAAAAAAAGGCAGGGGTTGCAATCCTAGTCTCCGATAAAACAGACTTCAAACCAACAAAGATCAAAAGAGACAAAGAAGGCCATTACATAATGGTAAAGGGATCAATTCAACAAGAAGAGCTAACTATCCTAAATACATATGCACCCAATACAGGAGCACCCAGATTCATAAAGCAAGTCCTGAGTGACCTACAAAGAGACTTAGACTCCTACACATTAATAATGGGAGACTTTAACACCCCACTGTCAACATTAGACAGATCAACGAGACAGAAAGTCAACAAGGATACCCAGGAATTGAACTCAGCTCTGCACCAAGTGGACCTAATAGACATCTACAGAACTCTCCACCCCAAGTCAACAGAATATACATTTTTTTCAGCACCACACCACACCTATTCCAAAATTGACCACATACTTGGAAGTAAAGCTCTCCTCAGCAAATGTAAAAGAACAGAAATTATAACAAACTATCTCTCAGACCACAGTGCAATCAAACTAGAACTCAGGATTAAGAATCTCATTCAAAAACGCTCAACTACATGGAAACTGAACAAACTGCTCCTGAACGACTACTGGGTACATAACGAACTGAAGGCAGAAATAAAGATGTTCTTTGAAACCAACGAGAACAAAGACACAACATACCAGAATCTCTGGGACGCATTCAAAGCAGTGTGTAGAGGGAAATTTATAGCACTAAACGCCCACAAGAGAAAGCAGGAAAGATCCAAAATTGACACCCTAACATTACAATTAAAAGCACTAGAAAAGCAAGAGCAAACACATTCAAAAGCTAGCAGAAGGCAAGAAATAACTAAAATCAGAGCAGAACTGAAGGAAATAGAGACACAAAAAACCCTTCAAAAAATTAATGAATCCAGGAGCTGGTTTTTTGAAAGGATCAACAAAATTGATAAACCGCTAGCAAGACTAATAAAGAAAAAAAGAGAGAAGAATCAAATAGACACAATAAAAAATGATAGAGGGGATATCACCACCGATCCCACAGAAATACAGACTACCATCAGAGAATACTACAAACACCTCTATGCAAATAAACTAGAAAATCTAGAAGAAATGGATAAATTCCTCGACACATACACTCTCCCAAGACTAAACCAGGAAGAAGTTGAATCTCTGAATAGACCAATAACAGGATCTGAAATTGTGGCAATAATCAATAGCTTACCAACGAAAAAGAGTCCAGGACCAGATGGATTCACAGCCGAATTCTACCAGAGGTACAAGCAGGAACTGGTACCATTCCTTCTGAAACTATTCCAATCAACAGAAAAAGAGGGAATCCTCCCTAACTCATTTTATGAGGCCAGCATCATCCTGATACCAAAGCTGGGCAGAGACACAACCAAAAAAGAGAATTTTAGACCAATATCCTTGATGAACATTGATGCAAAAATCCTCAATAAAATACTGGCAAACTGAATCCAGCAGCACATCAAAAAGCTTATCCACCATGATCAAGTGGGCTTCATCCCTGGGATGCAAGGCTGGTTCAATATACGCAAATCAATAAATGTAATCCAGCATATAAACAGAACCAAAGACAAAAACCACATGATTATCTCAATAGATGCAGAAAAGGCCTTTGACAAAATTCAACAACGCTTCATGCTAAAAACTCTCAATAAATTAGGTATTGATGGGGCGTATTTCAAAATAATAAGACCTATCTATGACAAACCCACAGCCAATATCATACTGAATGGGCAAAAACTGGAAGCATTCCCTTTGAAAACTGGCACAAGACAGGGATGCCCTCTCTCACCACTCCTATTCAACATAGTGCTGGAAGTTCTGGCCAAGGCAATTAGGCAGGAGAAGGAAATAAAGGGTATTCAATTAGGAAAAGAGGAAGTCAAATTGTCCCTGTTTGCAGACGACATGATTGTATATCTAGAAAACCCCATTGTCTCAGCCCAAAATCTCCTTAAGCTGATAAGCAACTTCAGCAAAGTCTCAGGATACAAAATCAATGTACAAAACTCACAGGCATTCTTATACACCAATAACAGACAAACAGAGAGCCAAATCATGAGTGAACTACCATTCACAGTTGCTTCAAAGAGAATAAAATACCTAGGAATCCAACTTACAAGGGATGTGAAGGACCTCTTCAAGGAGAACTACAAACCACTGCTCAATGAAATAAAAGAGGATACAAACAAATGGAAGAACGTTCCATGCTCATGGGTAGGAAGAATCAATATCGTGAAAATGGCCATACTGCCCAAGGTAATTTATAGATTCAATGCCATCCCCATCAAGCTACCAATGACTTTCTTCACAGAATTGGGAAAAACTACTTTAAAGTTCATATGGAACCGAAAAAGAGCCCACATCGCCAAGTCAATCCTAAGACAAAAGAACAAAGCTGGAGGCATCACGCTACCTGACTTCAAACTATACTACAAGGCTACAGTAACCAAAACAGCATGGTACTGGTACCAAAACACAGATATAGATCAATGGAACAGAACAGAGCCCTCAGAAATAACGCTGCATATCTACAACTATCTGATCTTTGACAAACCTGAGAAAAACAAGCAATGGGGAAAAGGATTCCCTATTTAATAAATGGTGCTGGGAAAACTGGCTAGCCATACGTAGAAAGCTGAAACTGGATCCCTTCCTTACATCTTATACACAAATTAATTCAAGATGGATTAAAGACTTAAACATTAGACCTAAAACCATAAAAACCCTAGAAGAAAACCTAGGCATTACCATTCAGGACATAGGCATGGGCAAGGACTTCATGTCTAAAACACCAAAAGCAATGGCAACAAAAGACAAAATTGACAAATGGGATCTAATTAAACTAAACAGCTTCCGCACAGCAAAAGAAACTACCATCAGAGTGAACAGGCAACCTACAAAATGGGAGAAAATTTTTGCAACCTACTCATCTGACAAAGGGCTAATATCCGGAATCTACAATGAACTCAAACAAATTTACAAGAAAAAAACAAACAACCCCATCAAAAAGTGGGCGAAGGACATGAACAGACACTTCTCAAAAGAACACATTTATGCAGCCAAAAAACACATGAAAAAATGCTCACCATCACTGGCCATCAGAGAAATGCAAATCAAAACCACAATGAGATACCATCTCACACCAGTTAGAATGGCAATCATTAAAAAGTCAGGAAACAACAGGTGCTGGAGAGGATGTGGAGAAATAGGAACACTTTTACACTGTTGGTGGGACTGTAAACTAGTTCAACCATTGTGGAAGTCAGTGTGGCGATTCCTCAGGGATCTAGAACTAGAAATACCATTTGACCCAGTCATCCCATTACTGGGTATATACCCAAAGGACTATAAATCATGCTGCTATAAAGACACATGCACACGTATGTTTATTGCGGCATTATTGACAATAGCAAAGACTTGGAACCAACCCAAATGCCCAACAATGATAGACTGGATTAAGAAAATGTGGCACATATACACCATGGAATACTATGCAGCCATAAAAAATGATGAGTTCATGTCCTTTGTAGGGACATGGATGAAATTGCAAATCATCATTCTCAGTAAACTATTGCAAGAACAAAAAACCAAACACCGCATATTCTCACTCATAGGTGGGAATTGAACAATGAGAACACATGGACACAGGAAGGGGAACATCACACTCTGGGGCCTGTTGTGGGGTGGGGGGAGGGGGGAGGGATAGCACTGGGAGATATACCTAATGCTAGATGACGAGTTAGTGGGTGCAGCACACCAGCATGGCACATGTATACATATGTAACTAAACTGCACATTGTGCACATGTACCCTAAAACTTAAAGTATAATAATAAAAATAAAAATAAAAATAAAATAAATAAAAATTGGGGTTATTTATACCACAATCTGATTTAAGTTAAAAAAGAAAATAAATCTATTTATATAGCATCATTTTGGCTATGGCTTTTGTTGATACAGCTAAGGCTTTTGTTGACTTTTTAACAAAATTCAGTTCAATTTTCAGGTATACACTGCACAAATAAAGTGGAAAAATGATTATTACCTAGTGATTGTAAGCTATTTCAACCCATTCTTGCAAAAATTTCATTATGAATTTTCTATTAAAGTATATTTTTATAAAACTATCTTTAAGAGTAAATTTATTGATCAGATAATCACAAACTTTGAATAATTTGCTATTACATCCTAAAATAACAGGTAGAAGAGGACCTTAGAGTCTTCTTGAAATTTCCTTTCTCTGTCAGCCTTTATGCTGATTTTAATTATCCAAGGTCAAGATCTTTTTTATGGATGGGACAACTATGAGAAAAGTATTTATTGAAAGTGGCAAGTTGTCCTACTCTGGAAAATCTACAATTGTCATTTGATCCAAGTGCATTGACTGGACGACTCTTATTTTTATAAGGAAAGAAGCTGTTTTCAATTTAATAGTCATGTTGTTAGTTCTTTCTCAGATGACAAAAATCATAACATAATTTGACTCCTAAAAATTCCACATGAATTAAAGAATAAAGCATATAAAAAGGAAATAATAACAAAATATAACAAAATAAGAAAACATAGGCATCTGTATGATTTTGCAGAGATACGTGTACTTCTAGATATAAAAAAGGAAGAAATCACAAAAGAAAATGTTGCTACATTTGAATACCTAAAGATGACAAGCTTCTGCCAGAAAAGCTATCAGAAGTAAATTTAAAAGACTACAAAAAAGTATTTGTAAGATATATGATAAACATACACAAAGCTTATGAAGATTGCTAACGAATCAATAAAAAATGGAACTTCAATAAAATGGCTAAAGTGTGCCAGTGAAAAATTCTCACACCCTGACATGAGAAGGAAAAATGCAAATAGCTAGTAGATATATATAAAAAATCACTCGATGTCACCAATGATAAAAATACATTTTAAAAATAATAGCTTTTGTCTCTTCTACCAAAATGATAAATATCTGAAGTATTATAATCTAGGGTGATGTGAAATAAATACTCATAAACTGCTGGTAACAATTGCTACAAATTTTTTGGAAGGAATTTGTACACTATTCGTCAAAAACTTTAAAAATACACATATCATGTGATCCAATGTTTTCACTTCTAGAAAGTTATCATAAAATATTTAAAGATGCACACAGATTATGTTCCAAGGGCATTCTTTCCAGAATTATTAATAACACTGAATCCTTAAACAATGCCTAATATCTAATAGTAAATTACATGTATCTAAAGAGTAGAAAATATTTTACAATTATTAAAGTTGTGTTGTTGGAGACTTTAATGACTTGAGAAAATATTTATGTTATTAAGAATAAAAATAAAAGCAGGTTACAAATTATTATTCCAGTTTTGCAGTACACACAGAGTTAAAAAAAAAAAAGCAAGGAAATTCCTCAACATGTTAATACCATTAACAATGTTATCTCTGGGTGGTAGGATCTCTAGTTATTTTTATATTCTTCCTGATACTTTTCAATATTTTCCAAAATGTTTACAAATAACATATATTGTTATAATCAGAATATAGGTGTGATACACAAATCTATATGTGTATACATACACACAAACACACATATACAGAGACTTTCATGTGGAAATTTTGTTAAAAGGATATTAGAGATAATGCCACAAACAAATGTGCCACAGGCCAACTTATAATGAGTGGGCCACGTGGATTTGTCCAGATATTCAATAATCAGAAATTTGGATGCTTCTTTTGAAAAACACAATAACTCACCCATTTACAGAATCTGAGATCAAGAAGGGATCTTGAGATCCTTGCCACTGAGGAAGGCCTTATGTCCATCTTGTTCACCATCACCTAGTTCAGTATGTTTTTGAATGAAAGAAAAAACGAAGAGCACCTCAATCATCGCACAGATGGAGAAACTGTTTCCTCCAGAAAACACAGGGCTTAATGCCCAATGTTACACATCTCCACAAAATAACACCAATAGCAGCAATAATTATGGCTACTACTACCAACACATGTCACCTACTGTGTGCCAGGCACTCTTCCAAGTGCTTTATGTACATCAACTTACTTAATCCTCATAATAATCCTACGTGGTGGGTATTATTTTCATTAAATAGGTGAGAAAACTGAGTCACACACCACGTCTACACCTCAGTCCTCTTTCTTCCCCGCCATTTCATGCACACCCTAACTAGAAATTCGATCTGACGCTAGCCAGCATGGATCCTTACAAGGGATGTTCCGAGGGCACATCTGCGTGTTTGTGTGCAATGAGGAAAGTGGCGAGCTTTTTAAAGACCCACCGCCAGAAAACAATGTCCTGATGTCCTGTATTTACTCTGGCTTCATCCCGGGAGCGCCCCTCCCAGTGGGCCACGGGGACCTGAGACAGGCTACTCCACGGGGTCCCCAGCCTCTCTCGCCCTCTAGCGCGAGGCGAGCGCCGCGCAGCCCCTGGGGACCCGCCGGGCTGGGCCGCAGCCCCCGCCCGCGCCACCTGCTCCCCAGCTCCAGCGTCCCCGCCCCGCGTCCCGCCCCCGCGCCGCGCCCGCGCCCCGCGGTCCCTCCCTCCGGCGTGACGGGAGCATCGGCGCTGGCTGCCCGGGCCGCGAGCGCAGCAGAGCTGTCAGCGGGCGGACGGGCAGCGGGTGACGGAGCGGCGAGACGAGCGCACAGCAGTCGCGGCCCGGGAGCCGGAGCTGCCGCCGCACCCCGGGAAGGCTGCCTTGCCGCCGGCCCGCCGACCGCGGCCGGACGAAGATGCTGTTCCGCGCCCGGGGGCCGGTACGGGGCAGGGGCTGGGGGCGGCCGGCGGAGGCTCCCCGCCGCGGGCGCTCGCCGCCCTGGAGCCCCGCCTGGATTTGCTGCTGGGCGCTCGCCGGCTGCCAGGCGGCCTGGGCTGGGGACCTGCCCTCCTCCTCCAGCCGCCCGCTTCCTCCTTGCCAGGAGGTGAGCAGCACCTGGTCCTCTACCTGGAGTTTGCTGGGGGAGGGCGCGGAAGATGAAGGCTGAGAGCGGTTCCTGTTTATTTCTGTTTGCCATCCCCTTTTCCTTTGCTTGGAGAACAGGGGCTTTCGTTTGCTTCGAGGGGTGAAGTTGCCCGCCCTGGTAGCTGGCCCGGAGAGGGTGTGTGGCTTCGCTGTCTCTCGGGGGATGCTTTTCTGTCCGCGCTTGTGTCTTTTGGGGGCTCTGCAGGACTTTGCGGCGTCCTTTTTGGACAGCCAGGTTTGAGGACCTGGGGTCGAGGGAAAGATTTCAGGAAGGGGAGGAGACTGGGGAAGCCCCACCAGTGGGATTTGAAGAACCATCTCATCACAGCTTTTCCAGAGAGCCAGACACAGACACCAGAGGATTTCCCGCTCCTCCTCCCCCTGTCTCCACTCCCCTGTCTCTGCAAACGCCTTCGTCCTACTCCCCTGCCCTCAGCTTCCTGATTAAGGCCCTGTGGGTTTGCTAAGCCAATGTATGGTGTCACTTAGCATCCTTCTGACAAAATGTGGATTTGAATTTGGGGGGGAAAAAAAAGGAGTATGTACTTGGTAGAGAAGATGCAGGTTGATGATGGAGAAAATTAGAAAAGACAGTGAATATGCTTCTTTTGGGAGGTGCTTTATCACCTGGCTGAAGTATTGCCGCGGTGTATTTTATAGCTTGTAATCATTGTTGTTTTACAGCCAAAAAGGATAAACTATGGGAGATGAGATTTTTATCTGGCTTTTAGAAGAACGAGACAGTGTGCCAAAAATTTACAGGGGGTGTCATTGGTTCTTGTATTGGGTGTTTATCTTTCCATTTAGTGTTCAGAAAGTGCATCCTCTTAATGAAAATCAATGAGGGGAAGGAAGCAACATTTCTGACCTACTTTGATTGTGTTGGGAGGATATATGGAATAGATACTGTTTTTAGGAAGATTGTTAGGAATCAGGGCGATGGGTCGTTTTAATTAATGTAGCAAAAATAGGTTAGCCAATAGCCCCTCTGGGAAGAAAGGCCAGACCCTCTTGTTTGTGTATGTTGCTCTAACTTCTGAATTTTACCGAGACTTGAATTACAGAGTATCTGTGTTCTACACATCATCCATCATCTATGGATTTTCGTCTTTCTCTCCTACAGTACAGGTCCCAGGACAGACTGAAATGAAAGAGAATCGGATCAAAGGCTTGTGTGCGAACACACAGCAATGTTGTAATTGGGGAAATCAGGGCAAGAGCTCAACAAACAGCTGTGTTTAATTTTAGGGCTTTTTAGTATAATGAGCTTAATCTATATTCTACAACTTTACATATCACCTGGGAATAATCCATTATTCCAGGTTTCCACAGAAAGCTGCTTCTTGGACATCTCAGATTGAACAGTTGTGACAAGATAAACTTTATCCTCCAGCCCCCAACTTCTAATATGCAGAATATATTTTTCTAAACTGAAAAGTCTTAAGCTTCTGATAACATCGATTCTTAGTAATGAAAATCTGCTTGAAGTAGGCGAAGGTCAGGGTCAATAGAAGTGATGCCTTTGGTCTCTACAACTAGACTAATCTTTTAGATGAACACATGTCCTACACATGTATACCTAGAAAGAAGAGTCTGCAACCTAAAACAAAGATTGAAAGGAGGGGCAGAGAGATGACAGAAGGTTCAGGAAGGCTGGGTTCACTTGATCACAGGTCCTTACTGCATTGGCTTTAGAAATTGCATGTGACTCATCCGTTGAGATCTGAAATTTACATTTTCCTTCTGAAAAATGAGAATAAATAAAATATATAGGAGGACGCTATTGAGCCTGCCTTTGGCTGTATGTTTTTATAAATGTTAATGCACAGATCCATTTATGTTCTTCCTGATGACTGACAAGTAAGAGGAACTAATGGGAGTTAGAAGTTCTTGGAAGTAGAAGAGGCCTAGTGACCTCCCAGGGGTTGAATCTGTTTGATATCTGGTCTAACCAGTGGAGCTAATTTACAGAATTGGTCATTGTTTTTCTCTGACATTGTTTTTAAGAGGAAAGTGGGGAGGGCAAGTTATTTTCAGACTTTGAAGGTAAAGGAATGTTTGTGCTGGGAGTGGGGAAAGGGTATCCTCTTGAGCTCAGCCCTTTCCTCTGAATACAGTTATGGGATTGTGGGCTAAACGCCTGTGAATAAAGACACAGTTAAAGTAACTACTCTGTGTTCACTCCTGCTCGTTTATCATTTTCCACTTTTTGTTAACATTAAAGGAGGCAAATGCCACAAAGGACAGACTATGCAGTGGGGAACAGAGTGAGGGCAGTTAAAGTGAGGAATTTTCAGGCTGAGAGCTAAAACCAACTCTCAATGTGAGAGAATGTTGAGGAGTATAGAAAAAGCTATAGGCCATTTTGAACCTCATTTCCCCCCAGTAGTTTGTGTCACCCTCATTTATTAATATTTTTGTAGAAGTAGTCATGTTTAACAAAGTTACATAAACTCTGATTTTCCTGCCTGGTTTTAGAGGAAAGCAACTAAAGGAAGACAAATGCAGAGAACTGGCCTGGGAGTCATCCAGTTATAATTGCCTGAGTTCAGAAAAAAGGCCCTTCAAAAACTAGGTTATGGGTAAAAGTTACATTTAGATTTTTGCAGAGGAATGGACTCTGGGGTGAAACTCATAAAATACATATTCCTTTGTCAAAGTCTTTGGATTATGAAGTCGAAAGGGGGAGAAAAGTTATTGTGTTGGAATGTTCAGCTGGTGATCAGATCAGCAGTGTGGAAGCACACGCACAAACAGGAAGCGATCATTTGGGAGACAGAAATAAAAGGAAAGTCAAAGTGCTGGCAGATGAAGCACAAGAATAGGATGTGACTTTGGAAAATGGTATTCAAAGGAAATAAATGAGGCCTGGACATCAGAAAGTATAGAATTCCTCAGGTTTTTGTATGGGGTGAACTTATAAAAGGTAAATCTTCTTTGGGTTTCTTGGCCTGTGTTTCACTTATAAAATGTTATTAATGAAACATGACCAATTATTTGTATTATGAGGATGAAATGAGATTAATATAAGATAAAGGAGAAATATAAATATGAGGGCTGATTATTGCTAGATTAGTAGAGCTAGATCCTGATATTTTGGGAAGAGTCTACAGTGAGACTCCAGAGGTTCCTAGGATAGGCCCATCCAAGACTTGGCATGACATTTTTGACTCAGTGAATAATAGGACTTAATGGGGCTGCCAGAGCAAAAAAATATAAAGGCCAACAGATAATTCAGAGTTGCAGTAAGGTATCAGAAGATAGAAAAGTACATGAGAGTAAAAAGAACAGAACTAATTGGATTATGTCTGTATTATTTACATTTGGTAAATTAAATCACAAAATAGCTGATTCTTAGTTCACTGCTGTAAAATCTTGCATAATGCAATTCTGCTGTTCTCCCTGACTACTGAATGATGAGTTTTGCTAACAGTTTTTGTTCCACATTCAGTTTATACCATGTGCTAGACAAAATGTCAGATATGAAATTAGTAATTTAAAGAATATAATTTAATTGGATAAGGATGAGACAGATATGTAAACAAACATTGCAGTTAAGTGATTTGAAGCCATGAAAGAAGCAATGGGCCATCATATCTACTGAGGGGGGTGGGATCAGAAAAGGCCCTATGGAGGAAGTGAATGAGACTTAATTGATAAGTAGGAATTTGCCAAGCAGACAAGGGTCAGATGTGAGTGTAGGCTAGTTTGGGGGAAAGACATTTCAGGTGAAGAGCACAGATTGAAAAAGGGCAGAAACATGAAACAGCATTGTATTGTAATTGGTTCTAACTGAAGTACAGCATGCAATGAGAAGCTTAATGAGAGATGAATCTGACAGGCAGGCAGGAGCCTATCATAAGGGACCTTATATCACACTAAGAAGCTGGTCTTCATTTGGTAGGCAATAGGATGCAGTAGTAGGACTTCAAAAAGAGGAGTAGTATGCTTTAGATAGAATTGGCAGTGAGTGGATGCAGAGGGTGAGAGAATGAAATGTTCTAACTTGATTAGAGGATGGTGCCTCTTAACCTCCCTGAGAAGAAATGTGAAGAAGATGGGATAAGGAGCTTGTTCTGTCTGGAAGGAGTGACTTTATGTAGAGCTGTTGAGTAGGCAGTTAGGTATTATTAGGCCCTGTTCCTCAGGGGCATGGTGTGGGCTGGTGTGGTGACCTGGGAATAACTTGAATGGAAGACATTGTTGAAATGACTGGATTGGTTGAGATCATGCAGGGAGTGAGAACAAAGTGCTGAAGATAGGACTTGGGTTTTACCTACATGAAAGGGGACAGAAACCGAGGAGTTCACAAAGGAGACATGTAGCAATGGCTGGTAAAGAAGAAATGTGAGTGTGGAGTTGTGGGAAAAAGAAAAGCCTTTGAAGAAGATAGGGCTCATTGTGTGTCAGTTGCCCGATGAAATCCAAATAAGATGATGACTGAAGAGAGAAGATTGAATTCTGTGATTAGGTCACTGGTGCTCAGCACCAGAGTGTTTCCTATGGGATGGTGGAGATGGGTTGAGTGTTAACTGGGAGGTGAGATGGTGGTGATGGAGTGGAATTGTGTTATAGAGCCTTCCTAGATTTGGTAAGCTACTGGGTCTTCAAAATCCATGTAAACCACAAGACCTGTAATGGTCATGTTTTTTGTTTCAGAACTTGATGGGCACAGCTGAGAAACATCCTTTCTGTAGGAAGTCCCTGAAGGCCATGGGCTATGGGTGAAGCTGTCAAAGGTTCTACAGTCACACTGTTATTGAAGGAGTTAGGACTCAGCCTCTGTTTTCAAGCAGTTAACGTAACTAATCTTTCCTGTTAATGCCTGTGGAGGTGAATTTTCCATTTCCAGTTCTTATGCTTAGAATCATTTCTCATGTTTTAGGCAAATGCGAGCAAGTATTCACACCATCAATATTTACAATGTAAAACCAAGAGTTGACAGATCTGTGAAGTGTCATATTTTAGCACAAGGGATGGAAATAGCAGAGCATAGTATAGAGTGGCACGTTTTCCTATCATAGTGTCTTCTCCAGCAGAGTCTTGCATCTTATAATAATTCTTTATTGTCAGAAAACACTAGCCACATTTTGGTTGCTTTTCTTTTCTCTTGAAGAAACCACAGATTATTCTCTTTCCTTTTTGCCTTTCATCATGTGTGTTCTATGTAGTATTTCAATATTCAATATGTATATATACATATATTTATCATGTACTTATATAGCAGGTATTGACAATGAATGGATGAACAAAACATAGGCCCCTGCTCCATGGAGCTTTGTAATCTCAGGGGAGTAGGTTTAAAACAAAACCACACATCATGCAATTACATTTGCCATAAGTACAGTGACGGAAAATTTCCGTGTGCAGTGAGAATGAATAGCCATCCTAGTTAGGGGCTGGGAGCAGGTGGATTACCAGGAAAAGATGTTTAAGGTAAGATCTAAAGGATGAGTAGGAGTTAGCTGGATGCAGGTTGTGGGTGATGGTGAGAGAACATCTCTCACAGAGGAAGCCTCCTGACCTAGATCCATCCCTATATCCTATCCTTTCCTGGACTAGTAAAAACAAAGGATCTTTTCTCTTCTCTGAATTCTAGTCACAGCCTATTGTTTACTCTCTGACACATATATGCTGTCCCACAAGTGTTTTGCACGCACAGCCCCCCACCCCATATAGATGAATGAGTTGTGCTCTCTCCAAGGGCACCCAGCTAAAGGGGTAAGAAGAAGAATCCACCCATTTCTCAGCATGCTTAGCTATATGTCCTGGCACAGGTCTGCATTTACCTGGAAAAAGGGATACCTTTTTCTAGTTCATATGCCCAGAGGGGGTCACTATTTTCTAAATCACACAAAGGCACCATTTGTTTTACCAGAGGCTTTGAATACACAAATGTTATCTCTCCCCTAGTACATGATATGTTCATTGAGGGCAAGGATTGTATCATCTTATTAGCAAACAGTACTATCTTTCATTTAAGGCATTTTGGGGGTTTTAAAAATGAGTAAGACATATATCCTTTTCTTTGGGAGCACTAATCACTGACTTAAAAATATAGTAAGTGAATAGTTTCTGCTTTTTCAGTTATAAACAGGAATTGATCTTTATGGTACATTTAATTCTAATCAACATATCCTCTTGGTTGTGCCAGATTTAAGACCCTGAAATAAACCCTAGTGGTCAGTTTGGGCGAGGTGGCCCACACCTGTAATCCCAACACTTTGGAAGGCTGAGGTAGGTAAATCACTTGAGCCAAGCAGTTTAAGACCATCCTGGGCAACATAGCAAGACCCTGTCTCTACAAAAAAATAAAAAAATCAGCTGGGCATGGTGGCATGGGCCTGTAGTCCCAGCTACTTGGGATGCTGAGGTGGGAGAATTGATTGAACCTGGGAGGTTGAGGCTGCAGGGAGCTGTGATTGTGCCACTGCACTCCAGTCTGGGTGACAGAGCAAGACCCTGTCTCAAACAAAACAAAACAAAACAAAACAAAACAAAACAAAAGAAAACAAACCCTGTGATCAGAATATACTGAAGTTGATTCTCAACTCAGTTTACAACTCGAGTTGGAAGTACATTTATTACCCTTATTCAAAATGTTGCTTTTATGAGCTCTTTTCTCTAGGTTAGTAGTCCACAAAGTGAGCTCCTAGGACTAGCAGTGTCAACATTAGTTAGGAAGTTGTTAGAAATATAAGTGCTTGGTTCCTGTGCACAACCTACTAAAATGGAAACCCTGGGATTGAAGCCCAGCAAGAACCATTGCGCTCAGTATAAAGAAAGGAATTGATATGGTTTGCCTGTGTTCCCACCCAAATCTCATCTTGAATTCCCATGTGTTGTGGGAGGGACCTGGTGGGAGTTAATTGAATCATGGGGGCAGTTATTTCACATGCTGTTCTCATGATAGTGAATAAGTTTCTTGAGATCCAGTGGTTTCATAAGGGGGAGTTTCCCTGTACAATCTCTCTTCTCTTGTCTGCCGCCATGTGAGATGTGCCTTTCACCTTCCACAATGATTGTGAGGCCTCCCTAGCCACTGAAACT